>NC_000008.11:21981314-22284345 GCF_000001405.40 Homo sapiens
CAGTTTGACAGACGTGGAAATGAAAATTTCATTAGATTTCCTTTGATTGGTAACAATAAGAAAACAAGTCAGTCACGTCTTAGGTCGTGCCCACTTCTGCTATAATGAGCTTTACAGCCTCAGTGTGATCCTCCTGGGCTTCTGTTTCAAACTCTGTCCATTGAGGCTAATAATGTCATCTCATGTGATTATTATTGTGAACATATGAGATAATAAATGTGACTGTCCCTTTTCAAAGTGACTTTAAAAAATTGTTTCTGAACATTATGCAGACGTATCATTCTGAATCATGACCTGCAGCCCAGAAGTTAAAAAGTAGATTCTACCCCTTCCCCCATGCCATCTCAAGTATACATCATTCTTGAAGTATGTTAAGGCACATTTTACATTTTATTTTTCTCCTCTGCTACTGCCAGAGTTTATCAGACCCAAACAATTACCATGAGTTTTGCAGACTACTGGCCCGATTGAAGAGTAACTATCAACTGGGAGAATTGGTAAAGGTGGAAAACTACCCTGAGGTCATCCGATTGATAGCCAACTTCACAGTGACCAGCCTACAGGTTTGTCTTTGATTACTTGTGTCTTCCTTCCTAAATACTGGAATCTCTTGCTTGTTGGTTTTAACCATGTAAGAATATATTTTTTTTTCTTGGCAAAGGTAACCATAAGTCCAGTATAGCCCTACAGAGTAGTTACTATTGTGGCCTGTGATTTACATTTACACAAGTGCAAGTAGTGTGGGGAGAGGAACATGTGGGAATTACTAGGATAATATTTAGATTCATCCCAGAGAGAATTAGCTCATAGTCACCCCAAAAAAGCCAAGGTCGGAACAGGGAGCTAGACAGAAGAGTAAAAAGAGAGTTGATGCCCTCTCTTTCTTAGTCATGTAATATAGAACAATGGGTCTCAAATTTTATGGCTTGTATCACAGTCATCTAGGGGACTGATGAAAAAATATAGATTCTTGAGTCTTATCCCCATAATTTCTGGTTCAGTAGGTCCAGGGTAGAGCCTTGGTGTTTCTAACAAGTTCTTCAGGTGATTGTCATGCATACTAATGGTTGAGACCCACTTACATATGGCTTTCCTTATGGTAAGGCTTACACAGCCAGCATAGAGTAGCCCTTCTCATTAGATGCTTAATCTTGAAAATACTAATAAACACATTAAACTAGATGCCATACACAGAACAAAGCCCACAAAAGTCTATCCTCTTTTTTTAAAAAAAAGAAAAAAGTCTTTATCTTCTGTGTCAGTGGCATGGGACTAACACGTACAGAAATGAAAAATATGCCTTCTGCTTTTCTACTTTTCTTTAGCACTGGGAATTTGCTCCAAATAGTGTGCACTATCTTCTGAGCCTGTGGCAGCGGCTGGCAGCCTCTGTGCCGTATGTCAAAGCCACAGAGCCCCACATGCTGGAAACTTACACTCCTGAGGTCACCAAAGCCTACATCACATCCCGGTTGGAATCTGTGCACATCATACTGAGGTAAGGAAACTTAGCCTCATTCATTCCCGCACCAGTGGCCTGTTGTCACACTTCCTAGAGATCAGACACCCCATTGGCAAAGAGGTACTCGAAGCGTGTCTCATTGGAGCCACTACTGTTCATGGTTCTTCTTCCTTGTCAGCAGAGTAGCATGAGAGCATAAAGCCTGATAGAATAGTCTTGTCTCTTGAACATTTATATTCTATTCATATTCCCCCTTTTCACTGTCCATAGCAATATCTTTGAATAGAGTATATCCATATAATGTTTGTCCTTGCCGCTGTTTTTCTTTCAATGTGAGAAACATTTATAAGATATAGATGATAAGAATTATGTGTAACTTATAGGTGCTTAATGTGAACTCCTAAAGAAATAAGTGGATAAAGATTACACAATCTAGTTATCAATTCTAATTCCAGAGCTAGAACACATAAGAATTCTAAGCCACTGATCACTGATTGCTTTACATTCATACATGGTTTCTGTCTACATTGACTTAACTGAACCAAAATCCCGTAGCTAAAGAAATGTCAAGCCCTTTCAAAAATTACCTATATTAAATGAAGTTATAGCCCTGTTTAGGTAGCTTTCTTGTTTTCACTGGCTGTTTGTCAAGAGAATTTACTTGGAGTCTAAGGGTCTGGGGCCTTTTTAAGTTGGATTCTTAATTTGCTTAGCCCCAAGTGCATTGAATAGTCATGAGTTATAGTCTTAACTGTTGATGACTTGAATCAGTTCAAAATCTGAGTATTCATGAAGTTCACCAGCAAGCCTTCTTCTGTCACCTCCATAGCTTCCACTCCTGAGGATTCGGCTGGCTTCAGTGAGGCATTGTTGGGGAGTGGTTACATGTTTGTAGGCTCTGGGGCCGGATAGCCAGTTAGTAGCTCTGTACTCTTGGGCAAGTTGCTCCATTTCTGTATTTGTAAAATTCAAATAATAATAGGCCTGCCTCATAAGGTTCTTACAAGGATTAAATTAATATGACCTGGCACAGTGTGTAGCACATGGTAAGCACACAGCTAGTTTTAGTGCTGCTGCTCCTGCTGCTGCTGCTGCTGCCATTATCATATTGCAGTGTAACAACAGAAGAGCTCCTCATTGGACAAGATGTTAAAATCTAGGAGCTGGCAGATAAGGCAAGACCTAGTACAGGGCCACAATGCCTTGTCTGCAATTCCAAAGTCAAAGATGTGACAAAAGAAATTTCCTCATCAGTTTGGCATTAGAATTCACTTGTTACAAAACCGGACGGGAGTTGGTATGAGACCATTTGTAGTTTTTTTAAAATCCTACTTAGTATGACCATTTATAATATTCATAAGTTTTGCTACAGGAACGTTGAGTTTGATGTGCCACAAAGCCCATCAAGGGTTTTATATGATATGGTAGAAGCATCATACTGCCTTCCTCCAATTTGAACAGTTCTGAATTCCAAGACACACCTGGCCACAATGGCCTCCCACACAGGACTGTGTACTTATCCTACAGTTTACTATAGTCAAGAACAAGCGAAAGACTAAGAGTCAAGAGGTCAGACAGTTGAGAAGGGCAGGACTTTGAGGTTTAAGGCAGAAAAACATTAAGAGTTGAGAATTCAGATTGTAAGATTTGACACCAACAAGCAGAATATACCTAAGGGAGACTGATGCTAGGGCGAAGACATTGGCCTTCTGCCTCATTAAACATTCTTCCTTGGTTAAAAGTAATGTCGGGATGTAGACCTCTACAGTCAGAAATGGTGGCTAAGTGAAGAAGTCAGAGAGCTGCTATATTGGGCAAATCAGTAGTCATATTTTAAGAGAGCTGCCTTCCTTCTTCCCTTGGGAATAGAGATGGCCTGGAAGATCCCCTGGAGGATACGGGGCTGGTCCAGCAGCAGTTGGACCAGCTGTCCACCATTGGGCGTTGTGAATATGAGAAGACGTGTGCACTCCTCGTGCAGTTGTTTGACCAGTCGGCCCAGTCGTACCAGGAGCTGCTACAGAGCGCCAGCGCAAGCCCAATGGACATTGCAGTGCAGGAGGGTGAGTGTGCAGCGTGCTGGGAACTCTAGACCTGTGAGGAGATGTTGTCTAGTACCCCTTCGCTCATTGCCACCTCTTTCCTACCTCCCTGCAAAAGGATTCTTTCATCATCTGTTGTCTCCATATGCACAAGAATCTTTATGAATGAATAAATCCCTCAAGGGACTAGGGAAGAAGAACTGAAATCACATCTGCAGTGGGATTTTGTTTTAAGAGATGAGGTCTCGCTATGTTGCCACGTGGGCCTTGTACTTCTTGGCTCAAGTGATCCTCCTGCCTCAGCCTCCCGAAGTAGCTGGGACTACAGGCATGTGCCACCACACCTGGCTCCTGTCTGCTTTTTAATGCCCCACAGCACAGCTGGGACCAGGCCAAGAGGTTTATGACTGCTAAATCAAGGGCCAGGGGAAACAGGGAGATAAGTACAGATAGTAACCTGGGCTTCCTCTTTTTACCGGGCCTGGCTGGTGTTTGTAACATGGCACTGTGCCCAGCTTGGGTGTTTTTAACTCTAAGGAAATACTACACTAAAAATAATGGCCTTGTCTGATACAGGAACATTGGTTACCTAACGAATTTCCCTCTTAGCATTGCCCTTACCAAAGCAGAGAAGTAGCCATTCTCTGTAAGAAAAGTAAGACTTCATGGTTTCACCACAGTGTTCTTAAGATTAAGGAAGTTCAGAGTGAGGAATGTCTTCAAGAAACTATCACTGGAGGTGACACTGGGTCTGTCTCCTGCTGCAGGAAGGCTGACATGGCTGGTTTACATTATTGGAGCAGTGATCGGTGGCCGGGTTTCTTTTGCCAGCACTGATGAGCAAGACGCCATGGATGGTGAGCTTGTCTGTCGGTAAGTGCTCCCCACAGAAGCTCTCCACTCTGCCTTGCTGGCACTTCTCCACTCCCCGATAGGGTCCTCTCCACTTACAGAACGTAATCTGAACATGCTAACTGCCCATGAGACACAGCTTTCAAGGCTTTTGTAAGTGCCATGATAACTCTGCCTATGATCTTTACTTTAAAATAAAAAACCAGCAATAATTCAGAAAGGAAATAATGGATACGGAATTAGGAAAACTAAAGCAGAGATTCTCTGTTAGGTCTTTTTACGAATAGTATCTCAGAGTTAGTAAAATATGGACTGCTTTTGCCATCCCAAAATAAGTCTAAAAGGAAACTGCAGTTCTTTAAAGTTCACCAGAGATGGAATTACAGAGTTCCTACAGCCTTTCAAATCTCTTGGCCATACATTTCAAGTTATTTTTCATCTGTGCAATTCTCATTTTATCAAAACTTTTTTTTTTTTTTTTTTTGGAGATGGAGTCTCGCTCTGTCACCCAGGCCAGAGTGCAGTGGCGCTATCTTAGCTCACTGCAACCTCTGCCTCCCTGTTCCAGGTTCTCCCGGGTTCAAGCGATTCTCCTGCCTCAGCCTCCCAAGTAGCTATGATTACAGGCATGCGTCACCACATCTGGCTAATTTTTGTATTTTTAGTGAGACGGGGTTTCACCATGTTGGCCAGGCTGGTCTCGAACTCCTGACCTCAGGTGATCCACCTGCCTTGGCCTCCCAAAGTGCTGGGATTACAGGCATGAGCCACCGCGCCCCGCCTTCAATATATATATCTTCTGAAAATCCTCATTTGTCTCTTTCCACCCCCATTTTGTTTATCAGATGCCCATTTGCCCAGAGGTCCCTTAATCCTGACAAAAGTCTCCGTAGCATTTTCCCACTGGCATTTTTTGAAGAGTTGAGCAGAGCTTTAATAAGAATGAAATCTAATGCCTTTCTGATTCTGCAGCCGAGTTCAATACTGTGTGTGTCATAATATAAATTTAGTTCAAACAATGTCTTGCAGATTGGTTCTGAGCTTGAGTGTAGCAACACAATGATGGAGTCTCATTCACTCATGATGTGTCACAAATAGTTAACTATTCCCACACTCAAATATCAAATGACTCACTTATTATGACATCTGTATTCGCATTCACTCACTTGCATTCCAGTATCCTTTCTTTTGGGGAGAAGGTACAGAGAAAAGAGATGAAGTCACAGGTAATATTTCTGCTAGTAATCCCTGGAAGTGTTACCTACCTGTGAACATCATCCTTCATGTGTCTCCAAAAAGATTGAAAACTCCTGGTCTAGTCCTGCCTCCCTCATTTATGTAGATGAATTTGGTTGCAGGAGGTTGCTGTACCCAAGTACAGGCATATACGACCATGTCAAGATAGCTTGGGTTGTCTAGAGTAAACAGGATGTCCTGCTGTTGAGAGAATCATTGCTCCTCTTCCTCCAGGGTGCTCCAGCTGATGAACCTAACAGATTCTCGTTTGGCCCAGGCGGGTAATGAGAAGCTAGAGTTGGCCATGCTGAGCTTTTTTGAACAGTTTCGTAAGATCTACATTGGGGACCAAGTGCAGAAATCCTCTAAGGTAACAGCCTCTCAATTGGCTCCCCTTAGTTCTCACTTCTCACTTGTGGGATTGCTGATGGAGGGAAACAGTTGCTGATAGTTCACATAACCTCCAGATTTCACGTAATAGGACAGTCCAAATGTTTTCTCTTAGTCTTTAAATTCTGGGAGAGTCATCAAAGAATTGGGCCCATTTCTTTAGTGCTCCATATGCTTAACAAATGGCCAGTCCAAACATCTGTTGTTCTCCCACAAATGGGCAATTCTTAGTCTCCATGCATGAATTAATATTCAGAACAGAAGATTTGGGCTGTCTTTTTGCAATTTCAGGATTGAAAGGGACCAGTAAGATTGCTCAGCATCTGTCCAGTAATACTTGGAAACTAGCTTATCCCTTCAGTAAAGTCCTCTCTGGGATTCTTGTCCATTTTCTTCCACATCTTACCCATGAGTGTGGACAAAAATAGTACCAGGATGTGATTGTTGTAATTCATGTGTTCTGGTTACTTTCTCTTCTTAACACCAGCTGTACCGCCGACTCTCAGAAGTTCTGGGCTTGAATGATGAGACCATGGTCCTAAGCGTCTTCATAGGAAAAATGTAAGTGTTTCAGCTTGCCACCAGCAAGAGTCCTTTGCACTCCTGTTGCAACTGTAAAATGTGATCTTGGCATTGTGCTGCCAGTGCCTGGTATTCCAGCATTGATCGTTTGCGTCAGAAAATTGTGCATTTGAGTGTGTGACAAGCTGTGCTTAGAGATATGGCCCGGCCCCAGAGCATTCCAGGCTTGTACAGGCAAGGATTTAATTTTGTTCTTGCAGAATCTCCTCTTTAGCCTCTGGAATCACAGGTGAAACTCTGTCATGTCATTAGCAAAACAGACCTCCACCCCAGTAATTGCTGCTCAGCCCCTCACCCAGTTGCTGTGCTCCAGGGATGCCCAGCATAGGCATTCACTTTCTGTTGCTGATTTCCTCTCGTTATCCCCTCGAAGGGGAAAGCCCCACTTAAAAATGGGCTTATTCCTCCCAGGAAACATCACACCCTTTAAGAGTGTTGAGTCTCCAAAATCTAGTGCTGCTGTTTGAACTGTCTTCAGAGTTGGAGCTCCTAATTGGCCCTTTTTTATTTTTTTTTTTACGTTATACCCCTTTGGTTACATTTTTCCCTTTTTAGGAGCTCAATTTATCAAAGCACACACTAGGAGCCAAATATATTACCCAGGGCTGTGTGCAGAGTGACATTTTGCCTCCTACCAACTGTCCCAACCCTAAACACTCATATCCATGAGCTGGTTTAATAATTTAAGATGGAAAAAGCAAAGGGGGTCTAAAGGACTCTGCCAGCCAAGAATCCAGAAGCAAGGGCTACTAGAATTCTGCAGCTGACAGTGGATGGTGCAGGTGCAGAATTGCATACGTCTGCATGTTATCACTGCCGCAGAAATCTCTTACCCTTGCTGCAGAAATCAGCCCTGGAGTGCCCCAGAATTCCAAGGGCCTGGGTATGGGCCAGTGTAGCTTTGGAACCAAGTAGTGAAGATTATCTGAAGGATAATTTTTCTAGTCAACCAAATGTAAGTACAGAGATTTCCTACCCATCTTTTTTTGTGGTCGTGATGTCTGTGAATTGGTGGTGCAGATGTGTGGTGACTTTTGATGAATGACTTTCTTCTTCTCCCAGCCCTCAAGGAAACCAGCAAATCAAAAGGGTCTCCTGCTTTTTTTTTTCTTTTTGTCCTCCAGCATCACCAACTTGAAGTACTGGGGCCGTTGTGAACCAATCACCTCCAAGACACTACAGCTTCTCAATGACCTGTCCATTGGATATCCTTTTCTAAGCTAACTTCTGTGCACAACAGAAACTGGCATGCCACAGTCTTAGAATCATGGCCTCCTGCTCTTTCCACTTCAGTTTAGCTGTAGTGTGTACTCACATATCTTCCATTTTCCTAGGAGTCCAAAAAAACGCCAATGCCCATGCAGAATATAGGAATAATTTCAGACCCCAAAAATGAGCTGACACCCAACCTGATAGTTTAGTACAGATTTATCCCTGTCTATTCCTAAGTTCCAGAAGTGCATAGTAGCCCCATCTCATAGGTACATACTCTGTGTGACCAAGGTTTTAGTATCCGTAGTAGAGACAAACTCCTTCTTAGGTTGTCCCATCAGCTGGTTGGTAGAAACATCCTGATTCCAAGCTTTGTGATTGAAGTGATGACTATGCTTCCTCTTGACTTGAATTAGGTCTGCTATAAAGTTTGAATTGCTCTAGGGCAGCTTTTCACAACCAGGGGTCCACAAGAAGGGTAAACCCTGTAAAATTATTGAAGTGACTTTCTTCTCGCTTTTCCAAATACTGTATATAGCTAGTACCATTCTAAATAGGAGAGAAGTTCATTCATTATACACAATATATGCCTCTTAGGCAGGAGTTTAGGGCCTAATTCTCCCTTGGAACCCCTGCTGAGAAAAGCCCTTTTAGACTATTCATGATTATTTGGGGAAACTGCTAGGTTTATTCTATTTTCTTACAAATAGGAGTTTGGTATAGGTGTTTCCTTTTTTTTTTTTTTTTTTTTTTTTTTTTTTTTTTTTTTTTTTTTTTGAGATGGAGTCTTGCTCTGTTGCCCAGGCTGGAGTGCAGTTGCGCGATCTCGGCTCACTACAAGCTCCGCCTCCCAGGTTCATGCCATTCTCCTGCCTCAGCCTTCTGAGTAGCTGGGACTACAGGCACCCGCCACCATGCCCGGCTAATTTTTTGTATTTTTAGTAGAGGTAGGGTTTCACCGTGTTAGCCAGGATGGTCTCGATCTCCTGACCTCGTGATCTGCCCTCCTCGGCCTCTCAAAGTGCTGGGATTACAGGCGTGAGCCACCGCGCCCGGCCAGTATAGGTGTTTTCTTACTGATTAAATAGTGCTTAGAAGAGAATGCATTTTTTCATATTTGGCAGTGGTATACTCAAGTATTTTTTAAAAAATAAGATATTTGGGTGAACTGTCCTTTATTCTGGAAAGTTTCCATCTGCCTTAGAGTTTCGGCCTGCTTCACACTTTCCTTGACCTTCTTCCTTTGTCTTCACGTACAGTAGCGTAAGGAAGCTAGTGAAGCTTAGTGCGGTACAGTTCATGCTGAACAATCACACGGTGAGTGATTTTAGCTTTTTTTCCTGGCCCTCCTACCACCCACACATACACTTTCTCGACACATAAAGGAGATATGTAAACTGAGGTCCCGGGTATTGCTACAGCAAAGACGGTGGTCCTGATTCCCACGATACTGCCAGATTATACTTACGTCATCAGAGTGGCTCTTTGAGATCCAGATGATGTGAGTTATGGTGAAGTCACCTACTGCTACTCATACTGCAGATAAATTAGTAGTAGTGACAACGGTAGCCTGCCTTCAAAAAAAAAAAAACCTTCAGATCCTCAAGGAATGACTACATAACCATTGGCTTGAAAGGGCTCAGTAATTCTCTGATTACTGGCTTGCATTCTGCCTCTAACTCATGTTTTTACCTTTAACTTCTTTTCTTTTTTTCAATAGAGCGAGCACTTTTCATTTTTGGGTATTAACAATCAGTCCAACCTGACAGACATGCGGTGTCGGACTACCTTCTACACAGCACTTGGGCGTCTCCTCATGGTGGATTTAGGTACCGTAAGAAATCGTAGTGGCTCATGAAGTCATCTGGCACTCTTCTAAATTTTTATTTGAGGACTGAAAACTAGATGTTGGGGAGGCCTTTTCTGTTTTTTCAACAGTAACAAAACTATCTGAAATAACAGCCTGATTTCACCAAGAACAGATCATGCTGTCGAGGTCCTTATAACTGGAAGAGAGTAACAGTCTGCTCCTGAAGTTTTCATCTGATACGCAGTGGCTTTAAAATTCTCTTCACATTCTTCGGGTGTTAAATAAGGGAATTGAGATTCCTAAATGTATCTTTTTGGCCAGATAACTTCTCCACCCCACAATGAGGTGTAAACCCACTTGAAACAGTCAACACCACTTTTTATTATCCAGTTTTCTAGCACAGATGAGCCAGAAGGGCTTTATCACTTTTGTAGCAGTAGTGGTGATATTAGCAGTTTCAGGTCAGTTAATAACTAAAGCTCAGTGGTATTACTCTAATTTCGAGCTGTTTAAATTTAATCCTACTAAAATGACATAAAACCTTCTAGGTTTATGAGAGATGACTTTTTAAAAAATTAAGTGTGAATGAAACCTCCGTACCCATTAAAGTTTGAGTCTCATCTGGTTCTCATGCACAAGCTTCAGTCCTTTCTCCACTGACTCGCTAATTCTCAGCAAGGATAAATAAATAACATAGTACCTTACACACATATGAATCTCTTGATACTGTGGCTCAGCATCAACAAACCTAGCCTAGACTAGGTGATTTCTGTTGTCATCTTCTAGTTTAAAAATTCTGTTTCTATATATACATGTTGCTCTTACATTGCTACTAATACCTGTTGGGATAATAAAGGGACCCCCTTGAGTTCCCCTGGGTTTGCTCCTCTTTCATCCCATCTTCCCATATATGCACAGCTTTGAATTCTTGGTATTGGGGTTACACCCTGGGATGTTTCCTTTACAGGAGAGGATGAAGATCAGTATGAGCAGTTCATGCTGCCACTCACAGCAGCATTTGAGGCTGTGGCCCAGATGTTTAGCACCAATAGTTTCAACGAGCAGGAGGCAAAGGTGAGTGAGTCTTTCACCCAGTAATTAATCAGCTTCTGGTTTAGGGCAGTCTCTGATTGAAAATCGTGCTTGACTGTAAACTATCCACTGCCATAGCTTTTTTTAATGTCTTGGACTTCTAGGGTTTTGGAATTGCAGAACCAGTATAGATTTGTAAACTTCTGTTTTTATATTACAATGTATTTACTTAAGTAGTTCTTAGGATTTTTTTTTGTCTGAGTTTTCAAATATATTAGCATAAAGTTGTTTACAGTTTTCTTACTGCATTTTTAATCTCGGTTTTATCTTTAATTGCATCCCATTTTCATTTTTAATACTGCTCATTAGTGACAAGTTAGGTTTTCTTAAAATTGTGGTAAAAAACAGAAAGTTTACCATCTTTACCATTTTTACATGTACAGTTCAGTGATGTCAAGTTTCTACATTGTTGTGAAATAGATCTTCAGAATCCATAATTTTAATATGGAACATTTTCATTATTCAGTTTTTTGTGATTTCTAATTTCCATTGAGATTTCTTCTTTGACACTTGAGTCACTTAGAAAGGTTTAAGAATTTCCACATATATGGGTTTTTATTTTTGATTTTTTTTAGAGACAGAGTCTGACTCTCTTGCCCAGGCTGGAGTACAATGGCATGATCCTAGCTCACTGCAAGCCTTGAACTCCTGGCTCAAGCAGTCCTCCTGCCCCAGCTTCCCACGTGGCTAGGATTATAGGCACGAGACACGATGCCCAGTGAATTTCCACATATATGGAATTTTAAGTTCTTGTTTTCTAGCTCTTAGAATTGTCATTTCTTGATTGTTGCTTTCTTCATCTTTTTACTTCATACATACTGTTCTCTTGACCTGTATAGATCTGTGTCCAAATCAGAAGACACCAGGATGTTACTATTGGTAGGACTTTTTACAGTATTCCTCAGGGCACCAAGGCTGAATGGTAGAACTACCAGCTAGCCAGGGTATTGCCAGAAAAAAATGCCAGGCTTTACCTAGCATTCTAAAGCTCTCCTTTTTCATCTTTAGCCTTTTCTTTTTCCATCTACAAATCAGCAGGGTAGACAGAAAGCAACAACACTTAATGCAACCCTCTCTCCCCTAATTATACTTGTATTTTAGAGTCTGAGATAGGTACCATTCAAAGCTTGGGTTATTGTGGAACATATTACCAACTTTAGGCTAGAGTATCAACCAATATCAAGGATTTAGGGATATCAGTGAATATCAGCCCTTTTTCCCATTATATGGTATTAGTTTCATGTAAAGCAAGTAAAATTAACCAAAAGAACAACCTTGGTAATGGACTACAGCTGTCACCCACTTCTTTGTCATGTCCCATGTAAAGTCTTTTAAGAGACTGACCAAGTCTTAGACTGGAAAACTGAGCTTGTGGTATCAGCTTAGGAGAGAACTGTTTGCTTACAAGCAGACTGTTAACAGAAGTGATGTCGTTTTTGCCAAACGTGTCAAGATCCCCAAATGTACAACCTTCTTGAGCACATTTTGTTGTTGTTGTTGTTCTGTCTCCACGTTTGGAGACAACCCCCAAACTATGATTTTTATAGTAGTTTTATTGCTGTTCATGTCCCAAGTAAAAGTTTTATTGAGAGAGTGAGTATTGGATTTGGAGTCTTGGTATTATGTATGAGTCCTGATCTGGACCCTCCTGCTACCTAGCAACATGACTGGGGGAAGTTTTTTGGCCTCTTTAAGCCTCAGTCTCTTTTTCTGCAAATGGAGAGTACTGATTAAACATAGTCTTATCTAGATGGCCCACCCAAAGAGAGAGGTGCTGTGTAGACTCCCCTTTGTCTTCCTCCTGGCAGGGCCTGCATCTGACTTCCTTTAGGGTATATATGGCTCTTCTACCTCTTCTTCTTTGGGACTTCTGTTTTTCTTTTTTGCTTTTTTCTGGCTTTTTGAGTTGGTTTCTTTGCCGTGTCTCTCTCTCTCTCTCTCTCTCTCTGTCTCTCTCTCCGCCCCCCACCCTCTCTCCCCCTCCCTCCCCTCCTTTCCTCCCTGGGTGGACTCAAAGCTTTTTCACTTTTTACATGTGATGTATTACTTCAATGTCTTAAAACCTTATCAGCCTCTATTTTTGCTACGAACCAGGAACGTATTTTCTTGGCAAAACAAACTTCCAAAGCTAATTTTCTTGGCATAACAAACTTCCAAAGCTAACAAACTTCAAACTTCCAAAACAAACTTCCACTGCTAGAATGAAAATATGCCATTCTAGCATAGAAGATATTGAATCCGAATATTTGAGAAGGAGTATATGTTGAACTGTGAGAGAAAGAATTTGATGATACATGTGTGGAATCCTCATCAGATTGTTACAGTTTTGTCTTTTCTTCTATTTTAACACATTTTTGCCTTCTACTACAGCGAACTCTAGTTGGCCTAGTAAGAGACCTGAGAGGGATCGCTTTCGCTTTCAATGCCAAGACCAGCTTCATGATGCTCTTTGAATGGATGTATCCTAACTCAAACTAGGAGCACACTACAGCCTGCCTTAACTGGAGTGTGATTGGGTGATAGGGTCCAGAGACGGTGTAGGGGGAAGGGAGGGTAGTGAGGCAGAGAAGATGAAGAGTTAGCCAGAAGGCCTGCATGTGTCCTGGAAGCCACCTTATGACAGACATAAGGTTGTCTGAGATTAGAACATGAATGAAGTAGTCTCCCAGTTTCTCTTTTGGATCTCAAATATAAATGCCTGTGGAACCATATACCACTGTAGAACTGTTGGTTTTGCTATATTTAGAGAGATGTTTCAGTCTGCTGAAAAAAATAAAAAGGCCAGGCACGGTGGCTCACGCCTGTAATCCCAGCACTTAGGGAGGCCGAGGTGGGCGGATCACGAGGTCAGGAGATCGAGACCATCCTGGCTAACACGGTGAAACCCCGTCTGTACTAAAAAATACAAAAAATTAGCCAGGCGTGGTGGCGGGCGCTTGTAGTCCCAGATACTTGGGAGGCTAAGGCAGGAGAATGGCATGAACCCAGGAGGCGGAGCTTGCAGTGAGCCGAGATCGCGCCACTGCACTCCAGCCTGGGCGACAGAGCGAGACTCCATCTCAAAAAAAAATAAATAATAATAATAATAATAATAAACAGCTTTTACAAATTAGGAAGTCTAACTTTACTGACTTCATACCCTTGTGAAGATTATTTCAAATCCAGGTGCCTCTTTAATAGTTATGTAAAGGAAATGAGCTGATCCCATATAATACCATAGAAGTGATGAAAGGACAAATAACAGTATGAAATACATCATGCTCTTCAGAAGAAAGGCCCTATGTAAACTAAAATGTATTATGAGATGCCTTTCACAGGTTAAAGAACACAAAATCACTTTAGTATCTTCTGGTTAGAAAGACTCCAAGATTAGCAAGCAAGAGACAGGAACTTAAAGAACTGTAGTTTGACAAGTTTTTGCTTGGCTAGTGCTGAAAAACTATTTTAAATTCTGTACCTTTCTGGAATCAGAAATCTTTCCTTAGCTTCTCATTTACAGATATCCATCCTATATGCCAATTCTCCAACGGGCAATTGAGCTCTGGTACCATGATCCAGCCTGTACTACACCTGTACTCAAGTTGATGGCTGAATTGGTTCATAATAGGTAAGCAGGAGGCAGAGCTTGCAAGGGCACATCTGCCCTGTTATCTGAGAGAATTTGCTGTATCTAGTGCTTTGGGCAGATTGTGGGAAATAATAAGATTCACTACTGCATTTTAAAATTCGAAAAGTTTTTGTGTTTTTGTTTGTGTGAAAGAATAGTATTCCTAACTACACAAAACCATAGTCAACTGCAGGAAATAAGTCACTTTTTTTGGTTTGTTTGTCTTGTTTTTTTTGAGGCGGTGTCTTGCTGTCTCCCAGGCTGGAGTGCAGTGGCACAGTCTCGGCTCACTGCAAGCTCCATCCCCCTGGGTTCACGCCATTCCCCTGCCTCAGCCTCCGGAGTAGCTGGGACTACAGGCACCCGCCACCACACCCGGCCGATTTTTTGTATTTTTAGTAGAGACAGGGTTTCACCATGTTAGCCAGGATGGTCTCGATCTCCTGACCTCGTGATCCGCGTGCCTCGGCCTCCCAAAGTGCTGGGATTACAGGCGTGAGCCACTGCGCCCATCTAATAAGTCACTTTTAAAAAGAGTCTCCAGTGGGGCATGGTGGCTCATGCCTGTAATCCTAGCTTCTTGGGAGGCCGAAGTGGGCAGATTGCGTGAATGCAGTAGTTCTAGATCAGCCTGGGCAACATGGTGAAACCCACCTCTACAAAAAATTAGCTGGGCATGGTGGCACACAACTGTAGTCCCAGCTACTCAGGAGGCTGAGGTAGGAAGATTGCTTTAGCCTGGGAGGCAGAGGTTGCAGTGAGCCAAGATTATGCCATTACACTCCAGCCTGGGTGACAGAGCAAGACCCTGTCTCAAAAAAGTAAAATAAAAAGAATCTCCAGATGTCTACTCTTAGGAGAAGTAAATTTGGCAACCAAGATTCTGATTTCCTGCCCACAGATAAGAAATTAACATCTGGTAATGGTGCCTTGTCCATCACATTTCATGGTTAGAGACATTGAGAAGGATATGATAGATATTAGAATACCCTTTCTTAAGAAAGGTATTTATTAGAGAGGTTGTGGCAGGATCAATAAAAATTTACTTTTAAAAAGTGAGCAAGATTTTCAAAACAATTTAAGGACAGTGAAAAAGAAAAGTCTAGCACCTTAGCTTTCCTAGAATTTCAGGTATGGGCATTGGTCTCTCATGGCGGTCCTGAGAGAATTAGTAAGGTTTTTTTTCTTTATTTTTATTTTATTTATTTATTTAGTTAGTTATGTTTGATCCGGAGTTTCTCTCTTGTCGCCAGGCTGAAGTACAGTGGCGCAGTCTTGGCTCACTGCAACTTAACGCCTCCTGGGTTCAAGCGATTCTCCTGCCTCAGCCTCCCACATAGCTGGGATTACAGACATGCGCCACCACGCCCGGCTAATTTTCTATTTTTAGTAGAGACGGGGTTTCTCCGTGTTGGTCATGCTGGTCTTGAACTCCCGACTTGAGGTGATCCGCCCACTTCAGCCTCCCAGAGTGTTGGGATTGCAGGCGTGAGCCACCAGGCCTAGCAGAATTAATAAGTTTTAAAACAACCTTATGGAGTGGGTAATATTTAAAGAGGCTATAACCTCCCAGGAGACTTATATTCAAGAGTTACTCATTTATAAAATAGATACTTGAGAGCACTTACTCTTTGCCAAACTTTCCTAGCCACTATGCCAGACAAAATCTCTACCCTCTTTGATGTTACAAATGGTGGGGAAGACACACAATAAAAACAAGTATGGAAGATCTTTCCAGTGATTAAGTGCCATGAAACAAAATAAAACAAGGCAGTAAAATAGAGGGGAATTGAAGGACAGGAGGGTCAGGGAAGACCTCTCAGAGAAGGTAATATTAACTAGGATCTAAATGACAAGAAAGATTCTGGTAGCCCTGCAAAGATAAGGAGTCTTCTAAACAGAAAACATCTGCACGAGTCCTGAGATAGGACAGGCTTGCTGGGACTTGTGGCAGGAGCCTGGTTGGTGGGGGGAGGCTGTGGGAGCAGGTCAGACCAGTGAGCAGAGCCAGATCATCTAGTGCCTTCGCACAGCAGTAGTGAGGAGTGGGCATTTATTCTCATTGCTGTGGGAAGCCGCTAGAGTGTTTTCAGCAAAGGATTAAAATGATCTCATTTAAGTTTTTTAAAGGCTACCATGTGAAGAATGGGACTAAAGGCAGGTAAGAGTAGAAGCAGAGAGAATGTAAGGGAAAGGTGGATTTGGGGTTTATTTTAGAGTTAGATGTTGATGGATTCAGTGTGGTGGGGGGGAGGAAGGAGGAAGGACTCCTGGGCTTTTGAGGTCTTACCAACTTGAATCTAATAAAGCTCATCAAAATGTGGAGCAGACAAAAGAGTCAGGAACTTAAAACCAAGATGGTTACAAATGGCCTTCTCTGTCTGGCTTCTTTTGGACCATTCCAAGTCCCTATGCATCTTTTCTTCATATAAAATGGTAACAATGCTTTGGCCCCTCTCCCTCAGTTGCCACTGAAGCCATAAAGGTCCATGCCAACTAATGGCTGAAGGGCTCTGCATTAGTATCAAGAGGCGACGGGTAGAAAGTATACTTTAATCAAGGCCGGGCACGGTGGCTCACGCCTGTAATCCCAGCACTTTGGGAGGCTGAGGCGGGCGGATCACGAGGTCAGGAGATCGAGACCATCCTGGCTAACATGGTGAAATCCCATCTCCACTAAAAATACAAAAAATTAGCTGGGCGTGGTGGCGGGCACCTGTAGTCCCAGCTACTTGGGAGGCTGAAGCAGGAGAATGGTGTGAACCCGAGAGGCAGAGGTTGCAGTGAGCCGAAATTGCGCCACCGCACTCTAGCCTGGGCGACAGAGTAAGACTCCATCTCAAAAAAAAGAAAGTATACTTTAATCAAATAAAATTGAGAATTTTCAAATAGTAATTTTATCTACTGCTGCTTTTTTTTTCTTATAAATGTTTTTAATTTGAGCAGCAGAATCTGAATCTAGCATGTTGGTCTTCAATATAGAAGCTACTTCATGGTTAAATATCTATAACTTGGTTATTCTCATATTAGGATAGGCAATTGCTTACCTTAATGTAAATGCAGGATCACCCAAGGTACTCAGATGAGAGCCTCAAGTACCCCAGTCTTCCAAGAAAACACCTCTGACTTTTTCTCCTCCTGTGCTCTCTGCTCAGGTCCCAGCGACTCCAGTTTGATGTCTCTTCCCCCAATGGCATCTTACTCTTCCGAGAAACCAGCAAGATGATAACAATGTATGGTAAGTGCTTCAGATAATCATGCCTCTAGAAGTTAATTCCAGCTCAGTCACCACACTGTAAGCAGCATGTGGGTCTCTGGCCAGTCCTGGCAGGAGCCAGGACAGCATTCGTATTGTATGCTAATACATGTGCATTAGAGTGCCACCTGTCACCAGGGGCCTACTGGAATTTGTATGCCTTTGGAGTAGGAAGGCTGATCTAAACGAGCGCTTCTAATGTGGTTGAATAAACATATATGACATGTCTACTCAGGCAATCGCATCCTGACACTAGGAGAGGTCCCAAAGGATCAGGTCTATGCTCTGAAGCTCAAGGGCATCTCCATCTGCTTCTCCATGCTGAAGGCTGCTCTCAGTGGGAGTTACGTCAATTTCGGAGTCTTTCGTCTCTATGGAGACGATGCCCTGGACAATGCTCTGCAGACCTTCATCAAGCTGCTCCTCTCTATTCCTCACAGTGATCTCTTGGTAAGCCTTACGCTGCATTGCCACAATCTTGTTCCTCATCACATTCAGCCTTTTTCACCTGAGACCAAGATTGAACACTGCTCTTGAGAAACTATGTAAGCTAGCTCCTTTTGCTCTAACTAAGTCTTCTGTTTTCCCACCTAAAAGGAGCTAAGCTATTTAAGATCGTCTCCCTGCATGCTGGAGTGCATAGTGCCTAAGCTGATTTTCTTCCTCTTCCTCTCCCACAGGATTACCCCAAGCTCAGCCAGTCTTATTATTCACTACTGGAAGTCCTGACCCAGGACCATATGAACTTTATTGCAAGCCTGGAACCTCACGTCATCATGTATATTCTCTCTTCCATTTCTGAAGGACTTACTGCACTTGGTAAGCACCTGAGGTGGGTGGGTGAGTTGGTGGGTTTGTTTTTTACCACTTAACTAAACAGAAAGAGAGAATCTTGCCCCAGTGTCCAAAAAGATCACCACTGCCTTGGGGGTTTGGCCATAACAATAGAGTATATAATGCACAGCACATGCTTATCCAGCACACACTCACTGATTCCCTTCCTAAGTACAAGGCCCTGTGGAAGCACTGAGGATACGGTAATTAACAGCATATAGTCCCTGTCCTTAAGGGGCTTATCTGGTGGGTAGAACAGACACATGAACAAACAACTGCCTGTTTACCATACTTACCACTTAAACATTACAATAGGGGTGAGTACAAAGTGCTACACAAGCCCTCAAGAATACCTAGACTCTTGGTTGTGAGGAAGTCAGGATCAAGGAAGACTGGCTGGAAGACTTGGCATCAAAGCATAAACCTAAAAGCTGGACAGATGTTACCCTGGTTAGCCAGGGAGGGTTCCTAGCAGCAGAGACAGCAAGCACTTGCACCTGTAGGCAAGAAAGAACCAGGAAATCCAGATGGCTGGCACACTAGTCCAGAGGAGTTAGGAATGAAATGAAGCTTTAGAGATAAGCAGGAGCAAATCTGGAGATCATGAAGGGGGCCCGCCTGTAAGCCGTATTAGGCTGTTTGAATTCTGTCCTGAGGGCCGTGGAAGCTGGGGAAAGGTTTCATGCAGCTAGCTCCATAAGTTTTTTCATCCTAGTCCATATGGTTTCTGTCAACCATTTTGTTTCTAGGCTACCTTCCAACAATTTTTTTTTTTTTTTTTTTGAGACGGAGTCGCTCTGTCGCCCAGGCTGGAGTGCAGTGGCGCGATCTCAGCTCACTGCAACCTCTGCCTCCCGGGTTCATGCCATTCTTCTGCCTCAGCCTCCCAAGTAGCTGGGACTATAGGCGCCCGCCACCATGCCTGGCTAATTTTTTTGTATTTTTAGTAGAGACGGAGTTTCACTGTGTTAGCCAGGATAGTCTCAATCTCCTGACCTCATGATCCGCCTGGCTTGGCCTCCCAAAATACTGGGATTACAGGCATGAGCCACCGTGCCTGGCCCAACAATCTTAGTAGGTATATGTGTTCAGAGAATAAAACACATTTTTATATTAGGCTGAGCAAAACATAAGTAGGAGGATTAAGTCAACTGCCAAATAGTGATGATATGTTGCAAATACACTTTTGGATTGTCAACTGTGGTGAATTATCCATGCCTCTGTGCGACTTTGATACACATTTACTTCTATCAGTCTATCAGGGTGCATAGCCGTATCTAGTACAGTCCAATCAAGGTATCAGCCCTTGCTTTGGAAGACTTTTTTATGTCTTATTGAAAATACAGGGACCTGGCCGGGCGTGGTGGCTCATCCCAGCACTTTGGGAGGCTGAGGCGGGCAGATCACAAGGTCAGGAGCTCGAGACCAGCCTGGCCAATATGGCAAAACCCTGTCTCTGTACAAAAATTAGCTCGGCGTGGTGGTGTGTGCCTGTAGTCCCAGCTACTCTGGAGGCTGAGGCAGAAGAATCACTTGAACCCGGGAAGTAGAAGCTGTGGTGAGCCGAGATCGTGCCACTTCTGCACTCCAGCCCGGGCGACAGAACGAGACTCCGTATCAAAAAAAAAAAAAAGAAAGAAAAAGCAAGTAGAGGGACGTTTGCATAAACTATCAGTCCCGTAGGAATCAGAGACTTGTTTACTCTTTTAAGGGTTCAGCCCCTTTGTCCTTTGGCCTTACCTCATCAGAGTTCTGTCCACAGGTTGTGCTGTACTGTTCCCTTTGTAAAGACGCATAGATGAGTCTGCAGCTCCCCCCAGAGATGCTTTGGAGATAAACAGATAATACAGCATACCGTGTTCTAACAAACCATAAACATTCAGGGGCTACGTCATTCTGGGTTTAATTACATCCCACTGGTAACTCAGAGCATAGGCTCATACCCCAGGCTTCTTGGATTCTAATCACAGCTCCTGCAATTACTAGCAGTTGATCCTTAGGCCGATACATAACCTCTCCTAATTCTGGTTTCCTCATTTGTAAAACAGAAAACCTAATTCCTGAGTTCTTGAGAGGATAAATTAGAGATAACACCTATAAAGTACTTAGCACAACATCTGGCACAAAAGAAGCACTTGCTGAATCAAACTATTTGTTATTTTGTGTGAGGCAGAAGATGTACGTACATCCACAACACATTGAGCCGATAATTTCAGTATTCTTTATTACCACATACTCACTTTCAAACTTAGAAATTGAGCCCTACTGTACAATGAGGTTAAGAGGTTAACAGGAGTCATCTTGAGCAACCGCCTTGGTTGAATTGGCCACGGTACCCTAATGGATCTCACCCAAAGATAGTCCATATTTGTCCAGGCCACCATCAGCAGCTCTGTCCTACCCCTGCCTTTCTTTCTTGCAGACACCATGGTATGCACAGGCTGCTGCTCCTGCCTGGACCACATTGTGACATACCTCTTCAAGCAGCTGTCACGTAGCACCAAGAAGAGGACCACACCCCTGAACCAGGAGAGCGACCGCTTTCTGCACATCATGCAGCAGCATCCAGAGATGATCCAGCAGGTAAGAAAGTGGAGGCTTAGGAGGCAGTGATGGGGTGTCCGACAGAGGAAGGACCTCTGCAAGACAGGGGAGCCCACACACGATTAACATGACATCTCATCAGGTTCCTGCTGCTGAGATGAAGTCCGTGTCTTAAAGTTGCAGTGGATTTTGAGTTTGCCAAGTAATCACTGGATGTAGAAAACGCTCAGGTTCTGGATTATTCTTCTGAGTGTCACAGTGATCCCTATGCCCTGGACCTGTCTCATGATCACTATCCTCTTTCTGTGAAAATTACTTTGCTCACCCACTGCTATAAATAGAGCAGGAGTTAGCAGCATCCAGCTTTCTAAAGGCTTGTGTTCCTGTTTACAAAACAGGAAGAAGAATGCAAGACAGAAGGAAATAACTGGCCACAGAGAGATCAAACCATATGCTTGCCCTTATTTTATTTGTATGTGCCTTGAAGTAACTTACAGAAATACATGCTAGATGAAAATAGATAAGGAAATGGGATCAGTAATTATTGAGATTTTAGCCAGTCTTACCTTTGTCCACACCGTTCTCTAAAGAAGCAGTGAAATAATTCAGGACTCCATTACATTCACAAGATGTCATAAAGCTGTCAACTCCGAGTACCTGGAAGGGATCATGCAAGGTGGTTTTGCTTACTGTAATTTTGTTTACGTGACCCCATCCCATTCCCCACAACTCAGGGTGACCTGGAAAGATCCATTGGTAAGTGAAGTTCAAACCAATTTTAAGAACAAGAAAGGAAATGAATATCTTAGAAGAAAAGGTAACCTTGAAATAGAAGACTCAGATGAAGCTTCACAAACTATTTGTCTGATTTACCCTATACAGAAAAGGCCTTCAGCCTAATATACTCCTGTATTTGGAATCTGTCGTTTTATCTTGGGTAGCAATACATTAGGTCACTGCCTGAAATTCTCCATTCCATTTTCAGATGCTGTCCACGGTGCTGAACATCATCATCTTTGAAGACTGTAGGAACCAGTGGTCTATGTCCCGACCACTACTTGGCTTGATATTGCTTAATGAAAAGGTGAGAGAGCCAGCTCCCTGGTGCCAACCCAGAAGCAGTGGCAACCACGCACTTGGTATCACCAAGCCCTGGGAGAAATGTGTATAGAAACACCCCACGGTGGTGAAACAGGGAAAATGGGTCATTTACTGAGCAAGTCCCATTTGTGCTTTCAGTATCACATAATCATTTAACTGTTAGAAGTCAGCATGTGTGGTAGCTCACAGACACAGGATAAAGGAGTGTTTCCCCTAGGCAGTAAGAGAAACCTTTCAAGGAAATAATGTACCTGGGTATCAGAGGACCTAAGACCTAAGTTCTAGTTCTAGCTCTGCTATAAACAAGTCTTGAGATTCTGGTAAAAGAAAGGTCTGGATAAGATGACCCTTTTAAAGTGCTTTACAATTTAAAAATTCTTGATATTCTTAGTAGGATGAAGCCATATTATCCCACAAGTGCTTGCCTGAATTTCTTTTTTAAGGGTCCAATTTTAGTAGACATTCCATTCCTCCTTAGAGAAGAACATTCTTCAACCCTGCAGATGACGGAGGGCTAATCTGCCTTCCCCTGCTTCTCTAACCTTCTGTTCCACTCCTTGCCCCACAGTATTTTTCTGACCTAAGAAACAGTATTGTGAACAGCCAGCCACCGGAGAAGCAGCAGGCCATGCACCTGTGTTTTGAGAACCTGATGGAAGGCATCGAGCGAAATCTTCTTACGAAAAACAGAGACAGGTGAGTATAAAGCGTCCTGCCTAGAAATCTCAGACAATTGCTATTTTTCAAATCAACGAAACAGGCAGTTGCTTTAAAGTCTTTGACATCTGTGTTTGGAGGCCATCTAAAGCAATGCAATGCAATAGAAAAGTGAGCCATGTTAAACAGGCAAAATTCATTTTAATAATATATTTTATTTAACCCATTGTATCTAAAATATTGTATCAGTGTGTAATCAGTATTTTAAAATTGTGGGTTTTCACATTCTTTTTGTACTACATTTCCAAAATCCTGTGTACTTTACATTTAACAGCATATCTCAGTTCATACGTTTTCATCAGAAATACTTGATCTGTATTTAGATTTCATAAATTTACAGTTGACAAAGTAGATTCCTGTAATACCCAGATTGTTTCAAACACACCTAGGGACTTTCCAGTAACTGCATTGAGTATCTGGGCTTTGCAATTAACTTTTAAATTTTATTTAATTTTAATTAATTTAAAACAAGGCATTTTAATTTAAAATTAAGATGCAGTTGGGGAGCTGAATGTTAAATTGTATTTAATTTGGATTCATGTTCTCAGTCACACTGGCCATAATTCAGGGGCACGGTAGCCATATGTGGTTAGCAGCCGCCCTATTGGACAGCATAGCACTGCACCACCTGGTCTTGCTGCATTAAGAAATGAGATGGCTTCATTGGCTTACTGCCCTCACGTGTGAGGGCAACTTCCTACTTCTGTCAGTGAGATTTCTTTTGTGCTGCCATGAGCCCAAGGTAGCCCTCAGGGCCCCAGATTTGACCAGATCTCTAAGCCAACTTTTCTCTTAGAGTCTTAAGACTGAAATTAACTGATCTTTGAAACAGAACCCATCAATTCATACATTCTACTTCCCATGCTTTAAAAAAAAAAAAAAAAAAGGCAAATACCTTTCCCCCCCACTCTCCTCCCCCAACCCACATGCATCCTCTCTGCAGGTTCACCCAGAACCTGTCAGCATTCCGTCGAGAAGTCAACGACTCAATGAAGAATTCCACTTATGGCGTGAATAGCAATGACATGATGAGCTGACACCTCCTTGGACTCTACCTGTACAGAGCAGCGTCCCTTTGGTTTGGCCCAGAGGGGCGAACAATTGCAAGGGAGAGGGCCTGGCTGATCCTGGCTCTTTTCTCCAGGGGTGTGGGGAAAATGGCAAAGGTCAACTAGCTGCTTCCCCAGGGAATAGGGGTGTGAGTACACTCACTAGGGGGCAGGGCGCTGCTGGTTCCTGGGGGACTGGGTGGGAAGGGTGGTGGGAGGAGATAAGAGATACAAACTGAGACTCCAGCCTCTCCTCCTGGGGCCACCCAAGTGGGGAGAACCCCTAGTGTCCTGCCACAACCTGCCTTGTATAAACATGTACATTTTTTCATAACATTTTGAACAAGGTTTATATTGACTCAAGTTTAAAAACAAAAAGTGTGACTGAAAAATTTTTACAGAGTCTAGTGCACCAATGCTGATGTGAGGGGTTGTGTATGCGAGTGAAGAAAATGTGTATTCTGGTGGCCTGAAGCTTTACTGGACAAGGATGTGTGAGAGTGCAGAGATATATTTAGTGACACAGTAGAGAGGCAAAAAAAAAGCTAAAATTCCAAATGTATATTTTTTCGTATTGCCCTGTCCTCACCCAGAAATGATCAATTCCTGTTACTGTATTAACCCTTGTTATTAGGAACTCTAAGCCATGCCAGAACACCGTCCCTCCCCTTGGACCGTGTAGATTCTGCCCTGGGTCCCTAGCCCCTTGCAGTGATAAATAACTCCAGCTAAAAGTGTTTGGTGTTCTTATCTCCACCCTCTTTCCTACTTTGCTTACCCTCATC
Source organism: Homo sapiens (assembly GCF_000001405.40). NCBI lineage: Eukaryota > Metazoa > Chordata > Mammalia > Primates > Hominidae > Homo > Homo sapiens. The sequence goes on from NC_000008.11 coordinate 22,005,886, forward strand.
CTCAGACAGATGCCTCTTGCTTTTAAAAGTTGGATTTAACGACGTGTTGTAGGGTTCTTGGTCTGTGTGAAGGCAGAGACCAGAGAGAAGGAAGTGAGCCCACTGCTCTCCTGGGAGCAATGTGGGTGAGTCCACCAGAGGCCCTGCTGTGTGTGGCCAATAAATTTTAGTCTTCCCCAGCCCTCGAGGCAGTGTGTGTGGATGTATGCGTGTGGATATTTATATATGTACCCTGCACTCATGAATGTATGAACTGGAGGAAGTTACTACAGTGGAAGGGTTCTTAATAACAAGGTCTACCTAGCATGAAGTATTTAACATTCTCCCATCCCTTAAAAAATATACATTTTTATAAAATGAAAACCATAATAAATGTTTTGAATATTAAAAAAAATAATAACCTACAGAGGAAAATTAATGGAGACAGCTATTTGCCTTGTACTTTTTCCACAATTGTTGCTGCTAGTTGTACACATCTCTAGTTCAGCTCTTGCCCACGGGACACTCATCAATTAGGTTTTATTTTTATTTCTTTCCTCTACCCCCAGAAACAAGCCTGTTAATTTTTTTTCCTTCTCCTCTGGCGACTGTGTGATGAATCCTTTCTTGCGTGATCAGGTTGCGGATAGACTTGTAAGGGTGTTTGCTGCATACAGTGTAAGCATTGTGACCGCCAATAAACTTCAATGGTTTCTACTGACCTGGCTTCAGCAATCATGTCCAGTGTGCGTCCAAGGACATGTCTCACTCAAAACACATGAAGCTGTGTGAAACATTCTTTAAAAGCCCGTGAATGACAGGGGCCCCTTCACCTGATCAAATTGACTTGTTTCTCATTGCACAGAGTCTGACTCAGTTTCTTTCAAAAGTATAATATGATTGATATATCTCTGTCAACAAAACCAGTCACATGCTATTGTCCATAGCTATAAAGCACAAGCCATTCTACCTCTCTGTTAGCTTTCAGATAATAACATGGCTACTGGCAGACAAGTAGCAATTGAAGAAAGCCCAGTGTTTTAATGTTCTGACATCAGCTTCTCTGATGTGGGCTGAGTTTCATTCATTAGACTATGACAAGTTCAGGGGCAAATGTTATCCCCCTGGAATACGTTGCAGACCTCACAGGCCAGATTTATCAAAAGAGGAACACTTGTTAACAGAGACTACTTCTAAGGCCTGCACTGTGTATTCAGAGTACCTGAGTATGAGGAAATTTGATTGCCAGAAACACAGAAAAGTATTAAGATACAGACAGGTATGTGTACCTTAATGCAGATTTCCATCCCATGACTCTTGGGTGCCAGGGTGCCATTCTTGTCTGCATTATGTAGATGTACCACTACCTTTGCAGTTTCAGCCTTCTGGGAACTGCTATAGCTGCCTCAGTCCTAACTTATTTCAAAGGCAAAAAAAATTCTGATGGCTACAAGGCAAATGGAGTTGATTAATCTTAGCTAAATTCCATCTCTAAGCCTAACATATTAAATGGTGAGTTTTCATTAATATGCATATACTTCTGACACATGCCCCAGAGACCTGGAATTCTGATTCTATAGTTAGGTGACACAAAAATAACTTTCTCATGGATACTTAAAGAGAAGTCCCCTTTCCCCCAACTGCTTTGAGATGCTGATTAATCAGCAAAACCCCAGACCTCTCCCTTCCCTGGGCAAGAAACTCACCAAAGATGGTGGTCTCCTCATTACAGCCCTGAGTGTAGTCCAATCACAAGGAGCCATGATTAAAATCTTCCACAGCTTCATCAGACTTAAACAGTGAAGCTGTTCCCTCCTCTGCCATGGTTAAAATCTTCCACAACTTCATCAGACTTTTTAAACAGTGAAGCTGTTCCCTCCTTTGCTGACAATTCAAAGAGGGGGCACCAAATCACCTTTTGGTCAAAAATGGTCAGTTAGCAATTTCATATGATTCAACCTAGTAAATGTAATAGTTGGTTATCTTTAGATTTTGGTTTCCCCAGAAATCATGAGATTTTATTCAGTCAAAACAAAAGTGTATTTGGGAATTTCTAGGCTTATTCCCCAGGCACTGTGTTCATCAAGTCAAGTGTCTTTAGATAGTGTTTCCTGACACAAACTGTGCCTTACATTGAAAACGTTCTTTACTACAGATTATTAAATTGTGTTTGTATGTGTTTTGTTGGCTCAGCCCAAGTAAGGGTTATCTATTCCCACTAATGTGTAAATCAGACAAAGGAAGAAGGGATTTGGCCCAAGATTGCAATTTTAAGTTTTTAAATTTTAAGAAGTAATGACTTTGGGCAGAAGTGTCCATTTTCTAATGACAAGTGACAACATAAGAAATAAGTTTTTCATTCTCTAAAACATTGGCTTTATTAAGGGACTTTTTCCCCTCCCCCCAACTCCCCACTGGAAAAAATGTTTTAGTACCTTTTGAAATTTCAACTAAGTACATCAACAGACCACTTTCCAAAATATCCATGCTTGTGGGGTAACATGAATTAAATCTAGAAAGCCAGAAAAACTCCCTATATCATATTTGCCACCAGCCAACCCTGTCCAGGCCAACCCTAGCCCAAGATTTCTGGCTAGACCTACAAGCCTAAATTGACATATAATGCTGCCAAAACTCTCGAATGCCAAAGGAAATATAGTTATAGGGACCCTGTAAAAGCCACAAGTTTGTTGATTAGGCCTTGAAAAATGTAAGTGATTATAACTACTTAAAAGTCCTGGTGGTTCTTTAAATATTTTTTAAGTATTTGAAAGGATGAAAATGTGTTCATCAGCCATAATTAGATACTAGGTCATGTGTAAAAAGATTCTTGCCTCTGTAGCTTGTCCTCTGGGTCCATTACATTTATCTTGGGTGTCTTCACCCTGAACTCACTGGTCGCCTGCCACTTGGGTGCTTTTCAGGAAGAGCAGATCAACTAAAGGAATCAGCTGCCAGACAATGGGACGTGAGACTGTCAAGGTAGAGGATGACATCAAGTTTGGAAAATCATTCCCCTTCCTCAGAAAAGCCTTCTGGTTCTCAGGACAGCCTGACTGCTACCCTTTGTCATCTGTTCATCAAATACTTATTCAGCATCTATTATGGGCCAGGTATCTTTTTGATGGTCAGGAATGGAAAAGGAAACTCAAAAGCAGAAAAAGTCACTTGCAAGGCAAATTTGCCTCCATTCTTCTGTTTCATGATCACTCAGTAATACAAACTGACTCTAAAACATAGTAAACAGTACTTACAAAAGCACCATGCACAATTATTTTAATTCTACTTGATAGCCATGAAGACAACTCAGCGCACTTAAGCATACGGCAGCATGCATATGGCCTAAAAGAATGGCAAGTGGGGAATCTCCTTACCCTTGCTATTGAATCACAGAGTTAGCAAGTCAGAGCCTCTGGATTCGAGGTCTGGAAGACAGACTCACAGGATACAAACTAATGGACAGTGGATAAAAACTTATGTAAAGCTCAGAAGGGCCAATAAAGAGTCTAACAGTCACTCCCTACAGCTAGTGAAAGAGTGGGAGAATGTAAGAGCCGTGGTCTCAGTCAGAAAACCCAAACCTCTCCCCAGCTGACTATACTGTGTAATGAAGGTAAAGCATCCTCTCAAGGCCAAATTAATTCAACTGGAAAATGGTTGAGAGTGCCAGTTTAAGATGATGGAAACAAAACGACTTTTAAGTTTAGAAGAATGCAAGCCGTTATTTCATTAGGAAACTAGGTATCTACCCTTTTAACACTTTGCAGTCCAGGGCATGTGTCACAAGTTAAAAACTTTATCAGCCAAGCTACGAATGCTGCACCAGAATTCATACATTCAACTATGTGGATGCAACTGCCATCTCTGCCTCCACATCCTACCCCCGGCCTTTGCTGGTCTGCAGAACCCTCTCTTCTCAGTCTAAATTTACATGCCCTTTGCTCGCCTACGCTTTTCTAGACCCCAAATCGGACCTAATCCTTCTCAAGTCTCCCCTTACTGTGCCCATTCCTAAGAGCCTTAGGGCCCACCTACTCTTCTGTTTGGAGTGTTCCTAACCCCAACCCCTGCCTGTCCCAGTAGCCAAAGTGTGCTTCTTACGAGCTGGGCCCAGACCATGGTGTCATGACCAGCGACAAGGATGTGCAGTTTCTGGGGAGTGTACAGTAAGGGGAGCGGTGGAATTAATTTGGGTGAAGCCCCTGCAGAGAGACGCCAGACTGGTTTATGCAGGTTAACCCTCACATCGCTGCCATAGCTCGCTACGACAATGAAAAGAGCAAAAGCTATTGACACCATCCCGCCTGCACCCTGCGAAAGAAAGGGAGAGTTTGCACCCCACCTGGCCTGACCTCCCCGACAGCGCTGCAGCCCCGGAAGTAATTTCGCGAGTTTCTTCCGCCGGAAGGTGGCGCCTGCGCACTCAGGTGTCCACGGCCTCTGTTCCGGCTCTCCCCCAGCTTTCGCCGCCGCGCGCAGGCGCAGTCCAGACTCGGTCCTGGCCGGGGGTTCTAGTGTTGCCGCTGGAAGAGCGAGGTCTTAATTGCTTTGCGGGAGCGTTCCTGGGGAAGTCCAGAGCTGGGTTCCTGCGGCCCTTGGGCCCCCACGGCGCCGTGTGCCTGGCAGAGGTTCGAGTTCACACGCACCGTGGCTTGCAGCAGGCAGCCGCAGTGCTAATCAGCGGCGCTGTTCCCGGGCTGGGTGCAGCTGCTAAGGACAAGGCCCCTGCTCCGAAGAACGCGGTGGCTCGGGGATACCCTGAAAGGGACGGCCATGGCGCACATGGGATGCCCTAGGGTTCGTGGGAGGGCATGCAGGCGCAGCCCCCGCAGGGGTTGGCCTGCCAGAGAAGGCAGGGGAGAGCACTCGGGGCTGCACAAATGGTGTGGCCGGAGGGAAGGTGCAGCCTTGTGTGTGTCTGGATGAGGGCTGGGCATAGGAGCTTGGTATTTGATCCTGAAAGCTCTGCGTTTCCAAAGGCCACTTGGCAAAGCAGCCTGGTGACCAGTCTTTGTTTAGCCCACCAGCTAGTGGGGAATACGGACTTGGACCAAGACAAAGACTGCGGGGATAGTTGGGCGATGTTAGGAGAGGAGGGCTTTGTGATCAGTTGCATTTGGAGTAAAGAGGATTCTGGTATGATTCCCACGTTCCAGGATAGAGCGCCAACTGAGTCAGGAAGAGGGAGTGTGGAGCACTTTGGGGATGAGGGTGCAGGAGAGAAGGCGCCGCGCTGGGTGAGCCTAATTGGGACTCCCATCCAAAGAGAATTCCCTGCTCTTGCAGGCAGAGCGCTGGGGAGATTGCTACAGAAGAAAATGCCAGTCCCACAAAAGTTCGGAAAATAGTAGAAAGGGGGCGACGAATGGTGGCTCATGCCTGTAATCCCAGCACTTTGGGAGGCCGAGGCAGGAGGATCTCTGGAGCCCAGGAGTTCAAGACCAGACTGGGCAACATGGGGAGACCCCGTCTCGATTTTTCAAAAATAAAAATAGTGGTAGAGGGAACACTTCCCGGCTCACTTTGAAATAAGCTGTTTCCAAACACCAAAACCACAGACATTAAAGAGAAAAACAAAACCTTTTTAGACCACTATCCTTCATGAACATAGATGCAAAACTCCTTAACAAAATAGAAACAAGTCAAATGCAACAGTACATTAAAAAAAGTGGCTGGGTACAGTGGCTCACACCTGTAACCCCAGCACTTTGGGAGACTTAGGTGGAAGGATGACTTGAGTTCAGGAGATGGAGACCAGCCTAGACAACATAGTAAGACCCCATCCCTACAAAAAATGAACAAGACTCATGAGCATGTTGGCACTTGACTGTGGTCCAGCTACTCTGGAGGCTGAGGGGGGAGGGTCACTTAAGCCCAGGAGGCCAAGGCTGCAATGAGTTATGATCCCAACACTGCACTCCAGCCTGGGTGGCAGAGCAAGACCCTATCTCAAAACCAAAAAACATTGGCGGGGAAGGGAAGGCATATAAAATGACCAATGGGATTGATCCTAGGAATGCAAGGTTGGTTTGACTTTTTTTTAATAAATGTAATTAACCACATAAAGGATAAGTAATGGATCATCTCAATAGATAAAGATGTGACAAAACTTAATATCCATCCATGATTAGAAAAGAAAAACTCAGGAAACTAGGAATAGAAAGAAAACAATCCAGTAAAAGACATCTATGAAAAACCAACCATTAACAACATACTTAAAGGTGAAAGACTGATTCCCCTAAGATCATGAATAAGGCAAGGTTGCCTATTCTCACCACTTCTATTCAGCGTTGTGCCAGAGGTTCTAACCAGAGCAAAAAGGCACAAAAAAGAAATGAAAGGCACACAGATGAGAAAGGAAAAAGTAAAACTGTCTTTATTCACAGGTGTCATGATTTGAGGTGTAAAAAAGCTACTGTAACAAGGGAATTTAGCAAAATCACAGAAGGTCAACATACAAACAATTTTATTTCTTTATACCAATGATAAACAATTACAAGGTGAAATTTTAAAATATGTACCTGAATCTTAGAATATTTTTTTTAAAAAATTAATTGGCAAAATATATACCATTTGCTGTGGCATCCAAAAACATGAAATACATAAGAATAAATTTAACAAGATATGTGCCATATCTGTACACTAAAACCTATAAACCATTGCTGAGGAAAATTAAAGATTTTAATTGGTGTAACATGTTTGTCGATTGGATGAATACAGTTTGTGATGTCAAGTCCCAATAAAAATCCCAAGAGGTTTTTTTGTAGCAACAAGTTGAATCTTACATTTATATGAAAATGCAAAGAATCTGGAATAACCAAAACATATTTGAAGTAGAAGAAGAATCCTAACTCATGCTACCTAATTTCAAGGTTTACTATAAAGATATAGTAATGAAGACAGTGTGGCATTGACACTAGGATAGGATAGACATACAGATCAGTGAAGCAGAATAAAGTCCAAAAGCAGAATAACATATGAGCTTGATTTTCAACAAAGATCCCAAAGTAATTCAGTAGGAAAAGATTATCTCTTCCAAAAATAGTACTGGAGGAACTGGATATGCAGTTGAGGGGAAAAATAAACTCTGATCCTTATCTAACACCACACATAAAAGTTAACTTAAAATGTATGATAGATGTAAAAGGTAAAATATTTCTAGAAGAGAACTTAAAACAAAAACAACTTTCATTACTTTGAGTTAAGCCAAGATGTCTTAAGACACCAAAAGCATGAGCCATAAAAGAAAAAAAAGAACTTCAAATTTTCTGCACTTCAAAACACACTATTTTTAAAATGAAACTGCAAGCCACAGATCGGAGTGAAAAAAATATTCGAACATATATATTTGACACAAAACAGGTATCTAGTAAATATAAAAAAAAGAAGGGCCAGGTGCAGTGGCTCACACCTGTAATCCTAGCACTCTGGGAGGCCAGGATAGGAGGATCCCTTGAGCTCAGGAGCTCAAGATCAGCCTGAGCAATATAGTGAGACCTCATTTCCACAACAACAACAAAAAAGTTAATTAGCCAGGCATGGTGGTGCATTCCTGTAATTCCAGCTACTTGGGAGGCTGAAGTGGGAGGATCACTTGAGCCAGGGAGGCAGAGCCTGCAGTGAGCCATGATGTTACCACAGCACTGCAGCCTGGGCAACAGAGCAAGGCCTTGTCCAAAAAAAAAAAAAAAAAAGAAAAAAGAAACACATACACACACACAAAACTCACTAAGAATAACCCAACTTTAAAATGGACAAAATAGTTGAACGTGCATTTTGTAAAATAAGATTTACAAATGACCAGTAATCACGTTGAAAAGAAACTCAAAATCACTTGTCATCAAGAAAATGCAAATAAAAACTACAATGAAATGCCACTATACATCCACTAGAATGGCTAGAATTAAGAACACTGAATGCCAAGTGTAGGCAAAGATGTAGAATAATTAGAATTCTTATACATTGGCTGGGTGCGGTGGCTCACTCCTGTAATCCCAGCACTTTGGGAAGCTGAGGCGGGTGGATCACAAGGTCAAGAGATCGAGACCATCCTGGCCAACATGGTGAAACCCTGTCTGTACTAAAAATACAAAAATTAGGTCGGGCACAGTGGCTCACACCTGTAATCCCGGCACTTTGGGAGGCTGAGGCGGGTGCATCACGAGGTCAGGAGTTCAAGACCAGCCTGGACAAGATGGTGAAACCCGGTCTGTGCTAAAAATGCAAAAATTAGCTGGGCATAGTGGTGGGTGCCTGTAATCCCAGCTACTCAGGAGGCTGAGGCAGAGAAGTGCTTGAACCCGGGAGGTGGAAGTTGCAGTGAGGTGAGATTGCGCCACTGCATTCCAGCCTGGGCGACAGAGTGAGACTCCGTCTTGAAAAAAAAAAAGTACAAAAATTAGCTGGGCGTGGTGGCACACGCCTGTAGTCCCAGCTACTCGGGAGGTTGAGGCAGGAGAATCGCAAGAATTCTTATACATTATATGTAGAAATGTAAAATGGTACAGCATAGCCAGACATGGTGGCACATGCCTGTAGTTGCAGCTACACGGGAGGCTGAGGTGAGAGGATCACCTGAGCCTGGGGAGGTCAAGGCTACAGTGAACCATGATCATGCCACTGCACTCCAGCCTGGACAACAGAGTGAGAACCTGTCTCAAATATAAAAATAATAAATAAAAGGGTACAGCATGTCAAAGTAGTTTTGCAGTTTCATATAAAGCTTAACATATGCTTACCACATATCCAGCAATTCCACTCCTAGATGTTTACCCAAGAAAAGTTAAAACATACATCCAAAGGCTTGCTCTCAAATATTCATAGCCGTTTTATTCACAATTGTTTAAAACTGGAAAGTTCCCAAATGTTCACCAACAGGTCTATCTGACAGGGACTTACTGCAAGGAATTGGCTCATGTGATTATGAGCACCAACCAGGAGAGTATGAAATCTATAGGGCAGGCCATCAGGAAGAGCAGCTTGGAAGGGGGAGAGGAGCAAGGAGCTGAAGCTGCAGTCCCCAGGCAGGACTTCAGGAAAACCTCACTTCTGTTCCTGAAGTCTTTCAACTTATTGGGTGAGGCATACTCACATCATCAAGGGTAATTCCTTTAACTCAAAGTCAATGAATTGTAGATGTTAATCACATCTACAGATTACCTTGATAGCAACACATAGACTAATATTTGCTTGAATAACTGGGTCAATAGCCTAGTCATGTTGACACATAACACTAACGGGCAGATGACTGGATAGACCAATTGTGGGATACTCCTCAACCAAAACAAGAAACAAACTGCTGATACAAGCACCAGTATAAATAAATAAATCTCAAACACATTTTGCTTAGCAAAAAAAGGCCAACAAAAAGACCCTGTAGGATTCTACTTATATGAAGTTCTAGAACAGGCAATACTAATCTGTAATGTCAGAAAGCAGATTAGCATTTGCCTAATGCCAGTTAGGCATAGCAGGGGGTGGGGCAGGGGGCATTGACTGCAAAGGGAAACAAGGAAAGTAGGAAGGGACAATGGAAATTATATCTTGACTGGGGTGATGCTACATGGGTGTATACATTTGTCACAACTCATCAAACTATACAGTTAAAATGAATGCAGTTTTTTGGGTTTTTTTAGACAGAGTCTCACTCTGTCGCTGGAGTGCAGTGGTGTGACCACAGCTCACTGCAGCCTCAAACTCCCAAGCTCAAGTGCTCCTCCCACCTCAGCTCCCAAGTAGCTAGGACTACAGGAGCGTGTCATACCACCTGGCTAATCTTTTTTTCCTAATTTTTTTTTTTTTTTTAACGGAGTCTCACTCTATCACCCAGGCTGGTCTTGACCTCCTGACCTCAAGCCATCATCCTGTCTTGGCCTCCCAAATTACTGGGAATACAGGCGTGCGCCACTGTGCCCGTTCAAGTGCAGTTTTTTGTATATAAATTATTTTTCAATAAAGTTAATTTAAAAAGAAAAAGCTAATTCCTGCACAGCAGAAGCCCAGCTCATGCCAAAGAGATAGAGCCAGTTCCTCTGGCACCATTTTAGAAAAGACCACCCAGGCCAGAGCGGTGGCCCATGCCTGCAGTCCCAGCACTTTGGAAGGCCGAGGCAGGCAGATTGCTTGAGGCCAAGAATTTCAGACCAGCCTGGCCAACATGGCTCTACTAAAAATACAAAAACTTAGCTGGGTGTGGTGGTGCATGCCTGTAATCCCAGCTACTCAGGAGACTGAGGCACGAGAATCACTGGAACCTGGAAGGCAAAAGTTGCAGTGAGCCAAGATCACACCACAGCACTCCAGCCTGGGGGACAGAGTGAGACTCCATCAAAAAAAAAAAAAAAAAAAAAAAAAAAAAGGAAAGAAGGGAGGGAGGGAGGAGAAAGAAAAAGAAAGAAAGATGGAAAAGACCTAGACATTTTTCCAAAAAGACAAACAGCCAACAGGTGTATGAGAGGATGCTTCAACATCACTAACCATCAGAGAAATGCAAATCAAATCACAGTAGATATCATCTACCACCTGTTAGGACAGCTATTATTTAAAAAAACAAAAAACAAAAAATGGGCCTGACGCAGTGGCTCATGCCTGTAATCCCAGCACTTTGGGAGGCCAAGGCGGCTGGATCACGAGGTCAGCAGATCGAGACCATGCTGGCTAACATGGTGAAACCCCGTCTCTACTAAAAATACAAAAAAAAAGTAGTCAGGCGTGGTGGCGGGTGCCTGTAGTCCCACCTACTTGGGAGGCTGAGGCAGGAGAATGGTGTGAACCCGGGAGGTGGAGGTTGCAGTGGGCTGAGATCACACCACTGCACTCCAGCCTGGGCAACAGTGAAAAACTCCGTCTTAAAAAAAAAAAAAAAAAAAAAATCGCCCACGCCTCTAATCCCAGCACGTTGAGGCCGAGGCAAGAGGATCACTTGAGCTCAGCAGTTCAAGAGCAACCTGGGCAACATAGTGAGACCCCAACTCTACAAAAAAAAAAATCAAGAAATGTACTGGGCATAGTGGTACACACCTATAGTCCCAGCTACTCAGAAAGTTGAGGCAGAAGGATCGCTTGAGCACAGGAGGTCAAGGTGGCAGTGAGTCGTGATCATGCCACCACACTCCAGCCTGGACTGCAGAGGGAGACCCTGCCTCAAAAAAACAAAACAATTGTTGAGGATGTGGAGAAACAGGAACATTTGTACATGCTTGGTGGGAATGAATGTAAAAGCTGCTAAGGAAAAGAGTATGGAGGTTCCTCAAAAAATTAAAAATAGAGGCCAGGCATAGTGGCTCATGCCTGTAATCCTGGTGCTTTGGGATGCCAAGATGGGAGGATTGCTTGAGGCTAGGAATTCAAGACCAGCTTGGACAACATAGCAAGACCCTGTCTCTCCAAAAAAAAAAAAATTAGCCAGACATGGTGGCGCACACCTGTAGTCCCAGCTACGTGGGAGGCTGAGGTGGGAGGATCGCTTCAGCCTAGAAGTTCAAGACAGCAGTGAGCCATGATCACACTGCACTCCAGCATGAGTGACAGAGTGAAACCTGTCAGCAAGAAAATAAAAATCGAATTACCTGTGTTCCAGGAATCCCACTCCTGACTATATATCCAAAGGAAATGAAATTAGAATCTCAAAGGGATATCTGCACTTTTGTGTTCATGACAGCATTATTCACAATAGCCAAAATATGAAAACAGCTTAAACACCCACTGATGGACGCAGGATATAGAAAATAGTACATACATACAATGGTATATTATTTAGCCTTGAAAAAGAAGGCAATTCAGTCCTCTAGGACAACCTGGCTGGACCTGGAGGGCATTATGTTTAATGAAATAAACCAGACACAGAAAGACAAATGTGCATGATCTCACTCATGTGGGATCTAAAATAGTCAAAATAACGAAAGCAAGGAGTATAGGAATGGTTGCCAGGCACTGGGAGGAGAGGAAAACGGGGAGGTGATGGTCAAAGTGTACAAAGTTTCAGTTATGCAAAATAAATCTGGAGTCCAGTATGCAACACAGTGTCTAGAACTAACAATACTTAGTAACTACAGTAGAATACTTACTATCTGCTAAAAGAATAGATCTTACAGTAAGTGTTCTTAATGAAAAAACACAGGCCAGGCATGGTGGCTCACATCTGTAATCCCAGCACTTTGGGAGGCTGAGGCAGGTGGATCACCCGAGGTCAGGAGTTCAAGACCAGCCTGACCAACATGGTGAAACCTCGTCTCTACTAAAAATAAAAAAATTAGCTGGGCTTGGTGGTGGGTGCCTGTAGTCCCAGCTACTCGGGAGGCTGAGACAGGAGAATGGCTTGAACCTGGGAAGCAGAGGTTGCAGTGAGCTGAGATCATGCCACTGCACTCCAGCCTGGGCAACAGAGCGAAACTCCATCTCAAAAAAATAAATAAATAAATAAATAATAATAATAATAAAGAGGGCAAGAGAAAACTTTGGGAGCTGATGGATATGTTCATGGCCATGATGGTGGTGAGGGTTTCATAGGCGTATATTTATCCCCAAACTCAACAAGATGTATACCTTAAATCTGTACAGCCTTTTACACATCAATCATACCTCATTAAGGTGGTTTTTTAAAAAAAAAAATCAATGAACTTTATATATGGATGAGAAATTTCCTAGGTGGAATTGTAGGGTAAGAATACCAGGAGAGACAAAAACCATATAATCATCTCAATAAATGCAGAAAAAGCATTTGATAAAAGTCTACATCCCTTCATGATAAAAATTCTCAACAAGTTATGCATACACGTAATATGCCTTAACATAATAAAGGCCATATATGACAAACCCACAGAAGGCTAACATACTGAATGGGAGAAAGCTGAAAGCCTTTCCTGTAAGAACTGGAGCAAGACAAGGATGCCCACCTTCACCAGTCGTATTCAACACAGTTCTGTAAGTACTAGCCAGAACAACCAGGTAAGAGAGAAATAAAAGGCTTCTAAACTGGAAAAGAAGGGGCCGGGTGCAATGGCTCACGCTTGTAATCCCAGCACTTTGGGAGCCCAAGGTGGGCAGATCACTTGAGGTCAGGAGTTCAAGACTGGTCTGGCCAACATGGTGAAACTGCATCTCTATTAAAAATACAAATATTAGCTAGGCATGGTGGCTGGCACCTGTAATCCCAGCCATTCAGGAGGTTGAATAAGGAGATTCGCTTGAGCCCAGAAGGCAAAAGTTACAGTGAGCCAAGATCACGCCCCTGCACTCCAGCCTGGGCATCAGAGTAAGACTCTGTCTCAAAACAAAATAAAACAATAGGCCGGGCACGGTGGCTCACACCTGTAATCCCAGCACTTTGGGAGGCCGAGGTGGGCAGATCACGAGGTCAGGAGATCGAGACCATCCTGGCTAACACGGTGAAACCCCGTCTCTGCTAAAAATCCAAAAAAAAATGGCTGGGCGCCATGGCAGGCGGCTGCAGTCCCAGCTACCCGGGAGCCTGAGGCAGGAGAATGGCGTGAACCCAGGAGGCGGAGCTTGCAGTGAGCAGAGATCGCGTCACTGCACTCCAACCTGGGCAACAGAGTGACACTCTGCCTCAAAAATAAATAAATAAATAGGCCGGGTGCGGTGGCTTACGCCTGTAACCCAGCACTCTGGGAGGCTGAGGCAGGTGGATCACCTTAGGTCAGGAGTTCAAGACCAGCCTGACCAGCATGGAGAAACCCCATCTCTCCTAAAAATACAAAATTAGCCAGGTGTGGTGGCACATGCCTGTAATCCCAGCTACTCCGGAGGCTGAGGCAGGAGAATTGCTTGAGCCCGGGAGGTGGAGATTGTGGTGAGCCGAGATCGTGCCATTGCACTCCAGCCTGGGCAACAAGAGCAAAATTCCATCTCAGAAAATAAATAAATAAATAAACAAATAAAACAAAACAATAAAATAAAAAGAAATTGGAAAAGAAGAAGTCAAATTGTCTCTCTTTGCAGACATGATCTTATGTATAGAAAAGCCTAAACAATCCACTGAAAAAACTCCTAGAACTGATAAACAAATTCAGTGAAGTTGCAAGATACAAAAATCAACATATGAAAATCAGTAGCATTTCTATACACCAATAATAAAATAGAAAAGAAATCAAGAAAGTGATCCCATTTACAAGAGCTACAAAAAATAAAGTCCCAAGGAATAAAAGTTAGCCAAGGAAGTGAAGGACCTCTACAACAAAAACTACAAAACACTGATGAAGGAAATTGGAAAGGTCACAAAAAAGTGGAAAGACATCCCATGCTCATGGATTGGAAAAATTAATATTGTTAAAATGGCCATACTACGGCTAGGCACGATGATTCGTGCCTATAATCCCAGCACTGTGGGAGGCCTAGGAGGGAGGATCACTTGAGCCTAGGAGTTCAAGACAAGCCTGAGCAACATAACGAGACACAACAAAAAAATTTTAAAAATTAGCCAGGCATGGTGGTACACACCTTGCAGTCCCAGCTACTCAGGAGGCTGAGGCAGGAGGATTGCTTGAGCCCAGGAGTTCAAGGTTACAGTGAGCTATGATTGTGCCTCTGCACTCCAGCCTGGGCAACAGAGCGAGACCCTGCCTGAAAAATAAATAAATAAATTTTTAAAATAAGAAATAAAAATAAAATTAAATTTAAAAGGCCATACTACCCAAAGCAATCTACAGATTCAGCGCAATCCCTATCAAAATAGCAACGACACTCTTCACAGAAACAGAAAAAACAATCCTAAAATTTGTATAGAATCACAAAAGACTCCAAATAGCCAAAGCAATACTAAGCAAAAAGAATAGAGCTGGAGGCATCACCCTACCTGAGTTCGAAATATACTACAGGGTGGGCAAGCACATGCCTGTAATCCCAACACTTTTGGAGGCCAACGTGGGTGGATCACTTGAGCAGAGGAGTTTGAGACCAGCCTGGACAACATGGAGAAACCCCATCTCTACCAAAAAAAAAATAGTAGCCAGGCATTATGGCACACACCTATAGTCCCAGCTACTTCAGAGGCTGAGGTGGGAGAATCACTTGAGTCCAGGAGGTGGAGGCTGCAGTGAGCTGAAATTGCTACTGTACTCCAACCTGGGACATAGAGCAAGACCCTGCCCCAAATATAAATATAAATATTATACACTACAAAGCTATAGTAACAAAACAGCATGGTATTGGTATAAAAACAGACACAGACCAATGGAAAAAAATGGAGAACCCAGAAATAAATCTATGTACTTACCACAAACTGATTTTTTGACAAAGGCACCAAGAACATACACTGGGAAAAGGACATCTTCTTTAATAAATGGTGCTGGGAAAACTGGATATTGATAAGAAGAAGAAAAGTAGACCCCATCTGTCATCACATACAAAAATCAATTCAAAATGGATTAAAGACTTAAACATAAGGCCTGAAACTATAAAACTACTAGAAGAAATCCTAGGGGAAATGCTTCAGGACATGGGTCTAGGCAAAGATTTTATGGCTAAGACTTCAAAAGCACAGGCAACAAAAACAAAAATAGACAAATAAGACTATATTAAACCAAAAACGTCTGCACCGCAAAGAAACAGTCAACAGAGTTAAGAGACAACCTGCAGAATGGGAGAAAATATTTGCAAATTATTCATCTAACAAGGGACTAATATCCAGAATATACAAGGAATACAAATGACTCAACAGCAAAAAACAAACATAATATTAAGTGGGCAAAGGACATGAATAGACATTTCTCAAAAGAAAACAAATGGCCAACAGGCATACGAAAAAATGCTCAGCTGGGTGCAGTGGCTCACACCTGTAGTCCCAACACTTTGGGAGGCTGAGGTGGGCGGATCACAAGGTCAAGAGATCGAGACCATCCTGGCCAACAGGGTGAAACCCAGTCCCTACTAAAAATACAAAAATTAGCTGGGCATGGTGGCAAGCACCTGTAGTCACAGCTACTCGGGAGGCTGAGGCAGAATTGCTTGAACCCATGAAGCAGAGGTTGCAGTGAGTCAAGATCATACCACTGCTCTCCAGCCTGGTGACAGAGCGGGACTCCGTCTCAAAAAAAAAAAAAAAAAAAAAAAAAAAAAAAAAAAAAAAAGCTCAACATCACTAATCATCAGAGAAATGCAAATCAAAACCACAATGAGATATCATCTCACCTCAGTTAGAATGGCTGTTATCAAAAAGACAAATGCTGGCGAGGATGTGCAGAAAAGGGAACTCATACACTGTTGTTGGGAATTAAGTTAATACAGCCATTATGGAAAGTAGTATGGAGGTTTCTCAAAAAACTAAAAATTGAACTATCACATGATTCAAACAGTTCCACTACTGGGATAAATAACCCTAGAAATCCTGATTCCTAGGGAATCGGTACCTGATTTCCTTTCCTTTGGATAAATAATCCAGGAGTGGGATTGCTGGATCATATGGTAGTCCTATTTTTAGTTTTTTGAGAAATCTCCTTACTTCTCTCCGTAATGGAAATCAGTATCCAAATGAAAGGAGGGATATCTGCACGCCCTTGTTTACTGCAGCACTATTCCAAGAGCCAAGATATGGAATCAACCTAAGTGTCCATCAACAGGTGAATGGAAAAAGAAAATGTGGTACCTATACACAATGGAATATATCCAGCCATAAAAAAAATATGGAAGCCCTGTCATTTGCAGCAATATGGGTGGAACTGGAGGTCATTATGTTATGTGAAACAAGCCAGACACAAAAAGACAAATTTCACATGTTCTCACTCATGTGAGAGCTAAAAAAAAAAAAAAAAAAAAAAAAAAAAAAAAAAAAAAAGTAGAATTAATGGGAGTAGAGAGTAGAATGATGGTTACTAGAGGCTGGGAAGTGGGGGTGGGGGGAGGATGAACAGAGGTTGATTAATGGGTACAAACATACTGTTTGATGGAAATAAGATAAGTTGAAATAAGAAATAAGTTGATAGTACAGTAGGGTGACTATAGTTAACAATAATTTATTGTATATTTCAAAATAGCTAGAAGAGAAGATTTGAAATGTTTCCAACACAAAGAAATGATAAATGTTTAGCCGGGCCCAGTGGCTCATGCCTGTAATCCCAGCACTTTGGGAGGCCTAGGCAGGAGGATCACTGAGGTCAGGAGTTCGAGACCAACCTGGCCAACATGGTGAAACCCCATCTCTAGTAAAAATATGAAAATTAGCTGGGCATGGTGGTAAGCACCTATAAACCCAGCTACTTGGGAGGCTGAGGCAGGAGAATCGCTTGAACATGGGAGGCAGAGGTTATAGTGAGCTGAGATGGCACCACCGCACTCCAGCCTGGGTGATGAGAGTGAAACGCCATCTCCAAAAAAAAAAAAAAAAGAAAAGAAATAATGTTGAAGGTACCCCAGTTACCCTGATTTGCTCATTACACATTGTGTGCAAGTATAAAAATATCATATGTACCCCATAAATATGTACAATTAATATGTATCAGTTTAAAAAGTTAATGACGATGGTACCAATATTATAGCCTCATTTAGCAGATGAGGAAACTGAGGCACTGAGCTATGAATTAACACACCTGAAATCACAGAGCACAGTCCAGACTTGAACCCAGACTGTCCAGTTCCAGTGTCCCAGCTCTAGGTCATGACCTCAGGGTCATCCCCCTCCCCTGCCTCCATTTAGCCTTCACTGTGACCCCCAGCTGCAGCCTGACATCAGTGTGATTATTCACGGGGTGGGTAGCCTGGGGCCACTGAAGGCCGGTTTGCTTTGAGCACTGCTCTCCAATGAGGCTGGAAGCCCTTTGAGGGGCTGTCGTATTCACCGCGGGATGCCCAGGTCCCGCCCAATTGGCGGAATCACCGTTTGTTGAGTGAATTCTTGAACGTCTGTGCATGGCATGCATGTGCCTGCCATTTGCTCATCTTTACCACACACTTGGCTGCAATGGCTGTCACCTTCAATAGGCGCCTTGCCAGGGACAGAGAGCTCAGGGACAGCCAAGGAGACTGGAACTGCTCAGCTGGGGATAGGGAGCCTAGGGGGCCCTGGCAGGCCCCCAAGCCTCTCCTGGGTTGTCCTGGCCAATTCACAGGGAGGCTGACCCCAGCTTCCAGGAATAAAAGATTCTGACCTCTCCGTGGCAATGAGCCCCTGTCCCAGGGGTGTGCGGGAGATCCCTGGTTATCTGAGGTGTCTCCAGGGTATATCCGCTGAAACCCCACTTCCTCTTCACTGCCCACTGAGCCTGGGACCAGCTGCTGGTCACGTGCTTGGCCCTGTAGCGTCGCTAGCCGTGCTCCTCAGTGTGCTCCCCGCCCCCTGCCGCGGCGCCTCGCCTCCCGGCTCACCTCCCCACCCCACCTGCCCGCTGCGGCTCTCCGCGGGAGATCTCACCGTTCTGGAGACAGGGCTCGCTCGCTCTCACGGTAGGCTGGAAGAACGGGCTGTCTGGGCCTTAGGAAAGGCCCATGCTGTATAAGGCATGGGGAAAGGAAAGGAAGAAAGGCAACGAACAAGAAGGAGGGCTTCCAACTGCAGCTTCCTGCCGGCTGCAGGCCTCCCTTCCTAAGCTGAGCTGAGGCTTCCTCTCCATGGGCTGGGGAGGGGGCGCCAGGAGGCCTCGGCGGGTCCGCAATTGGCCGGGACAGCTTCTCACGAAAGGTCCTGGGCCGGCATCATCAGCCTCACCTGGGAACTGGTTAGAACTACAAATTCCCTCGGCCCCACCCAGACCGACGCCAAGGGCAGCTGTGGAGTGGGGCGCGGCAATGCGCCCCTTAACAGCCCTCCAGGTGATTCTGCCGCGCAGAGGAGGAAAGAATGGGAGAAGGGAAGGGGAGAGGGAGGCGGCTTCTTTGCGACTAATTGGACACCTGCCCTTCCCCTTCCCAGGCTTCTTAGCCCGGGCTTGGACAGCCGCCTTCCGGCCAGAGGGGATGAGGTTGCGCTGCGCTCCGGGAGCGCCGATGGCGTGACTGGCCCCGCGCGGAGCAGCGACAGTAAGGCTGTGTGGGGGGAGCTGGGACCTAAGCCGCGCGCACACCCCTTTCTCTGCGTCTGGTGGAGGTGCACAGAGGCTTTTGAGTCAGGCCCAAGCGCAGCCAGGTGACCTCCCCGCGGCCTTTCAAGCCTGAGCTCGGTGGACAGCTCCCTCTCCCGTGAGTCCCGCTGTCCTGTACGCGCCCGGTCGAGCCCCGGGCTGCGCACCCCGCTAGGAGGTGGGTACTCGTCCTCCAGGAGTTGCCGGTGAGCCCTTGACCGTGGCAGGTCCCCTCCAGCCGCGAGCGACCCCTCAGTACCTGCCGATGCCTGCTGGTCTCTGGCATCCTCCAGTCGAGGGTCAGGGTCAGGGAGCAAGGCCTCACGCGGGCGCCCTCCTTGCAGCTGCCCGGCCAGCCCGCTTCTCTGCCCGGAGCCATGAATCTCAGTAGCGCCAGTAGCACGGAGGAAAAGGCAGTGACGACCGTGCTCTGGGGTGAGTGGGGACTCAGGCTCCTTCCCAGAGACACGCCCCACCTCCGGTGCGCGGCAGCTTGGGGCGCAGGTGAGCCCCTCCTTTGGGAACGAATGGAGGGCCCCACTTCCCTCCCTTTCTCCTCCGCAGGCTGCGAGCTCAGTCAGGAGAGGCGGACTTGGACCTTCAGACCCCAGCTGGAGGGGAAGCAGAGCTGCAGGCTGTTGCTTCATACGGTAGGTGTTCCCAAAAGAGGGGAGGAAGATGGTGTCCGGGAACTTTCTGGTCCCAACGGAGGGCTATGGATTTCTCCCGTCGGCCCTCAGGGTGATGAGGGGCCTCTATTTTCAACCCCGCTCAGATTTGCTTGGGGGAGAAAGCCAAAGAGGAGATGCATCGCGTGGAGATCCTGCCCCCAGCAAACCAGGAGGACAAGAAGATGCAGCCGGTCACCATTGCCTCACTCCAGGCCTCAGTCCTCCCCATGGTGCGCATTTCCCTGCTGGCTGGAAGACTGCTGTCAGCCTCACCCTCACCCTTGGGTGGGGATGGACACACACGAGGGTGCATTCACCCTACAGAAATGAGCCATGCTAGGGAGGTAGCACAGCCCATGCAGAAAGCCGGGGTCCAGCCCAGCTCACCCCTTCCTAGAGCTGTGTGACCTTGGGCCAGTTAAGCTGTCTGCAAAAATTACACTTTAAACCAGGGGTCCCCAACTGCCGGGTCAAGGACCAGAACTCGTCCTGTTAGGAACCAGGCAGCACAGCAGGAGGTGAGCAGCCAGCTAGCCAGCATTACCCCTGAGCCCTGCCTCCCGTCAGATCAGAGCGGCATTAGATTCTCAGAGGAGCATGAACCCTATGGTAAGCTGTGCGTGCGAGGGGTCTAGGTTGCATGCTTCTTATGAGAATCGAATGCCTGATCTGAGGTGGAGCAGTTTCATCCCAAAACCACCCCCCACTCCCACCCCATCCATGCAAAAATTGTCTTCCAGGAAACCATTCCCTGGTTCCACAATGATTGGAGACTGCTGCTTTAAACCATTCACTGCTAGTGACAGGAACATGGTCGATCTACATATTGGTTGTGCATCCAGAAATTCTCTAGTTTCTAATAACTTAAGTTTTCTATGCATATAATAATTGTGAATAATGGCAGTTCTTGCCTTTTTTTTTTTTTTTTTTGAGATGGAGTTTCACTCTGTCACCCAGGCTGGAGTGCAGTGGTGCAATCTCAGCTCACTGCAATTTCTGCCTCCCAGGTTCAAGCAATTCTAGTGCCTCAGCCTTCGGAGTAGCTGGGATTACAGGTGTGCACCACCATGCCTGGCTAATTTTTGTATTTTTAGTAGAGACAGGGTTTCACAATGTTGCCCAGGCTAGTCTCGAACTCCTGACCTCAGGTGATTCGCCCGCCTTGGCCTCCCGAAGTGCTGGGATTACAGGCGTGAGTCACCACGCCAGGTCTTTTTTCTTTCTTTCTTTCTTTTAATCCTACTGCACTGGCTAGGCCCTGCAGTGGAATATTGGGTGAACATGAGATCAGGTCTGACATCCTTATTTCCTTCTTGTTTTTTAAAAAAGAAGCATTTGGTAAGTACATTTTGTCAGGTTAAGGAAGTCCCCATCTAAAACCCTCTGCTTTTAAAAAATTGCTTTGCTTTGAAATCACTAGAGGGGGTTAAATTTTACCAAATGCTTTTCTATTCATATGATTCTAGGTTCTTTAGTCCACGTGGTAAATTATATGAAGATAATAATATCTGAGTTCCTTTGCCATCCTGGGATAAATACTACTGGTCATGTTACAAATTCTAGATTTGTTTTACTCATATATTGAGCCCTTTTTTTTACCTGTATACATGTGAGGTTGGCCTATAAGTGATAGTATTTAGGTGTTCAGGACATGCTAGCCTCATGCACTGAGGGTGGAGGGTTCTCTCCTATTCCCTGGAACAGTGAATGGAAGACTAGGATCAGCTGTCCTTGGAGGTTTGGGAGACCCCTCTGTCAAACTGCCCTCAGACTTTCCTGTTCTATTTACACATACTTTGCAGGCGATCTCATCCTTTCCTGTGGTTTTCAAGACCATCTAAACAAATGAAGACTCAGGAACTTATTTCTGTAAACTCAACCTCTCTTGAGCTCCAAGTCCTATATCCAACTAAATGGCTTTGATAGATATCTAATAAATATCCCAAATTTAACATGTCTAAATCCACATATTCAATTTTTATCTCTAATCCACCCGCCTCCCCTTCAACCTGATTTTCTCTCAGAAAACAGCTGTTTTTCCAGTTAGCCAAGACAAAGCTCTTTTTTTTTTTTTTTCCCCTGAGATGGAGTTTCACTCTTATCACCCAGGCTGGAGTGCAATGGTGCGCTCTCGGCTCACTGCAACCTCCGCATCCCATGTTCGAGTGATTCTCCCATCTCAGCCTCCCAAGTAGCTGGGATTACAGGCATGTTCCACTACGCCAGGCTAATTTTTGTAATTTTAGTAGAGATGGGTTTTTGCCATGTTGGTCAGGCTGGTCTCGAACTCCTGACCTCAGGTGATATACCCGCCTTGGCCTCCCAAAGTGCTGGATTTACAGGCATGAGCCACCACACCCAGCCAAATCCTCTTTTTTCCCACACCCATATCTGATCTACCAGCAGTCCTGTTGTCTCTGCCCCCATCTTATACCCCAATGGACCACATCTCATCATCTTCCCTGCTACCCCTGGTACAGGTGACAGTTGCCTGTGGCTCCATTTTAATTGCACAGCCTTCCACCTGGTCTACCTACCATCACATGGTCCCCTGTAGTCTATTCCAGGGTAGGCAAACTAGAGGGCTTGAATCTAGGCTGCTGCCTGGTTTTGTAAGTAGTTTTACTGGGAACACAGCCACACTCATTCGTTTGTACCCTGTCCATGGCTGCTTTTCCTCCCTAACAGCAGATTTGAGTAGTCTCCATGGAGACCATATGGTTTGCAAACCTAAAATATTACCTTCTGGCTCTTAACAGAAAGTTTCCTGGTCTGTGCTCCACACAGCTGCCAAAAAGATTTTTTTTTTTTTTTTTTTTTTTTTTTGAGACAGAATCTTGCTTTGATACCAGGGCTGGAATGCAGTGGCTTAATCTCGGCTCACTGCAACCTCCACCTCCTTAGTAGCCGGGACAACAGGCGCTCCCCACCATGCCCAGCTGATTTTTTTTTTTTTTTGTAATTTTTAGTAGAGACGGGGTTTCACCATGTTGGCCAGGCTGGTCTTGAACTTCTGACTTCAAGTGATCCACCTGCCTCAGCCTCCCAAAGTGCTGAGATTATAGGCGTGAGCCACTATGCCCAGCCAAAAAGATCCTTTTAAACACAGGTTAGATCATGTGGCTTCTCTGCTAGAATAGTTAGGTCATGGCTCTCTCTCATTTGGAATAAGAGCCGAGAGTGTATTATGGCCTGCTTCGAAGCCTTTGTGTTCTGGCCTCAGCAACCTCTCTGTTTCAGGTGTGTTTTATGTCTTATGTTCCAGGTATGTATCTTTTACACAGTATGTAGCTAGATTTTGTTCTATCTGGCCAGTATAGTCTGTATTCATTGTGATTGCTGATGTAATTGGATTTGTGGCATGTACTTTGTACCCCTACTTTCCTTGCTTTTTTATTTTCTTCTCCTTTTCCTATATTTTATTAGATTAATTAAAGTTCCTTTTCCCCTTCTCTACTGGTTTGGAAGTTATAGAATCTCATTCTAATTTTTTTACTGTTTATCTTTAATTTTTTTAACAATCATACATTACTCAAAGTTTAGAATTAATGTTTTATGTCCTCCCAGACAATCCAAGGAGCTTTTCTGATTCTCCTTTTTTTATTTTTTTATTTTCGAAATGGAGTCTCACTTTGTTTCCCAGGCTAGAGTGCAGTGGTGCAATCTTGACTCACTGCAACCTCTGCTTCCCAGGTGATTCAAGTGATTCTCCTGCCTCAGCCTCCCAAGTAGCTGGGATTACAGGTATGCACCATCATGCCCAGCTAATTTTTGTATTTTTAGTAGAGACAGGGATTCACCACGTTGGCCAGGCTGGTCTTGAACTCCTGAGCTCAGGTGATCCTCCTGCCTTGGCCTCCCAAAGTGCTGGAATTATAGGTGTGAGCTACCGCACCTGGCCTGATTCTCATCTTTTTAACTTCAATATTATTATCAAGTGTTCTAGCTCCAACTTGTCAGCCTACTCAACACTACTCATTACTAGTACTATTGTATTTTCCAGTTAATTCTTATGTAGGTTTACTTTGTTTACCAATTAGTTTGGTTACCACTGCTTCTAGCACCCACTTCTTCCTTCTTGATCTAATTTCTTATCCTTTTTAGCAACATACTTTAGTAAGCCTGAGAATAGTAAACTTATTCAGGCTTTGTCTGGAAATATCATGATTTTGCCCTCATTCCTTCATGATGGTTTGGCTGTGTATATAATTCTAGATAGAGAGTTTCCTTCAGCTTTGAAGCTGTTCTATTCTGGTTCCCAATGTTGCTGTTGAAGTCCTCAATCTGTCTGATTATTCCCTTTTTGGAGATGTCTTTCCTCTCTGGCTTATTTTAAGATAATGTCTTTTGTTTTTATTTTCTATAGTTTTACCATGATGTGTTCAGGTGTAGATTTATTTTTTTTGTCTGTTCAGGACTTAGGTTTTCAGACATGAGGATCTATGTCTTTGATCAATTCTGGAAAATTATTGGTTGTTTTTCCTTTGAATATTGACTGTCTTCCAGTCTCCCTAGTCCCTTTTCCAATTAGATATATGTTGGGCCTTCTCACTCTGTCCCCCGTGTTAGCTCCCCCAATGTTTCTTTAAATCTCTCCCTCTCTGCCTTATACTGGGTAATTCCTTCACAGCATTATTGATCATACTAATTCTGCTTCTGCTGGTTTTTTCTGCTTTTTAATCATTTGATCAGGTTTTCTTTTATTTTTGTTTTAAAGACAAGGTCTTGCTCTGTTGCCTAGGTTGGAGTGCAGTGGCCTGATCATGGCTCACTGCAGCCTCAAACTCCTGGGCTCAAGTGATCCTCCCACTCAGCCTCCTAAGTAGCTGGGACTACAGGCATGAGCCACCATGCCCAGCTAATGTTTATTATTTTTTTGTAGAGCTGGAGTCTCACTATGTTATCCAGGCTGGTTTCTAATTTCTGACTTCAAGCACTCCTCCCACCTCAGCCTCTCAAAGTGCTGGGATTATAGGTGTGAGCCACCATGCCCATCCTCAGCTTTGGGTGTTTTATATCTAGAAAGCTGCATTTGGTTCTTTTTCTTTTCATAATGTCTTGTTCTTATGATTATGATTCCTACTTTTATATTTACTTGGTTTTAAACATATACATATATATATATATGTACATATTTCTGTATATACATATTTTAGAGACAAGATCTTGCTCTGTCGCCCAGTCTGGAGTGCATTGTTGCAATCATAGCTCACTGCAGCCTTGAACTCCTGAGTTCAAGCGATCTTCCGGCCTCAGCCCCCCCGAGTAGCCTGGGCTACAGGCGTGCACCAACACACCCAGCTTTATCTGATATTTTTTTAGATCAGTGTTCTAAGTTCTTGGTCGGGCTAGTCTGCAGTCACTTGATTTCTTTCTGTTGACTCTAGCTGGATTGTTTCTTGTATGTTTTGTAATTTTATACGGTGAGCTCATCTTTAGTTTATTTTGTTTTTTTCCAAAAGAATTCGATGTGGCCTGAGTTTGGGGAGTGTTCCAACAGAGTGGTTTCGTGTTTGCTTCTGCCATTTACCTCAGGAATATCATAAGCTTGGGATTTTCTGTACATTTCTTGGCTTGGCAGTACTCACTGAGTAAATTCAGACCCCATAAGTGAGAGGTACAGCTATGGGGTATGGGCTCTCACTGGAGACTTCTTTTATTTCCATTCATGCTTTGTTGTTAGCTTCCTTTAATGGTGGCTAGGGTTTTGATTTTTGTTTTTCATTTTTGAGGAGAAGAGGGCTGGTTTGGGCTTTTGAGTCTCTAATCCTCAACACTTACCTTGGGCCTCTCACTAAGGGTATAGCCCTTGAGGGTCCTACCCTCCCCATGGTGGTCTCAGCTACAACTCTCCTCCTTGCCTGAGCCCAAGGCCTTGTCTCCTGACTGTGAAGATTTTGTTGTTGTTCTGTTGTGTTTTTTAAAGACAGTCTTGTTCTGTCGCCCAGGCTGGCACGCAGTGGCGCAATCTCGGCTCACTGCAGCCTCCGCTTCCTGGGTTCAAGCAGTTCTCCTGCCTCAGCCCCCTGAGTAGCTGGGATTACAGGTGTGCACCATCACACCTGGCTAATTTTTGTATTTTTAGTAGAAACAGGGTTTCACCATGTTGCCCAGGCTGGTCTCAAACTCCTGACCTCAAGTTATCCGCCTGCCTTGGCCTCCCAAAGTGCTTGGATTACAGGCATGAGCCACCGTGCGTGCTCGGCCTGTGTGTGAGTTTTGAAGCAAAAAGTCCTGGCTGTTTTCAGGTCCATTTCCCCTCGGTTGCAGCACACCAGCTCCTGCACCTGCCTGTCTTCATTTCTTTTTTCTTTTTTTCATTCATCACTAATCAGAAGGCATCCTCTCTTCATTTTTTATGTACGAGGATTCTTCTGTCTTACTGTTCAGCCATGCAGTAGAAACACTGAATTACATCCTCTCTGGCATTTCTAAGTGTCTCTGGCTGCAGAGTTTGTTTTCACTTATTACCTCCTGTTTGAACTTAGAGTTTAGAAGCTGTAAGTTATTCACTCTAAGTCTCAGTTTCCTCCTCTGTAAAGTATCAGTACTTACATCATGGGTTTCTTGTGAGGATTTAATGAGATAAAGCAGATAAAATGCTTAGCAGGGTGCCTGACACGTGGCAGAAGCTCAAAACAATAAGCTATCATTGTCATTCGAGAAAATTTGGGAAGTTTGGAAAAGTATAAATACAATAAATACCTTACTATCGACTGACAATTATGGTTAGCACTTTAATATATTTTAAACCTTTATTCTTATGTATATCCATACATTATACATAAGACAAAAGTAGTACTGTAGAGGCTCTTGTCATTTATAAGTGTGATGATTGGGGTTTCACGCTCGTGTGTAAGGTGTGCCTCCCACAAACCTGGTTACGAGTTGGCACATCACCTGTCTGATGTGAAGAAAGCAAGCAGCACTGTACATAAAATCATGCATCTGCTTTCTCGTTTGATCGGTGTCTCAGTCTGCCCAAGTTGCTATAACAAAATACCACAGACTGGAGGGCTTTAGCAACAGACGTTTTCTCACACTTCTGGAGGCTTTGAGGTCTGAGATCAGGGGGCCGGCATGGTTGGGTTCTGGTAAGGGTCCTCTCCCTGAGTTGCAGACGGCAGCCTTCTTGCTATGTGTTCACGTGTGGGGCAGGAGAGTGGAGAGAAAGAGAGTGAGTTCTCTAGTGTCTCTTTTTGTAAAGGTACTAGTTCTATCATGAGGGTCCTGCCCTCATGACCCCAAACCTAATGACCTCCCAAGGCCTGCATTTCTAAATACTATCACACTGGAGGATAGGGCTTCAACATAGGAATTTGGAGGATGGGGGGAATGGCCATAATTTAGCCCATACTAATCAGATTCCTCTATCTGACGGCTGCCCTTCAGCTTGGAAGCCCATCTGTGAGCTTAGCAAGAATGGGATTACCAGGTTCAAATTCTTGGACAGAATCCACCTCAGCAGGGGCTGAGTAGTGTGTAGGGTTTGGGGAGGGAAATCAACTCAGTATTTCTGCCTGAGGCTAGTCCCCGAGAGGTGCCAGGCCTAAGTGGCCCTGTCTTCTCTGCTTCCTCCCCCTGCAGGTCTCCATGGTAGGAGTGCAGCTTTCTCCCCCAGTTACTTTCCAGCTCCGGGCTGGCTCAGGACCCGTGTTCCTCAGTGGCCAGGAACGTTATGGTAAGTCAGAGCCTGCGATCAGGAAGGTCCGTGAGTACCGTGCTAGGCAGGGGCTCGGGACATACTAGCTACTCAAACACTGGAGGGATTCTTGAATGTTGGAAGAAAATCCCCAAAGGCAACATGACAGCCAGCAGCCTGGACTGGAAGGCAAGGGCGCTGGTCCCTGTTCTTCTTCTTTACCTGCCATGACCTCTGTAGGCTGCAGCCCCTCACTTGTAAACTTCAAAGAGCAGTTGTGAAGAATAAATGGGATATTCAGGAAAAGCACTCAGCGTAATACCCAGCACTAGGGAACCACTGTTCAGGATGTGGCTGCTGCAGTGATGCAGACCATAGCAACGCAGACCATAGCAACGCAGACCATAGCAACGCGGCATGATGCTGACTCCTTCAAGGTCCCTTCAACTGGCCCTCTTTTCTGTATGATTATGCCTCATTCATCAGGGTACTCTCCTGCTAAAAAGCCTTGGCAGGTCCCACTTCTCTTAGGATAAGGTTTCAATTCTTTAGCTATTTGTTTTAGATTCTTTCCCCCTCTCCTCCTCTTCCTCCCCTACTCTGCCTACCTTTAGCCTTGGCCCCAGCCCTTGCCAATATGAATCCCCCTCCTACCCAGCCAGAGCCACTTCCCCTGCCCTCTTTCTACCACCCCAGCCCTCTGCAGGGCTTTCCTAGACCCCCTACCCTACCCTGGCCTCCACTGTTGGGAGGGCCAGAAAGGGTGCCGCCCTGTACAGGTGGCAGGCAGGTAACCACTGTCAACTCCAGGCTAGGATTCCTCCAGGGCAGTGCTTGGAGCAACACGGATCACAGAATGGGAGGTGGGCATTGATTCTGTAGCTCTGAAGCTGTGCCCCTGCATCCTTTCCCATGCTATTACAGAAGCATCAGACCTAACCTGGGAGGAGGAGGAGGAAGAAGAAGGGGAGGAGGAGGAAGAGGAAGAGGAAGATGATGAGGATGAGGATGCAGATATATCTCTGGAGGAGCAAAGCCCTGTCAAACAAGTCAAAAGGCTGGTGCCCCAGAAGCAGGCGAGCGTGGCTAAGGTGGGGGAAGGAGCGTGGCTGTTTGGAAGGAAGTGGTACCCCTACAGAAGCACTTAAGAGGGGTGGGCCACCGGGAGCCTGGGCCAGCCTCCCAGAATGAGTGTACAGGATGGGCCAAGGCCACCTCAGCTAGTTCTGGCCAGGAGCTCAGCGGGGACCTTGTGGACTTTGGGAATCTGTTCTGGCTCTGGACTTTGTCTGAACTCTCATAATACACTGTTTTTTGGTTCCCAGAAAAAAAAGCTGGAAAAAGAAGAAGAGGAAATAAGGTAACTCTTTCTACCTATTAAATTAGCCAAAGTCTCCAGCTGAGATATACAGTGTTAGAAAGAATACTGTGCTGTTGGGATGTACGTGTACAAATGTACACACGGTGTGTCTACCTGCACTCGCAGGCACATGGGTATGGAAGTGCTGAAGGGTGGCATCACCTTTCTGGAAGAGCATTACAACGTTCTTATCTTGGGATCTAATTCCAGTGAAGGCAATTCCTTCCACAGAATTCCATCCAAATTTCAGGGGAAATTACCTGCACTAAGATGCTTCTCACGGCCAGGCTTGGTGGCCCACGCCTGTAATCCCAGCACTTTGGGAGGCTAAGGCAGGCAGATCACTTGAGGTCAGGAGCTCGAGACTAGCCTGGTCAACATGATGAAACCCTGTCTCTACTAAAAACACAAAAATTAACCGAGCCTGGTGGCATTCTTGTAATCCCAGCTACTCAGGAGGCTGAGGCATGAGAATTGCTTGAGCCCGGGGAAAAGTTGCAGTGAGCCGAGATCGTGCCACTGCGCTCCAGCCTGGATGACAGAGCGAGACTCAGTCTGAAAAAACAAAATTTTAAAAAGACGCTTATGGCATTATTTGAATAGTGAAAAAATGGAAGCATTCTAAATGTCTACCAATATAACAATTCACTAAGCTACATCCCTCTTCTCAATGGAATATTACATAATGCTTATGAAGAATATAGCAACCTGGAAAGTATGTGTATAGTTTTGGTTTGTTTGTTTAATGAGACAGGGTTTTGCTCTGCCACCCAGGCTGGAGTGTGATGGCACAATCATGGCTCACTGCAGCCTTAGCTTCCTGGGCTCAAGCAATCCTCCCACCTCAGCTTTCCAAGTAGCTAGGACTATAGGCACGTGCCACTATGCATGGCTAACTTTTAAGTTTTGTGTAGAGACAGGGTCTTTCTATGTTGCCCAGGCTGATCTCAAACTCCTGACCTCAAGCAATCCTCCTGCCTCAGCCTCCCAAAGCACTGGAATTACAAGTGTGAGCCTCTGCACCTGATAAGAATATTGATAGTTCATACAGCAGGACATAAAGTCATTTTTATTTTATTTCACATATTTTTAAAAAGAGTTTGACCAGGCCGGGTACGGTGGCTCACGCCTGTAATCCCAGCACTTTGGGAAGCCAAGGTGGGAGGATCACTTGAGGTCAGGAGTTCAAGACCAGCCTTGCCAACATAGCAAAACCCTGTCTCTACTAAAATACAAAATTCAGCTGGGCGTGGTGGCATGTGCCTGTAATCCCAGCTACTCGGGAGGCTGAGGCAGGAGAATCACTTAGACCCGGAATGCGA
Source organism: Homo sapiens (assembly GCF_000001405.40). Classification (NCBI taxonomy): domain Eukaryota; kingdom Metazoa; phylum Chordata; class Mammalia; order Primates; family Hominidae; genus Homo; species Homo sapiens. Next base: position 22,035,867 of record NC_000008.11, read on the forward strand.
AGGATGCAGTGAACCAAGATCACACCACTGCACACCAGCCTGGGCAACAGAGCAAGACTCCATCTCAAAAAAAAAAAAAAAAGTTTGACCAAGAAAAAAATAATAACCCTGAAAGAAAATACACCAAAATGTTTAGTGTGGGCAGTAAAGAAAACTATAAGTAATGTATTTTCTTGTCTATTTGCTATATTTTGTACAAAATGGTTAATATTTTATAATGAAAAAGACATTTGTGGGCCAGGTGTGGTGGTGCACACCTGCAGTCCCAGCTTCTCAGGAGGCTGAGGCAGGAGGATCACTCGAGCCCAGGAGGTCGAGGCTGCAGTGAGCTGTGATAGTGTCACTGCACTCCAGCCTGGGCAACAGAACCAGACTCCATCTCAAAAACAAAACAAAACAAAAGACATTTGTGATAACTAAATGAAGATGGAAGCCTAAGGAAAACACATATGCGTATGCATGCACACGCACACACATCCCTTTGTTTAAAGAGTCCGAGTGGTCCCCAGGAGGAGCAGCCAGGCTTGCTTTCCAGGGTGGGCACTGGGAGGGCCACGCCGCTGGTCTGGAGCTGAGCTCTCTCCCTGACCCCAATCCCACTCCTGCTCCGCTCCACCCTGTTGCAGAGCCAGCGTTAGAGACAAGAGCCCTGTGAAAAAGGTGAGTAGGACCAGAGGGCTTTGGCCCTTGGGACAGGCGAGTATTCTCTGGAGGGGGCTGCCTGGTATGGAGAAGGGAACGGGACCCTGGAGCCCTGCCTTCCCTCCACAGGCCAAAGCCACAGCCAGAGCCAAGAAGCCAGGATTCAAGAAATGAGGAGCCACGCCTTGGGGGGCACGGTGCAAAGTGGGCCTTCCCTGGGCTGTGCTGCAGGCACAGGGTGCCCCTGTCCAGCCCCTCCACCTGTGTCTGAATGCAACAGGGGTGTTGCGGGGGCAACATGAGAGCCCCTCACCCCCAACTCTCCACTTTCAGGAGGCCCCCAGTGAAGAGCCCCACCTCGGGGTCACAATAAAGTTGCCTGGTCAGGACTTTCCTTCTCTTCCCTGGAGCCAGCCTCCTTGTCCGCTGCACCAGCCCCAGTGCCCGGCAGAGGGCAGCCTTGAACCGGTGCACCCGGGCCCTGAGGTCATACCTGCCTCCCTGCACCCAGCCCCCGCGGCCTGAGCCTGCTGTGTCCCTCGTCCTCGGCACCCCCAATTCTCCCCCAGTGGCGAGGGAAGAGCCTAGAGTCTGCCTTCTGCTGAGCTGTGTGTCAGGTGGATTTCCAGCCTGCACCCTCCCTCTGGGCAGAGCTAGGTTTATAGGCACCCAAGGGCTACGGCTGCTCAAGCTACCAGAAGGGGCCTCGCCCTAGGGGGCCAGCCCCCAGGGTCTTCTCCTGACCTTATTCCTGTCAGGCAGCTACTGTGTGCAGAGCATCTATAGGGAACTCAGGGACATCCGCTCTCCCTGCTTGCTTCCGTTAGGGGCCAGCTCATCTTATAGGGACCTCCCACATGTGAAGATCTGTGTCAGGCAGGAGCCAGAGGCCCGCACCTTCAAAAAAACCTTTGAGGTGGAGTAGACAGGGTGAGCTTTACAGAGGCGCCAAGCCCCACATGCTATCGAGTAGGCCTCAGTCAAGCATAGGGGCGAGGCCAAGAGAGGACTGGAAAATGGGGTGGGGGACCCCCACCCTCTCCCTGGTGTGCAGAGGGGACTCTGGAGGGCTGTTCACCTGTGGGTGACCCTGGCGCAGTTCCTAGAACAGGCGGACACACAGATGAGCCCTACACTCTGGGTTATCCATGCAGCGCCTCTGCTGGCTTCTCCCTGCCCCTCCCCAGCACCCTCTGGGGTCAGGCCCGAAGTGAACCAGTGGGGAGCTGGTCCTGCTGTCCTGCTTAGTACCCCCAGGTATGGGGCCCAGGAGGTCGGAGCTCTTTGAACACCTGCCTAGGAAAGTCAACAACCAGGCTGGGGCCTCCTGTCCAGCTATAGCTTCTTTTGAGACCAGAGACAGAGGTAGCAGAGGGCAGGGTTGTATTCATTTTTTTTTTAATTTTTATTTTTTTTAGAGACCGGGTCTCACTCTGTCACCGAGGCTGGAGGGCAGTGGCACAGTCTTAGCTCACGGCAGCCTCGACCTCCTGGACTCAAGCAATCCTCCCACCTCAACCTCCCAAAGTGCTGGAACTACAGGCACGAGCCACCACACCAAAACAAATTTTAAAATTTTTTGTAGAGATGGGGGGTCTTGTTAAGTTGCCCAGGCCAGTCTCCAACTCCTGGGCTCAAGAGATCCTCCTGCCTCAGCCTCCCAAAATGCTGGGATTACAGACGTCAGCCACTGCACCCACCCAGGGTGGCATTCTCCCTGCATGTTTCCTACACCCATGAGACAGATGTGGGTGCTGTCCTGCCCTCCAACAGACAAGCCACTAACTTTAGGTCACCCAGAGTCCCACCCTCCAACAAAGGGACAAACCACTAACTTCAGGTCACCCAGAGAGTGACAAGGGGGACTGCTCCATGTGAGCAGCTGGTGCTTTTTGAACTTGGTTTCATCTACAGTGACCCGGGGTAACCCAATTCCTCACCTTCAAGTCACTTACAGTCTAGTGGAAACAAAACCCAACACAATTTCAGTTACTGTCTGGTGCTTTGAAGGGAGTGGAACAGGTGAACTTGAGGGGCAGGAGGAAGCAGTTTGGTGAGAAGGTCTCCTGGAGGAGGCAACGGACAAGAAGGGCTCAATGGGCTTCATTAGGAGCTGGCAGAGGACGTTCCTGGGAACAGGAACAGAGCATGCAAAGGGTCCGAGGCAGAGCCCCACTTGAAGGGGGATCGGCTGCAGTGACAGCTTCTAATACCCACGACCCACTCCTTCAACCCTCATAACCGTGCCTTAAGGGGATTGTGACTGGCTCCATTTCTTTCTCTTTTTAATTTTTTTTTTAGATACTGGGTCACACTCTGTCAGCCAGGTTGGAGTGTAGTGGCACGATCATGGCTTACTGCAGCCTCGAACTCTGGGCTCCGCCTATCCTCCTGCTTCAGCCCCCTCAAGTAGCTGGGACTACAGGCATGCACCACTATACCCAGCTCATTTTTTTTTAACATTTTTGTAGAGATGGGGATCTCACTATGTGGCCCAGGCTAGTCTCAAACTCCTGACCTCACACTATCCTTCTATCGGCCTCCCAAAGTGCTGGGATTACAGGTGTGAGCCACCACACCTGGCCCAGCCCCATTTCCCAGATGAGGAAAGTGTGGCACAGAGAGGTTAGACAAGTTGCCCCAAGGTGACACGGCTGGCAGAGGAGCCAGGGAGTCCCACCCCAGAGCCCTGGATTTTGACCACTCTGCTGATGGGAGGGAGGCATGAGCCGGTGCACAGTTTATGAAGTCGTGTAAACTGAGAGCAGGAGTTAGAAGTCAGTCAACCATGTAATGGGAGTCCTCAAGGGACAGCTAGGCGTTTCTACAGCCAAGCGCATATTTGGCCCCAAGCACAAGAAGGCGCGCAACAGATAAACCAGTGATCACTTGATTTTGATTTGCAAGCAGGCAGTAGGAAATAAATTGCAAAGGTGGAGGCCGGATGCAGTGGCTCATGCCTATAATCCCAGCACTTTGGGAGGCCAAGGTGGGCAGATCACTTGAGGTCGGGAGTTTGAGACCAGCCTGACCAACACGGAGAAACCCCGTCTCTACTAAAAATACAAAATTAGCTGGGTGTGGTGGCGGGCACCTGTAATCCCAGCTACTTGGGAGGCTAAGGCATGAGAATCATTTGAACCCAGGAAGCAGAGGTTGCAGTGAGCTGAGATCGCGCCATTGCACTCCAGCCTGAACAACAAGAATGAAACTCCGTCTCAAAAAAGAAAAATTTGCAAAGGTGAGGGTCCATCCTCATTGCTAGGGTGCCCTTTGCCCTCTGCCCTTTGCCCTTCCCCTGCCCCAACTCTTCTGTTTTTCAGCAGGAAGAGGGTGGGCTGGGCTCAAGCAGGTGGTGGCAAGTGGCTGACCTGCAGGTGGGCTCTGTGTTTGCACCAGCTGGGCTGTTAGGAGAGGCAGGCGTGAGACGACCCCAGCTGGGGGGTGTTGAACTTGGCACTATGGGGTGAGGATTAACCACAGCAGCCCAGGCTACTTCTCAGTTCCCTTATCACCTCCTGAACCCCACCCCCCCAGCAATGAATGTTAATAAACCCCACCCTTCTTCCCTCCCCCTTTCCCCGAGCTCACTCCAGTCAAGGGAGAGAGTCTGACAGTTTAGGTCAACTGAGGCTAAGCCACAAAAAGGGCCCCTGCCCCCATTCTTGTGGCACTTGATGCGTTTCTGTGAGTCCTTTATCTCAGCTGACGTGGATGGCGGTGGTTTTGACAGTATCCCTGCTGGTAGCCATTTCCTTTTTATAAACTGGGACCCTGAAACCAGAGAAGTGAAGGGACTTGCCACAGGTCACACAGCGTATAAGGACCAGGGCAAAGGGGCGGGGATAAAATCAAGGGCTCCATGCTGCCTCCCCACTTGGGGCCCACCACTGGCTTCCCCATGGGCGTAAAGGAGCAAACCAAGTTAGAAGGCCAGGCCTGCAGGTGCCCAACAGGAAGGGACAAGGAGCCACAGCTGTCTTGCCTGTGACACAGGCCATCCAGCCATGCCCAGAGCTAACCCCCTGGCTAAGCCCCGAGGCCCAGCTTGACTGCTGGCATCTGTTACCATGGAGACCCAGGCTGGCCTGAGGGCTGGGCCAGTGATGGCAGGCCCTGTCCCCATGGATAGAAACAGGTGCTTGGGCTCAGAGGCCTTGAGTGGCTCCCACTGTCCCCATGGCCAGTGAGTCCCGACAGCATAAATTGGAACCGTTACCCACCTTTCGCCCCCCAGCTGACACCTCCACCAACCCAAGGCCTGAGCTGTCCCCTCCACGTGTCTGTGCTCTCTTTAATGCCCTGCCTGGGGGCTGGGAGTGGTGAGGATGTGGATGTGAGGTTGAAGGTTTCTCAGGGAATGAGCCAGAGCTGCCAGAAGAGGCAGAGTGTAACCCAGACTGCAGATGATGGGAAGAACGCGGAACAGAAGTGACCTGAAGGATCCGCAGGGGGAAAGCAGAGAGGTGGGCACGCGGGCACCTGGTACCTTGTCCCAGCCATGCCACCAGCTAGCTGTGAGGCTTTGGGCGAGTCCCTTGCCCTCTCTGGCTCTCATCCAAGGAATGAGGAAGTTGGAACAAATGATGAATCCCTAAGACCCCTTCTAGGTTTGACATTCTTTGAGTTGCATTCCAAAACCCTGGACTCCCCCAGGTAAGCAAGGCCAGGGCTTGCCCCATCCTCCCCACACAAGCTCAGGCAGCACCCACTCCTGGGCTGGGTTCCCGAGGAAGAGCCTGCGGAGAGGAGACCCCGGAGCTGCCTGCACTGGTCAGTGCATGGGGGCAGGGGTGGCAGACCACTTTGTGGATTGATGGAGCTCAGGAAGGTGAGAAGGGACCCACAGGTGAGAGTTTCGCTCCCCTGGTCATCTCTTTAGGTAAATAAATCCACATCCGCCACTTCCCCTTCCCTTCCCACCCTGGGGGCGCTGAGAACTCCAGGGAGCCCAGAGCTGAGGCCTGAGCTCTGCTTGCTCACACTGGGTCTTCCCTCAGAGACCCCCAAGCCCTCCTATCTTCTGCAGTCACCGTCATCCACTTTTCTGTAGGGAGGGAACAGCATGGAGCTCTCTGTTCACCGGTCTCCAGGACCTCGGATTCCACCTTTAATCCTGAAAACCCAGGAAGGCTTCTGTATCCCTACAATGAAGCAGGTTTGGGGCTGGATCTGCAGGGTGGCAACTCAATCCATGCAGAACAGAAGAAGCATGGACTTTTCCATTCTGGCTATTCCATTCACTAGCTGGGCCATTCTGAGCAAACTACCTCCCAATGTGCCTCAGTTTCCTCATCTGCAAAATGGGCTAGTCGCTGGCATTGTACCGAGCAGTATGAGACCGGAGGTCATGGGAAGAGGCTGGTAGGCACTTCATCCCAGGCAGCTGCTCAGGGACATGGGACACAGGGAGGGGACTCCGAGCTGCTCCTAGCTCAGAGAGGCTCTAGGGACAGGCACTGGAAGGAAGGGGATGCAGAATGGTGAGTGGAGCTGGGTCTCAGAACACAGACATCTTGAAGTCTGCTATGTGCTGATTTCACACTTGACCCCCCAACACCCTGAGGCATTACTGTCCTCATTTCTCAGATGGAACTACAGAGGCCCAAGGAAAAGGGGCTTAGGCCAGGACACCCAGCTCTTCTCCAAGTGTCTGTCTCAGGCTAGCTTTTGCAACTCTCCATTGGGATTCTTCCTAGATCTCCATCTGTACCTGCCAACCCACCTCTGACCCCCAACCTGTTGCGCCCAGTATTTGCTGCCGATCAGGACAGCCTTAACCCCTCCTTCCCGGGCAATCAGCTGCTCCAAGCCAAGCCCACCCCTGCCCCCTGGAGGGAGGCGGCTCCTTTTAAGGCTGCTTCTGGGAATTTCCACTCCAGAGCCAGAACCAGAGACCCCAGCCCCACTTGACACCTGCGGCTCACCCTTGGGGAGGTGGGGCGCCAGACCTGAGTGCAGGAGACGCAGACCTGGAAGGGCTCCCCCTCCCTGACCTGCCACACATCGAGTTTGTCTGCGTCGAGTTTGGCCAGTCTGTGAGGGTCAGGAATAGAGCAGGAGACAGCAGGGCCACCTCCTTCAGAAGGCCCCCACCGCTCCATCCCTGCACTGGGTGGCCCAGGAGAGACTGGCAGCCCAGAGGGCACAGCGCGCACGCCCCCACCCGCATCTGCTTTGCAGCCTCACTGGCCAGGAAGGTGGACACCTCATACCTCAGTCTCCCAATTACGCCCTCCTCCTCCCCCTCCTCCTCCCTCTTTTCTCTCCTCCTCCTCCCCTTTCTCTCCTCCTCGCCCCCCTGAAAACCTGTGGCTCGGAGAGACCTTGGCTTCTCTGGGACTCTACCCCTGGGGACTTCCCACATCTGCTCCTGAGCTTGGGGGCAGGGGGGCAACCGCCTGAGGAACCTCTCCAGCGATGGGAGCCGCCCGCCTGCTGCCCAACCTCACTCTGTAAGTGTGCTACCTCTCCCACTGGAGTTTCGTTGCCATTTCCAGCCTCAGGGCAGCCCTCCTCTTCCCGGGACTCCCACGCGTGCGTGCACGGGGCTGGCAGGGCGGGGGCGGGGGCCTGGGTGCACCCTAGGCTTGCAGCTGGCACCCACACCTGGGCTTACCTCCTCTCCCCACACAGGTGCTTACAGCTGCTGATTCTCTGCTGTCAAACTCAGGTAGGCGGGCATTCCCACCGGCTTTCCCCCAATTTTTCCACCCTACCTGACCAGGGCGGGTGCAAGGGACCGGCTCCTTTCAGGTGGACAGAGGCAGAGTCTGGCCTCTCCCTGGGTCCAGGAGGCACTGAGGTTTGGAGGGGAGTGAGCCTTTGACCGGGTGGGCAGGGAAGGGGGCTGACTGAGGTTTTGTCTCTGTCCTCCCTCTGAGGACCCTCCCCACTTCCCCTGGGTCTCTGCTCCTCTTCCTCCCTCTCCATCGGGTTCCCCCAGACTTGAGGGATGGAGCCTGGAGCGGTTGGAAGCAGGTGGAGGTGATGGCTCAGGTGAGGCTTGGGTTTGCCAGTACCTGAAAGGACAGGTTTTGATGCAAGACCACTTGTATGTCCTTCTCGCCACCCCACTCCCATCAATATGGATGCCTGGGGTGGGGGTCTCGTGAGCATGTCCAGAATGCCTGGCCAGGGTGAGGTGACTCCTCACCTAGAGGGCACAGAGGTCAAGCCCAAAGAGGTTTGTTTGGGACGGGATGCAGGGTTCGCTTCTCCACACTCCCCCCACCCCAAGTCGGCCCCCCACCTCCCTCCATGCACACCTCCCACCCCCAAGTCTCAGCCCCCAGTGCGAGGCTTGCTCCCTTTTTTGTGATCCTCCATAAAAGTGCAGCTATTAAAATGCACTGGTCCAGAACCGCTCTGGGGAGAGATCGCTTGGCTTTCCCAGGCCAGAGGCCCGCTTCTCTTCATATCCAGTGGGGACTTTTTTTGAAGGTAAATGCCTTTTCTCTGGGAGAGGGAAAGGGGCAGCCTTTGAAGCAGTGGGGGGGTGGGAGAGGGAGAGACAATTCCCCCCCCCTTCCTTCCCCCTTTTGCTCCAGCCCCGTTCCAGGCCTTTTGCTTCACACATCCAGGGGGAGCCAGAAGAAAGCCCCCAGCCTGGCTGGGAGGGGGCTGGGGGTGGGCCCAACCTGTTCTGGAGGGGAACTAGCACAATGGTGCGGCTGGCCGGGCGTTTATGGCCTGGCTGAGGCCCCATTCAGGACTCAGGGAAGGTGGCAAAGCGGTCCTTTCCCCCTTGAAGTGCCCCCTCACCCCCCTGGGAGGGGGGGCCAGCAGGCCGGACCACAGCCATGCTTGAGGGGCTGTCTGACAAGCAGCTGTCTGCAGTGGTGGAAGGGGAGGTCCTCCCGCAGCGGGAACATGAAAGGGACAGGCTAGGTCCCGCGGGGAGAGGGACTTGTGGGTTGTGGGCTGTGGGGGGGCGTGGGGCTGCTTTTGTGAAAAGCTTGAAGGGGGACGAGGAAAGGAGGGGGCTTCGGGGGGGCGCTTTCTGCTCCTGACCTGGAACAGACTGCCAGAGGAGGCCGTCGGCCAAGAGGGGCGGAGGGCCTGAACCTGGGCCAGGAGGCGGGGCTGGGATAGGCAGGACCCCACCCCCTGGAAGGGAGGCCAGCGTGGGGCAGGCTGGGCAGGTCCCCCACCCCAAATGCTCCAGGGTGGGGCGAGGGGCAGGTCTTGCAGAGGCTAGGCAGAGGCTGCTCTATGGGGAGGTGCAATTGGAAATGAGCAACGGTGCACAGTAAGTGTTAACCCCGCGCAGGTTAAATGTCCAGCTCTGAGAGCTGCTCCCTCACTCCCCCTGCCTCAAAGGTGATATTTCCCACCCCCTCCCTAGGAGAGAGTAGCCCCTAACAGATGCTAATCTGGGTCTAGCTCTGTCCAGATGGCTGAGGTTGGGCCTGGGATAAAGGTGGAATTAGGGATTTGGGGCAGGGGCTGAGAAAAGCTGTCCCAGCACAGGCAGCGGCATCCAGGTGGAGACAAAACCAGCAAAAAAGGTACATTCTCATGCTAGAGCTGAGGCTGTTGCCAGGAGCCAGGAAACCTAGCCCGGGTCGCACCTTGCAGGATGGAGGGGAAGAAGTACTCAGTCTCTCCCACTCAGCCTTACAGATGGGTAACGAGAGACCTAGCTGGGAGGCGGTACTCCTCCTGGCTTTGCACAGTGCGTGGGGGGAAATGGTTCCTCTCCCCCAACCCAAAGGGGAAGCAGGTGGGCGGGCGCATCCCACCAACTGGCCAGGAGCCTCTGTTACATTGTGGCTAAGGAGCTGCCTGCCAGGGGCAGCCATTGGGCCACCGCTGATAGTGCCTGTCCTCTTGGTACTGCCTCTGCCTCCCTCCGCTAAGGAGGCACCTTGCCTGCCTGCTGTCCCATAGTGCCCAGCCCCAGCCCCAGCCCCAGCTCCAGCCCATAGAGGAGGGAGGAACACTGGAAGGGCCCTGAGCACCAGGGGGCAAGGCCGGGAAGAAGATGGGTATGAGCTCAGGATTCCACAGTTAGTGCTTCAAAGAAATGCTCATGGGACCCTGCAGGAGCTTTCAGAGTCCCCCACATGCTCTCTGGTGACCCTAACTCGCAGCACCATCTGCTCTGTGCCCGTGTGCTGGGCAAGGGGTCTTTCAAGGCCAGTGGGGAGGATGAGGAAGGAATCTGGTTGTCCTGGCTAATGGAGCATGTCCTTGGAGTTCTGGGGGAGATGACAGGCTCTGGTCTAAGAGGTAGGGACAGGGGTTCTGTCCCTAATGAGCTGTGTGCCCCGTGCACCTCCTTCATAGAATACGAGGACGGGATAGAACCCTGAGGGCTCCTTCCAGCTCCCAGAGTCCTGATTCCAGGGCTGTGCTCTGTCAATAAGTGTCCCCCAGCCTGGGCAGACCCCAGTCCCTTCTGTAAGGTAGACGCAAAGCAAAGAGGTTATGACCGGCTCACCCAGGGGCCTGGGAAGGCTATGGCCATATGCCCACTTCACTCTGCAGGACAAGTGGCCTGTCCCCACTATATTCACCTCCTCACCCCTCTCCCTTGGATGGACCAGTGGTGGTGTCACCCAAAGCAAATTGACACTATTTTTCCCTTGGTAACCGCAAAGGGGGAGAATCACCCGTCTCCTAATTTTAACCAGTACGTGAGGGACCAGGGCGCCATGACCGACCAGCTGAGCAGGCGGCAGATCCGCGAGTACCAACTCTACAGCAGGACCAGTGGCAAGCACGTGCAGGTCACCGGGCGTCGCATCTCCGCCACCGCCGAGGACGGCAACAAGTTTGGTGAGAGTTGGCCCTCCCCCCAGGGCACCCACACCTCCACTCTGCCTCACTTCCACCCTGCCTCACCTCCTGGTCCATCCCCAGATCCTGTGTCAGGGCTGAGGGCCCCAAGGGCCTGAGTGTCCCCAACCCCTTCGCCTGAGTCTGGAGGTCAGTGTGGCTGGGTGGTCCCCTGCTGTAGCCATAGGCCGGCAGCCCCGATGGACGGAGGTCTTTCTCCCCTCCCCCACCACAGCCAAGCTCATAGTGGAGACGGACACGTTTGGCAGCCGGGTTCGCATCAAAGGGGCTGAGAGTGAGAAGTACATCTGTATGAACAAGAGGGGCAAGCTCATCGGGAAGGTGAGGCTGGGAGACTGGGAAGTAACAGAGAATCAGCCCTACTGGGGTGGGGACATATAGGGCATCATGCTCCCCTCTCTCCTCTGAGCCACACACCCTCCTGTGTAAAGACTTCCCATCCTACTCTCAGCCCACCCACTGGGCCACTCTCTGGTTTTTATTTTAGAGTCCGGGTCTTGCTCTGCTACCTAGGCTGGAGTGCAGTGGCACAATCATAGCCCACTGCAGCTTTGTACTCCTGGGCTCAAGCAATCCTCTCGCCTCAGCCTCTGAAGTAGTAGCTGGCACTATAGGTGCATGCCACCATGCCCAGCTAATTTTTTTTTTTTTTTTTGTAGAGATAGGGCCTCACTATGTTGCCCTGGCTGGTCTCAAACTCACGGGCTAAAGCGATCCTCCCACCTCAGCCTCCCAAAGTGCTGGGATTACAGGCGTGAGCCACGGAGCCCGGCCTGGTTTCTCTATTTAAATGAGTCCCCGGGACTCTATTAGCCCTCTGAGGGGACTGGCAAGCCACTGGGATCTGTGGGGCTGATGTCAGGAGTATTTCTCCAGCAGGCATCAGTAAGAGCTTAGCATCTACCTGACACTGCAGCCTCTGGGTGGAGGACTAAGAGCTGTTGAGGGTGGAAAGTGGGGCACAGATGTAAGACAGGAACTCCCCCAAGTTCAGTGGGGCCAGTGGGCTCCAGCTAGCAAGATAGACACTAAGCAGCTGCCCCTGTGACCAAAGCACACGGTAGGCCGGGCCCTGCTGGGTGGGAGAATTCCACTTCGTTTGAAACCAGGCAATCCCAGCTTCCCATTCGGCTGTCGCTGACCAAATAACCTTTGGTTTGCTTATCTTTGTCAAGCCTCAGGCTTCTTGTCTGTAGAAATGGGCACAGACCCCTGATTGCAGACAGAGTGGGATGGGTGGCTGCACTGGCACCCTTCTTTCTTCTCATTGGAGGCTGCTGCCTCCTCTCCCATGCCCAGCAGCACCCCTCACCTAGGCTGCATGAGCATTTCAGTGCTAAGGGCCCGTGCATGCTGGGAAATGCCGCAGGTCCTTGATCTTCACCTACATCTCAGGAAGCTGAGGCCCAGCCTGGTTCAGGACCGCTAAACGACAAGCCTGCAACTCAGATCCACAAAGCGTGTTCTTGTTGGCCACTGTTGCCTCTCTAAATAGGATGCCATCTCACCAGGCAGAGTTCCCTGGGCTCACGGCCCCGTTGTTCCCGTTGTCCCTCCTCAGTCGTCCAAAATAGGCCGTAAGGGCGACACCCCAGACCAGGGTAGGTGGACAAATGCCCTTCCTGTCCTTGCTTCTCCCGCAGCCCAGCGGGAAGAGCAAAGACTGCGTGTTCACGGAGATCGTGCTGGAGAACAACTATACGGCCTTCCAGAACGCCCGGCACGAGGGCTGGTTCATGGCCTTCACGCGGCAGGGGCGGCCCCGCCAGGCTTCCCGCAGCCGCCAGAACCAGCGCGAGGCCCACTTCATCAAGCGCCTCTACCAAGGCCAGCTGCCCTTCCCCAACCACGCCGAGAAGCAGAAGCAGTTCGAGTTTGTGGGCTCCGCCCCCACCCGCCGGACCAAGCGCACACGGCGGCCCCAGCCCCTCACGTAGTCTGGGAGGCAGGGGGCAGCAGCCCCTGGGCCGCCTCCCCACCCCTTTCCCTTCTTAATCCAAGGACTGGGCTGGGGTGGCGGGAGGGGAGCCAGATCCCCGAGGGAGGACCCTGAGGGCCGCGAAGCATCCGAGCCCCCAGCTGGGAAGGGGCAGGCCGGTGCCCCAGGGGCGGCTGGCACAGTGCCCCCTTCCCGGACGGGTGGCAGGCCCTGGAGAGGAACTGAGTGTCACCCTGATCTCAGGCCACCAGCCTCTGCCGGCCTCCCAGCCGGGCTCCTGAAGCCCGCTGAAAGGTCAGCGACTGAAGGCCTTGCAGACAACCGTCTGGAGGTGGCTGTCCTCAAAATCTGCTTCTCGGATCTCCCTCAGTCTGCCCCCAGCCCCCAAACTCCTCCTGGCTAGACTGTAGGAAGGGACTTTTGTTTGTTTGTTTGTTTCAGGAAAAAAGAAAGGGAGAGAGAGGAAAATAGAGGGTTGTCCACTCCTCACATTCCACGACCCAGGCCTGCACCCCACCCCCAACTCCCAGCCCCGGAATAAAACCATTTTCCTGCAAATGGGTTATCTGAAGCGGGGCGGGGGATCCGACCACCGAACACCCCTGGAAACGAGCCTGCCCGTCCCCGGCCGGGCGTGGCCACGGCAGGTGCAGGCGCGGCCCGCAGCGCTGGGGCCCCCAGGAGGCCGCGGGCTCGGCCCCGCGGGAGGCGGGCGCGTCCAGGCCGGGCGGCCCCTCCCTGGCGCGGGCTCGGGTTTCCTGGGCTCGCGCGGCGCGGCCCGTGCTACCTGTTGGGGAAGAAAACCCGAGCCCCCGGAGGGGCCGGGGCCGGGGCCGGGACGTGCATCCAGCCGGGCCCCGGGCCCCAGGCCCCAGGCCCGAGGCGCAGGCGAGGGCCCTGCGGAGCCCGGCGGAGCCCGGGCGGCCCGCGGACGCCAGGAGCCTCCTCGGGCAGCGAGATTGCTTTTTTTCCGGTGAGGAGGGCGGGGGCGGGAAGCGGGGTTGGGCGGCCGGAAGGGGGGAGGGGGCGAGAAGGCGTCCCCTGTCCTCCCGGGTCCCCGCGGGGCCGGGGCGGGGGCCACACCTGAGGGCAAATCTCAATTAGAGGCAGCGGCCCGGCCCGGATGGCCCGGGGGGTAGGGGGCGAGAGGGGCGGGGAGGAAGGGGCGGCCTTGCCCCCACCCCAGCTTCTCCGGTGGGCTTTCCCAGGGTCCTCCAGGTGTGCGTGTGGGGAGTGGAACTCGGGGGCCATAAAACCCGCCTCTTCAGTGCGCTGGCTTTTAATCTTGTCGAGGGGGAGGTCTTCCTCGCAGGGACAACCCCCCCCCCCCGCCACCCCACCAGGTCAGCTCTTCAGGGGGAACACCCTCAGTGAGCGCTCTCTTCTGGGGGTGGGGCCCCAGCCTCAGTTTCCCCTACCCTCACGGAGCCCTCTCTTCTGAGGATGTCCCCCAGCCTCAGTTTCCCCTTCCCTCACTGAGTCCTCTCTTCTGAGGATGTACCCCTTCCAGCCTGTTTCTCCTCCTCTCCCTCTTCTTTCTGAGACTACCTTGAGGAGGGGGATTATGGAGAGAGAAGGATGAAACACATCCCTTCTCCTCTCTGCTCCCTAGAATGGCCTAAAAATGAGAGAGGAAGTGGGGAAGGGCCCTCGTCCAGTGAAAATGGGAGGTGGGTGCAGCTACAGTCTCAGTTGATGGCGAGCGCCGGCGCAGAGTCTGACACCCCCACCACGGGGCAATTTAGAAGGTGGGGACAGCGGCAGCCAAGAGGGAGGTCCCCGGCCCTGGGACAGACATTCTCCCTACTGCTCGTCATAATTGCTTTTCACCAGGTTACTTTTTTCTCTCCCCCATCACAAAGAGCCTTAATCCCAGTGAAGACCGCGCCGTGTTGGGGGTAGTTTTCTGGGATGTGTGTCGGGAGGGTGGTCTGGAGCCACAGCTGATAACTGGCGAGTTCAATGGGACTTAACGGGGGCAACACCCAGCAATTACTTGAGGACAAAGGGTTGGGGGCCCCCCAGGTGTAGAAGACTGGACTTTGGGGGGTGGCTGGGGAGGAGGCTGGGAAGGAGGTGTGTTGGGGAGGGGGCTCTTAAAATCCCTCTGATTTCCGCAGGAATTTGAGACATTCTTTAAAACTCTAGACTGCCTCCCCGCTAGCCCGGCTCTCCGGCCCACCCCTGCCCCTCCCTCGCTCGGGTTAGAGACGGCTTCAAAGGTGGACGGGGCCCTTTGTCTTGCCTCCGCTTTCTTCTCGGCCTTTCTCCGGCCCCTCCCTCCCTCCCTCTCTTTGACCTCCCCGGTACCGACAGGCCTCTGGGGGCTGGCTCCAGAAAGCCCTCACTGTTTTCTTTCTTGCTTTTTGAGGTGAGACCTGGCAGGGAGGGACAGAGAAGGGAGAGGGAGAGGGAGGGCCGCTCCAGAGGCCTGTGCTGTCCCAGGGAGTGCCCTCATCCCACCCCATCCCCGAGGTATCCAGCGCCTGCTCCCGCCCTGGGTCTCTGGGTCTCTGGGTCCCTGGGTCCCTGGGTCCCTGGCTGGTCTCTGACTGAGCCTTCTCCTCACCACACCTCTCGGCGCCTCTGCCCAGTGTCCAGGCACTGCCATTCCCCAGGTGGGTCTTCAGGCTCTGGAAGTCTGTTCAGCTCATTCCCCCTGAACTGGTGGTGACTTCGAAGATGCTAAAAGGAAGAAGCCACAAGAATAGATCCCTAATGATGGCACTTCAGAGGAGATTTAACATGCACATCTAGGCGGTTGGAAGGAAGGAGACTTCCCCCAGGTCCTCAGACCACACCTGGCTTCAGCAACCCTGCTTGCCTCTGAGCGCCTGGGTCTATGCAGGTGTGAGCATGGAGTAGCCACAGGGGGCTAATTGCTAATAGCCCCTTGCCGTTGGGGAAACACGAACCCATTTAGGGGAGGATGTGACCAGGTGGAGGGAGGTGGCGGCAGCGGCCACCAGTGCCTCAAGTCTCACGCCAGTTTGGGATTACCAAGAACTCTCACTAAGAATGGCTCACAAATTTACCTCCCCTTTCTCCACCCTGTCCTCCAAACAGCCAGACGAGGCAGAGGGGAGCCAAGCAGGTCATCAGAGGGGGACATTCACTCACTCTTTAGGCCACACAAACTGGTTCCACTTACATCATTCTATTCAATCCTGTCCCTCTGACGCTGAGACAGTGACTTTCCAGGGACCAAGCCGAAAGCCTTGCCTCAGTCCTCAGTGTCTTCAGCCCCAAGCGCTTGCTATGGCAAAGAACCGTTTCTCCTTAAGCCACACCCCACCCCCCTCGGCCTGCCCTCAGCTGTCCTGCCTGGCTTCTCTTTCCCAGCTCCTCACAGAGGACCCTCACCCAAGATTCCCTCCCGCTCTGCTCTCTGTCTGCCAGCTGCCCCTCTGAGCAACCTCAGCATCTCAGCCACCGCCTCCTTGCGCGTGACTGCTCTCTGCCAAACCCTGGGGCTCTGCACCGTGGCCAGACCTCACTGGGATCTATCTAAATATCCACTCGCTCCCTACATCATCTCTGTGCCTCTCAACACTGCCCTCCAGTCCAGTACATCCGAGTTTGCTCCACTTACCTTCCCTACCATCAACCACAGCTCTACCCACGCCACACTATCCCGGCCAAACTCCTTAGCGTCATCTTTAAGACTCCTGTCCAGCCCTGTCCAGTCTCCCTATTCGGCCCTAGCCCCACAACTCCCCTTTAAGAATACTGGAAAACTGGAACTCTATCAAGCAAGCATGTCCCCATTCTCATTTGAAGGGTCCCCGCCACCTGGCGTGTCCTGCTCTAGCACACACACACACACCCAGACCGCAGGCTCCTCCTCTGCTCCATAGGCTCTTGGCACTACCCCGGGATGAGCGACTGTCTCCACTGCCACTGGTCTTGCCAGCCATTCACTTGCCCTTGCCTTGTGGTACATGTCACAGCTTGTCCAGAACTGTCATGATGTATGTGCTTGTCATGATTCCGCTAAATAGCAAGTGCCCCAGATGTAGAAATAGTCCATCTTTTCCTCCCCGACAGTGCCCAGCACAGTATGTTGCACAGGGTAAATGTTTATTGAGGAAATAAACCACTTGAAGCCCTAGAAAGAAGTCATTGGCCCAACACCCCACCATCCCTCTAGGCAGAGGCAGGAGAGAGGCCAGAATCCTGCCTTCTCCTTCCTTCTTTAGGCAGACGTGGGTGGGGCGGGGGCTTAAGCAGTTAGTCCCAGTGTTTATTTTCCCCCCACAACATTCAAGTCCTGTGCTAATCCTTCTGTTAATAAAAAACATGGACAAGATAGAGCTCTCAAGGCACTTGAAATTTAATTGGAGGGATAAACCCATAAAAAGGCAATTATTTGTTCTTTGGTGGGACTTTTGGAAAACCCTCTCTTACACATGACATAACAAAGCAACCTTTTTTTTTTCGTACGTCCCCAAAGAGGGAAAGGGGAGATAAGAATTATTGGGAATAAGGAAACTAATATGTACCGAGCTCAGGAGATGTGCTAGGCCACACTCAGGGCATACTTGCTTGCAATCCTTCTTTAGGGCAGTGAGATGTTCCCATGTAGCACATGTGGATGAGTTCACACTCAGAAATGCCAGGCCATTCACGGTCTCACAGCTAGTGAGCACTGCACTCTAGATTCTGCCCGGCTTCCACACTTTGCCTGCAAAGTGTGCCCAGGCATCGTGAGTTCTGGGGCAGGAGAGAGCACAGGCCAGGGTGCTTGCGGGGGCTTTGTGGAAGGTCTGGGGTTTGCATGATTTCAGATGATTTCAGTGGAGAAAATATGCACAGAGCGGAAAATGACGAGAGGAAAAACGGGCACGAGAATCAAGGCGGCAAAATGGGAGGTGTGCTCCAGGGAAGGGGAATAGTCCGTCTACTTGGCTGGAGCTGAAATTTGTGTAGAGAAGTGGCAGGAAGTGATTGGATCAAATGATGAAGAGTTTGGTCCTTATGCTGTGGCAGGGAGGAGATGGTGAGGGGCTTTGCGGGGGCCAGATGCAGTGGTCTGGTGGCAGCATGCTGAAGGAGTGGAGGCTCTAGGGTCTGGGCAGCAGAGTCCAATGCCCGGAGGCAGGGGCACATGGCTCCCAATCTCTGGTGAGAATGGTGGCTTTGGGGCCCTCATCCTTCCTTTTCTTCAGGTCTCTGTCACCCTTTCCTTCCTCCCTGAGTGTCCAGGTGCCCTGGCTCCACCTCTCCCGAAGTTAATGTTTAGATAGCTCCCCCGCCCAGCAGGTTGGTGTGTAGGGTGGGGCCGGGGGGCACTGGAGTGAGACAGACCAGACGTGGACAGAGAAGCCTATCGACAGGGCCTGGGGGAGGGAGGAGGCAGCAGGGCCGGAGTCCACCCAGGACATCTGGCACCAGTGACCTTGTGGGGAAAGGAGCCAAGAACGGGGCGTCGGGGGGCCTGGGACCCCCCTGCCTGAGAGATACAGGAATCCTGGCCCCGTGTTGTGGACACAAGCGCCCATCCTCAAGGTCCTGAGAACTCCTGAACTTCCAAAGGTATGAGAGCCCTGGCAGCCGCCTCCTGCCTGCTCAGTATGGAGCAGAGCTGAGGAAGCCCACCCGCCTGGGGCCTGAGCCAACAGGCACCTGTTGTTCAGTGTTGCCAGCTTTCAAGGGGGAGAATCTCCCCTCTCAGACAAGCCATGGGGGAGTTCAGTTCAGCTGGCCTTGAGAGGTCAGAGGCCTTCCCAGGGGGAGGAGGCCGGAGGCAGAGTGAGTCTTCCCATGGGACAAGGACAGTGACGAGGTAGGGTCAGAGGATGGCATGGGTGAGAAGGGTCCCCTTGCCTCCCCTCTGAACGCCCACCACCAATACACACACACACACACACACAGACACACACACACAGCCCAGATCCCTGGCAGCAAAATGACCTTGGCAGCTACCACTCCTCAGGTCGACAGAGGGAGCCCTCACTCTGCAGTCCCCTTGGGTCCAGGCCTGGCTGGGCTGAGCACTCTTCCTGCCCAAGGTGGCCCGCCCGCCCCACCCATGGAGGGACATTCCGATAGAATGTGAGACTCAGGCATGGTGGGGGACAGTGGGAATGGGGCCTTGAGGAATTGGAAGAGAGCTGTCCCTTGCTCTGAGTTTTCTCAGGTGGAATGAGAGAGGGTTTGGGACCAGGTGAAGGTGCTCACAGAGACGGCAGAGGTGTGGGGCCCGCAGCCGCGTGCCCAGTGCAGCCAGCGCCCAGGGGCCTCTGAACCCTGCCGGAGCAACCCCTCTGGCCCTTCAGCACAAGGACTGTCCCTGCCTTGCTGCCTGTCATTGTCCCGAGCTCCACACTGGGCTTCCTGGAGTGGGGACTCTCCCCAGTGCTGCATACTCTTCAAGACTGGCCTGCTCTCCAGCCCTGAATTAGGGTTCTCCTGGGGTCACCCCTAAAGCCAATTCTAGAGCCTTATGAAAGGAAGTGGGGGGATGGGGTACTTGGTGGGGTTCACTGGGCACCCTAGCTCCTGAAGCTGTCCCCTAACCCCCAGCCCCAGCACTGAGGACCCACCCTCAGGCCCCCTCCCTCCATCTCTGAGGAAGAGGCAGCGGGAGGCACAGCTTCCTCCTCCCCCCCTCCCTGCTGCCGCGGCTGAGCCGGGCCTGAGCTGCCGGCAGGTTGTCTTGGCAACAGGAGGTGGAGAGGAGATGCGCCGAGGGATGGAGGTGTATGTCACCGAGGAGGCTGCTGCGCTCCTGCCCCACGCCCTGGGCCCTTGAAGGTACCGAGCACCCTCCCCTCCTTCTCCCCTCCGCCCTTTCCCCTTGACTCCCCCTACTCTGCCCTACATGCACTGGCTTCAATAGGAGGAGGCACCCCTCCTCCCAGGCCCAGCGATTCTACCCATTCCTCATCACCCACCTCGTTCCAGGCCCCTGGCCACAGCTGTCCTTCCTGGCATCAGCTCATTCCAACTCTACCTCTGGGGACCCTTGCACCAGAAGACAGCTCTCCTGGGGTGGGGCCTGGTGGGGGAGGGGCAATACAGGGGAGGAACCCAGGTCGGGGTGCGGCGGGGATCAGGAATTCTAAAGGGCTGAGGTGTCAAAGCCCCAAGTACCTGGTCCGCTGGAGGGACCGAGAGAGATCATCTAGGGCTGGAGTGGGGCTGGGGCTTCCCCTCTGTCTCTCAGACTCTGATTAGAGGGAAGTAAGGGTGGGGTTGAAGGTACAGAAAGCCGAGAGGCTGGGCTGAGGCCGGGCTGGTTGTGGAGCGATGGCTGGAGTGGCTCCTCCTCCAAGGCTGTGCCCCTTTCTGCCACATTGAAGGTATGCCCCCTCCCACATCACTCTCCTGGCCTTTTTCTCTGCAGTTCCATGGATCTGATGCTTCATCCCCCACCCCCAGGTTTTCTCTACCTTCACAGCCACCCCCGCCTGGCTGCAGCAGCTCAGCCTGTGTTCTGTCTCCCTTCTCAGCCACCTGCCTCCTTCCTTCCTCCCTTCTCTCTGGAGCCCATCCCTCAGGTTACTGTCCTCTCTGTCCCCACCAGCCAGATACTTTCTGTCCCCTCCTGGCCTCTTCCCTCAAGCCCCTCCCCCTGTGCTTCTCCATTCAGACACCCCAGAGCCCCCTCCCCAGATTCTAGATTTCCCCAACAACAGCTGATACCATCAGCTGACCGGCTGGGGGCAGGGTTGCCAGGGCAACGGTGAGGGCTGCCTAGGTAGGCAAGTCTGCGGTGTGGAGGTGGAGAGGACATTGGGGCCAGGGCGAGGGTCGAGGGCAAGGCTTGTTGTCCTTCCCCATCCTGCCCAGGGGGCCCGAAAGGCCAATGAGAGGCTCCTGGGGTGGTTGAGGCTTTGCTAGAGACAGGGAAGGCACATGCCTGTAAATTCTGTGCTGGGACCCAGGGGTTACCAGGCAGGAAGCTCCTTTTTCATGAAGCCACCCTAGGGAGAGATGGGGTCCTTCTCTCTCTCTGCTGCATCCCATTGGAGTTCCCAGGGGATTCAGGTTACTGAGGGGCCAGCTCAAGTCTCAGTACTGAGGACCTGGTTGCATCCCTCCATTCTACCCTCCCAGGAGAGAGCTCATCCTTGGGTAACCAATTCTGGCCTGTGCCTGCACCCCCACCTCAAGAGGCTGGGCCCCAGAGGCCTCAGTTGCTGCTGTCAGATGGTGGGGTGGTCATGAATAGGGTAGGAGGTGCAGGTGCCTGGAGAAAGCAGGCATTGTCCGCCTGGGTCATCAGTAGCCCCCTCCCTCGACCCACCGCCCACAGCAACTTGAACTCTGGCTGTTTAGGAGGAGGCTGAGGGGCTCTGGGTGCGTGTGGGTGTGTGTGTGCGTGTGAGTGCTGCAGACTGCGGTGTGGGAAAGGGAGAGGACAGTGCTGGCTGATTCTGCTTTGTCATGACGCTGGGTTAATGCTCCTCTTGTTTGAAATGGATTGAGCTGCAGCGCTGGTGGAAGAGCGCGCACATCCACACACACACCCTTGCCAGCCACACGCTATCAGCTGGAAGTGGGGAGGGCGCGGGGAGGGCGTGGGGGAGCCAGCAGCCCGCCCGCCCTCCCGCCCCCAGACGAGGACTCCCCAGCACCGGGGGATCCAGGCGGCCGTGCGTTGCAGAGAAGCAGGGTGGGGGCAAGGAGGGTGGGGGCCCAGAGGGGAGATCAGACCGCTCAGCCGAGACCAGCTCCCCTCCTTCGCCAGCTCCCACCCCGCCCACCCACCCTAAGCCGGCATTTTTCCTGTTATTTGTGCTCCGGGGAAGCGCCGCGGGGTTCCTGGAAGAGACACCTATTACCTAGGCTCCTGGGGGAAGTGACAGCCCGTGGATCTGGCCTACGCCTCTCGGGCCTCTGTGGCCTCAGAGCGTCTGGGCCACACTGTCTGGGAAGAGGTAGGTGGCAGGGTCTCCGCCTCTCCTCCCCTCTGTGGGCACTCTGGGCCACAGCGCTTGCTGGCGAGCCAGGCTTTGGGTGGCAGCAGGGTATCTGGGGGGAGCCCACTGTGGGCCCTGTTCAGTGGGAGGATGGGCCGGCCCCTGGGACCAGCTGGGCCTGATCTAATGGAACCTTCTGATCTGGGGAAGAGGGCCTGGGGTGTTCTCATCCCAAGGATGAGAACTGCTCCCAGCCCAATCCCCTCTTTGCCAGCATCTCTGCCTGGCCTACCTAGCTGAGCAGGCCAGCAATGGAAGGGATGGACTGTGGGGGCACGGGGTGGGCAGGGGAGCATTCCCTCTCTGCTGAATACTGGCCCGCTGGCCTCCCCAAAACCACTCCACATGCTCTGGGGGTTGGAGCAGTACATTTAGGGGCCTGAGGCTGTTTGTTTGGAGCCTGCTTTTTAGGGGGAGTGGGAGGAGAGCCTGCCCCCAGCCAGTGGCTGGCCAGGCTGGGGTGGGGCTGAGTGAAGAGTGAGGCTGTGGCAGGGCGCAGCTGCAAGCCCAAGCCCAGTACTCCCCCTGTGCCCGCCGCTGGGGTGCTTGAAGGGGCCAGGGCTGAGCAGACATGCAGCCCCCACAGGGTTCTGGGGCTCCCCCTCCCTAGCTCTGTCCCTCAGGGCCTAGCAGGTCCAGCCCCCTTTCTTGGGCAGACACACCCAGTGTGTCCCTTCCAGGGACCAGTTGCCTGGTTGTGAGAGTCAGGGGAGCAGGGACAGGTCCAAGACAAGGAAGGCAGTTGGGCTGTGGGAATGGGGAGCCCAGGGAAGGCCTCCAGAGCTGGGTAAGTGGAGGGCTCTGTGTATGT
Source organism: Homo sapiens (assembly GCF_000001405.40). NCBI lineage: Eukaryota > Metazoa > Chordata > Mammalia > Primates > Hominidae > Homo > Homo sapiens. The sequence continues at coordinate 22,057,990 of NC_000008.11, forward strand.
TGCTGTACACGTGCACTACTCTGGGATGGATGCCAGGGAGAGGACCGGTGGGTGGGTGTGAGCGGGTGTTGGCAGCACCATGTGTCACAGTGAGGGGGCCTCGATGGGAGAGTGGGGGCATGAGCTGGCACACAGGGCTTCGGAGTCTCCCCGCGTGCATGCGTCCTGCAACGGTTTCAGCGCGGGCGCTTCTGCCTGTGCCCACCTGTCCATCTTGTGTCCGTGCTGCCGGCCTCTCTGTGGTCAGGCGTTAGACTCCTGGGTGAGGTTGTCCACCCGTGGGTGGATGTCTGCAGAATCCCTCTCCTAGAGCTCCTGGGTGTTGTGGGACTGGAACAGGGAGGCCCTGGGATCCAGAAAGCTGAATTGAGGCTGCATCTCCCCCAGCTCTGCCAGTCCCACTTGTACAACAGGACCAGCTATAAATGGAGGGGAAGCAGTCCGCCTGAGGGGGCTGCAGGATGCAGAAAGCAGAAAGCGGGGTCTCTTCAGAGGGTGGGTGGAGAGGGCACATAGAAACCAAACCAGAGAGAGACCTAGGAGAAGATGGCTGCACAGATGCGTCTCTGGGTGGGCTAGAGAGGCAGGAGGGGGCACCTGGGCCCGGTTTTGTTGTTATTGAGAGAACAAGGGAGGGCAGGCCTTGAGCAGGGGGACTCTGGGCTCCCCACCCACCCAGGCCTGGTCCTTTATCCGAGTATGAGAGGGTGCCCTGTAGTGCTGGGTTAGGGGAACCCTCATCCCAGCAGACACAACGGTAAAAAACATTGGAGTAGGGGAGAGGGAGAAAGTGGGAGAAGAGGAGGGAGTCCCCAGGCTCTGCCAGCCTTAGGACAGACTTGGAGTTCAGGCTTCGCCTAAGTAAGGGACACCTCTGATGAGCCACTGGCCCAGAGCAGGCCTCAGCCTCCTGGTGTCCTTTTCCAGTGGCGGGGGGGTGCGGGGAGCAAGGTGCCCTACCCCACCCACATCACACGCATGCACAGCACCCATGGGAGCGCCTGGCCCCTGCCCTGCAGCGCCGCACTGCTCCACCCTCCCTGCCCCTCCCCACCCAGGATGCTGTTTTGGGAACTGGTGACCTAGCTGGATTCTGCCTTTATTTCTGGCATTGAATTGTTGCCACAGTAACTGCGGGGGTGGGGCTGGGTAGGGGAGAGGGTGAAAGGGAAAGAGGGAGGGAGGGAGAAAAGATGAAGAAAGCCAAGAAAAGGGACCAGAAGAGAAAGCAGAAAGACAGGAGGAAGAAAGGGAGAGAGGGCCAGGCAGTCGCACTGTGAACAGAACAGGAGAAGGCGAAGCGGGGCAAAGTTCCCTGCCCACCGACGCCAGCCTGCTTGGATGACTTGCCTCGTTTCATAATTCACTTACTGTCTGCACCAGCCGGCCTCCAGCCTGGCTGGACCCTGCTGCCTGTGTGGCCCGGAGCCAGAGGCCCCCACACTCCCAGCTGCTCTTCTACAGATGCCATCAACGAGCAGGACTCTGGGTGGCTCCACTGTCTAAGGTTAGCACGTGGGACCCCCAAGTCCCACATTTTGATTGAACTGGGATCTTTGGTACTCATTGAAAAGAGCACTTGGCTTTGGCCTCAGGCAGGCCGGGGTAGGGATTCTGGCTTGGCTTCTATTTGGGGGGCCTTCGGCAAGTTCACCTCTCAGCTTCATTTTTGCTCATCTCTAAATGAGGAGAATGTCGTTTTGTGTGAGGTTTAGAGACGATGTATGAAAGTCCCAAGTATACAGGGGCTGCCACCAAGCAGGTAGTGGTTGGCTGGAAACAGGAGCACAGCTAGACCAGGGGCCCTCCACCCCGAAGTTGCCATTCTGCCTGCGGAGGCTTCATTTCTAAAAGTCCAGGGGAGCCACAGTCTGGATCAGTTTCTGCCTGGAAGAAGAGCGCGCCAGGATGAGTGGGCACAAACTCGGAGGGCCCAGTGGGCGGGTCTTATCACCCACATCCTGGGGAGCTGTGGAGAGGAGAGGGTGGTGGGTGAGGTGGGGCTGGGCTGGTGGCTCAGATAAGGCAGGGACACACAGCTGGGGGAGGGTGGGGCTGAGATGGAGGGCGAGCGGCTGGCTGGCGTCCGACCAGGGCCAGGGGCAGCTGAGCTGTCCCTTCCGTCACCTGGACCTGCCTTCCTCTGTGGTGCTCTCTCTTCCTCCCTCCCTCCCCTCTTCCTGCTGCAGCTCGCCCTTTCTATCTCTTTGTGCACGGAGGTCGCTGGGACCTTGGGGATGCAGGCACAGACAGGCGGGGTGCATGGATGGGAGAGGGGTCTGGATGGGAGGAGGTGGAGTGAGCTGGCACTTGACCTGCGAGAAATGAGCTTTGATGGAAAGGGCTACTTGTGGGTGGAGTAGGCAGGGTGTGATTTGAGAGAAGCCAAGGAAACTCTCTCTCTCTTTCTCTCTTTCTGTCTCGCTCTCTCTCTCTCTCTCTCCCCCTCACACATGCGCACGCACACACACATATACACACACTCTTCTCCACCCCCATTTTCCCGGCTGGCCTTCTGACAGCTTAAAATTTAACCAGTACAAACATTATGCCTTAAGGCTAGGCCCACGTTTACGTGCAAATGCCCCACAAGGGGTAAGACAAAATTTCTGCCTCTGTGGAAATAATTTATCAACCAACATGCTCTCTAACAAATGGCAGGGGGTGGCACCAGGGTGCAGGGCCCTGGCTGACCCCAGGAAGCAGACCCAGATGCTAAAGCGCAAGACCCAGCAGTGGGGTTGTGGGCAGGAAGGGACTGGAGACAGAGCAGAGGTGAGAGGCCAGAGGCTTAGTGACTCACACCAGCTTTGCCTGGGTAGTATCCTGGTGAATGGTTTTAGAAATCAGACAGACCTGAGCTTAGATTCCACACAATACTGTGTCCTTGACCAACTACTTAACTTGTTCAAGTCTCAACTTCTTCATGTGCAAACGAGGTACTCGCCAATCCAAGCCAACCCACAAGATTGGAATGTAAGGGTTAAATTGAAACAAAGATGGGCTGGGCAGGGGCTCACACCTATGATCCCAACATTTTGGGAGGCAGAGGTGGGAGGATCACTTGAGCCCAGGAATTCGACACCAGGTTGGGCAACATAGGGAGACCCCATCTTTACAAAAAAAAAAAAAATTTGTTTTGAATTAGCCGGGTGTTGTGGAGTACTCCTGTAGTCCCAGCTACTCGGGAGACTGAGGCAGGAGAATGGGTTGGGCCTGGGAGGTCAAGGCTGCAGTGAGCTATGATCATGCCACAGTGCTCCAGCCTTGGTAACAGAGTGAGACCCTGTCTCAAAAAAAAAAAAAAAAAGAAAGAAAGAAAGAAAGAAAAAATGTGAACTGCCCAGCACAGTGCCAGCTGTAACACAGACGTTCTATAAATGGCAGCTGTTCATATGACTGTGACCATCAGGATTTTGAATCATGTTTCTGAGTGCCTGTGCCTCTGGCACGGTATTTGTGCACGTGTGAGTATGGGGATATATGACCACATACTCCTGAGACATGGCTTACCCTGGGCCACTCACCTTTCACCTCTCTGAGTAGCCACCACTCTGACAGATAGCCACTTTCACACTCTGTGCCCCTCCCCCCGGTGGTGTTTCAGGAAGATTCCAGGGCCTCCCCGAGGCTCCAGAACACACTGAAGTTATCCAGTCTCCCTCCTGCCCCTCTCTGTGTGCAGCTGCACATGCTCCTCAGAGTGACCCCTCCAAACCTCTGACTCACCTGTAAGATCTGCAGAGAACCTTAATTCTCATTTTTTTTTTTTTTTTTTTTTGGAGACAGAATCTCACTCTGTTGCCCAGGCTGGAGTGCAGTGGTGTAATCATAGCCCACTACAGCCTCAAATCCCTGGGCTCAAGTGATCCTCCTGCCTCAGCCTCCCAAGTAGCTGGGACCACAGATGTGCACCACCATGCCCGGATAATTCTTCATTTTTTAAAAAGTAAAGACAGGGCTCACTATATTTCCCAGGCAGACCTCAAACTCCTGGCCTCAAGTGATCCTCCTGCCTTGGCCCCCGAAGTGTTGGGATTACAGGCATAAGCCTCTGTACCTGGCCACCATCTCTCACTTTTGCTGGGAAAATGGAAGCCCTGTATGGTTGTTACCCAACTTCTTTCCCTGTCCTCTCCTTTCCAGGGAGTGCAGCAGTGACATGATCATAGCTCACTGCAGCCTTGACCTCCTAGGATCAACCCATCCTCCTGCCTCAGCCTCCAAGTAGCTGGGACTATAGGCGTACTTCACGACACCCAGCTAATTAAAAAAAAAAAAATTCCTTTGTAGAGATAGGGTCTCTCTATGTTGCCCAGGCTGGTGTCGAATTCCTGGGCTCAAGTGATTCTCCCACCTCTGCGTCCCAAAGTGTTGGGGTTATAGGCATAAGCCACTGCCCAGCTCATCTTTGTTTCCGGGGAGCCTTTCTTCCCAAAGCCAGTCTTGTACTTGGCTGTGAACTTGATCCCTTCCCTCCTGCTGCCGTCTTGCTCCACCCACCTAGTGCCCACTGCCCCCTGCAGCCTCAGTCTTTCCTGTCTACCGTTCTCTCTCTGCTGTCTGCAAACACATTAAAGGCCTTAGGCCAATCTTATCTCCTCCAAAACGACCCTGCCTTTCTATCACACTTCTTGGAAGGGCCATTCCCCCTGGCTGTACCACCTGGCCAGCACCCCCATCACCCCCCCAATCCCTAACCACGAGGCCACTATGGCCTGACATTCGAGCTGGAGGAAAAGCACTTCTCCTCACCTTCTCCATGGTGACACTTGGCTTCCATGATGTTCTACTCTCTCAGCCCCTCCCTCTATCCCTCCCTCCCTCCCATTCTTTCTCTCAATATGTTTTGCACATTTACTGTGTATCAGACCCTTTGCTGAAAACACAAAGACTCACTAGAGACTTCCTGGCCCCTGCGAGCTGCCATCTAGTTTTCCTCTCTCTGACTGTGCCATCTCTGGCTATTTCTTTTCAGTTCCCCAGGTTCCCAGGATGCTGTTTTTAACCTTCTTTCTCCCTTGGCAATCTCATGTTTGAACTACCACCTCTAGGCAAATGGCACCCACATCTCTGGTTCCAGCCTGGCCTCTTCCGTAGGTTCCTTTCCTCCTGGACATTCCTACCTGTTCCCCTGATGCACCCACTACAACCTCCACCTGTCAAAGTGACTTCCTCCTTTCCCCTTCTCCCAGTCTCTCAGACTTGCAGCCTCCTTCATGGGCACCCCAGATCCAGTCCTGCTTTGCACATTCTGCCTCTAGGGTTTCTCCCATTTGCCCTCTCTCCTTCCTGCCCAAGTCTAGATCTTTACAGTGCCCTGCTGAACTACTGCTGCAGCTTCCGGGCTGGTCTCCCGGCAGACCTGGATCGCCTCTGCCTGTCCAGTCTGGCTCTCAGGCTGCCACCAGATTCATTTTCCCAAAACACTGCTTGAATCATGTAACTTCTTTGCTTATAAAAAGTTTTTGAGCCTTCTGTGCCCCACTGTTGCCAACAGATTACGACCTAACCCTAGGCTGGGTTCAGGGCCTCCATGATCTGGCCTCCATGATTTGGCCTCAACCTCCTGTCCCAAATGCATCTCAACCTCATGACCTCTCCAATCCAGCCATATTTGCTGTTCCCCAGGCAGGCCCAGTGCATCCCCATGTCCCCACCTTATGCTGCTTTCTCTATCAGGAGCCCCTTTTTCCATTTTTGCATGATCTCAAACTGGGCATCTTTCAAGGCCGACCTCAGATACCTCTTCCTCCAATAAACCCTTTCCCCTCTCTTGACACCCCAGCAGGAGGAATCTCTCCTGTGACTTTTCATAGTGCTTTATACTTTCTTATATGGTACAGGTAATTTTCTGCTTTGCATGGGAGTTATCTAGATGCATGCCTTATTTCTGGAGGAGCAGCTTAGCTCCTCTGACTCATCTTTCTGTTCTCCATAAGACTTACCACAGAGTCCTGCTCTGTGTTCATTGCAGAATAGGTGCTCAGAAAGTATTTGTTGAATGGATGAATAAAACAATACATGACTAAGTAGATGGATGTATGGATTCAGGGATGGATGGATGGATGGAGAGATGGATGGATGCAGGGATGCAGGGACGGATGGATGGATGGAGAGATGGATGGATGGATAGATGCAGGAATGGATGGATGGATAGAAGGATGGATGGATGGATGGATAGATGAATGCAGGGATGGATAGATGGATGAACAGATACATGCATGCATGGATAAGCATTTGCCCCTAGGCCTAAGCCAAGTGTATAGCTAGTTTGGTATTAGCTATAAACAAAGTAAAGATAAGAGAGGAGAGGGAGCTAATAGCTCTTCAAGTATGTACCAGAATTTATTCTTCTTTTCGCTTAATTAAAAGCATTACAAAGCAAGTACTGAGAAGGCGAGAGGAGTATAAAGTTCCAGAATGGAGTCTTTCCATGGGCACCAACACCTTGTGTGACTCTGATGGCCAGAGGTTTTTTTTTTTTGAGACGGAGTCTCGCTCTGTCGCCCAGGCTGGAGTGCAGTGGGACAATCTCGGCTCACTGCAAGCTCCGCCTCCTGGGTTCATGCCATTCTCCTACCTCAGCCTCCTGAGTAGCTGGGACTACAGGCGCCCGCCACCACGCCTAGCTAATTTTTTGTATTTTTAGTAGAGACAGGGTTTCACTGTGTTAGCCAGGATGGTCTCAGTCTCCTGACCTTGTGATCTGCCCGCCTTGGCCTCCCAAAGTGCTGGGATTACAGGTGTGAGCCACCGCGCCCGGCCTGCCAGAGTCTTCTTTTGGAGATGCCATGGTTCTAGAATTCCAAACAGACTTGAGAATCTGGCAGGTTCTAGCTTTCCTCACTCTCACCTGATACTGAGTACTAGGTAGGCACTGTGAATCGTGCTGAAGACACAGTCATTTTCAGCTCCACGACTCTGGACAAATTTTTAACCTCTCTGAGCCCGTTTCCTTATCTGTAAATGGGTCTACCTTATAGGGTTGTTGGGGCAATGAAACAAAATAATCCTTTTAAAGGGCTTCTCAAAGTACCTAGCACATAATGAGCATTCAAAAAATGATAGCTCTTTGCCACCCACGCTGGAATACAGTGGTGTGATCACAGCTCACTGCAGCCTCGATATCATGGGCTCAAGTAATGCTCCCACCTCAGTCTCCAGAGTAGCTGAGATGACTACAGCTGCATATCACTACATCTGGCTAATTTTTACATTTTTGCTAGAGACGAGGTCTCCCTATGTTGCCCGGGCTGGCCTCGAACTCCTGACCTCAAGCCATCCTCTCTCCTTGGCCTCCCACATAGCTCTTATTGTTGTTTTCACCCTCCTGCGATTAGCAGTCTGTCTAGTTAGGGAGAAAACATGTTCCCTGTAATCAAGTGCTTAGCTACATTGGTCTGTTTTTAAGTACCACTGGAATTCAGAGAAGGGTTGATCCATGAGGACTAGACTAGTACAGGAGGCCTCCCAGAGGAGCGGCTTTGGGATAGCCCTGGAAGGCTGGAGGCACCTGAGAGGCAGAGAGGTGGACAGAGCAGTGGAAGGTGTCAAAAGCAGGAAGGTAGGGCTGGGCGCGGTGGCTCACGTCTGTAATCCCAGCACTTTGGGAGGCCGAGGCAGGCGGATCACTTGAGGTCAGGAGTTCAGGACCAGCCTGGCCGATATGGTGAAACCCCATCGCTACTGAAAATACAAAAATTAGCCAGGCACACGCCTGTAATTCCAGCTACTCGGGAGGCTGAGACAGGAGAATCGCTTGAACCTGGGAGGCGGAGGTTGCAGTGAACCGAGATGGCACCCCTGCGCTCCGGCCTGGGCGACAGAGCAAGACCTTTTTTTTTTTTTTTTTTTTTTTTTTTTAACGAGGCAGGGTCTTACTCTGTCACCCAGGCTGGAGTGCAGTGGTGCGATCTCGGCTCACTGCAGCCTCGATCTCCTGGGCTCAAGTGATCCTCTCACCTCAGCCTCCCGAGTAGCTGGGACTACAGGCATCCAGCACCACGCCTGGCTAATTTTTAAAATTTTTTCTGTAAAGACAAGGTTTCGCTATGTTGTCCATCCTAGTCTCGAACGCCTGGGTTCAAGCAATCCTCCTGCCTCAGCCTCGCAAAGTGCTGGGATTGCTGGCGTGAGCCACTTATGCCCGACCTATGCAGTGTTTTAAAAATAATTTTTTCCATGAAACAAAGTTTGTGTGAAGTTCTGACGTGTGGAATTTCCACCTGTGCGTCATGGTAGGCACTCACAAAGTTTCGGAGTGCGGATGTCAGGTTTTGGATGAGGGATGCAGAAGCCGGGCTGCTCAGGGAACCCTCTGTGTTAACCCTTCCTGGGCGAGCGCGGGGAGGTGGCGGCGGGGACAGTGCCCCGAGCGGGAGTGGGACCAGCGGCCGGGAGGGGAGGGCCTCAGCCAGGGCCGCAGGCCGGGCCGGGGCGGGGAGGGCAGGTGCGGCGGGGCCAGGCCGTGGAGGCCTCCGCCCGGGCAGCCGGCTGACCCCTGCCGTCATTTCCTTTGAAGCCAGAGAACAATGGCTCAAAAACAAGCGCAGCCCGTCCTTCGGTCGCCTCCCGTCCACGCGCGCGTTCTCCGGGGCTGAGCGGATGGGAAGCCTCAGCCGCAAGGGGCCCGGCTGCCTGGAGAGCGGCCGCCCGCGGAGGCCCCGCAGCCTAACGCCGCCCCGGCGCGGCCTCCCTCCCTTCTCCCCGCAGCCTGGAGAGTCACCGCCGAGGGATGAGGACGCGCCAGCCCGGGGGAACGCGCCAGCTGCTTTCGCGGCCCCAAGCGCGCAGCGCCCAGCAGCCGCGCCGAGCCTGACACGCTGTCCTCTCCCCTCGCGCACAGGGCTCTGCGAGTGACCCGGCGGGCGAGCTCCGTGCTGCATGGAACGGCTGCAGAAGGTGCGCGGCGCCGCCCCGGGCCGGGGCCGCCGAGGGCGGGTGGGGGCCGCTTGGGAGTCCAGGGCGCCACCTGGTGGCCACCCGCCGCGCAGCGCCGCGCAGCGCCCCGGGTCCCCCAGGCCTAGGGCCGCCCCCGCCCCGCTCCCGCACACACGCACGTGCCCACCCGCCCGCCTTCTCGCTCTCCCCAGCAACCACTTACCTCCCCCGGGAGCGTGAGCCCCTCCCGAGATTCCAGTGTGCCTGGCTCTCCCTCCAGCATCGTGGTGAGTACCCCTCTCGGCCACCAGCAACCCCTGGCTGGGAGGGGGGAGGGTGGGGGACCCCTGGCTGCTAGCGTGCCTTCCCGCAGAGCCTCCCCAGTGGTGGTCCCTCCGGTGCTGGCGGGCAGAGAGAACCCAGAAACCCAGAGAAGCTCCCATATCCCCCTTCCACTGGTCTGGCCTCGTTAATCCGAAGTGCTAGGCAAAGGACTATCATGTTTTAAGGTGACTAATTTCTTAAAATAATAGAATTGTTAACGTCTGCAATGGCGGTCCATTTTCTTGGTAATTGACGTAAGTCTAGCTAGCAGGGCCAGTGTCCTAGGCGGGGCTTTCGGCACAGCAGTTTCACGCGCACCTTTCCCTTCAGGCCAAGATGGACAATCAGGTGCTGGGCTACAAGGACCTGGCTGCCATCCCCAAGGACAAGGCCATCCTGGACATCGAGCGGCCCGACCTCATGATCTACGAGCCTCACTTCACTTATTCCCTCCTGGAACACGTGGAGCTGCCTCGCAGCCGCGAGGTGAGGGGGCTCCTCTTGGGCAGGACTCCGGGGGAGGCCCCCCCCAGCCACACTGGGTGGGGACCGATCCCTCCCGTGCTTCCTTTCCTGGAGGTCTGCCTCGGCAAAACAAGAGAGGGAACTGTGCGCAGGAACCAACCAGTCAGTCCATCCGGTGTTCAAGAGAGCAGGCAGAACGGTCTCTGGGCTGGCATGTGGCTCAGATGTAGAGGGGTGGACACCTTTGGATGGCAGCAACACACAAGAGGCACAAAGAGCAAGATTTGTGGAAACAGTTCAGAAGCATTGAGAGCGGGGGCTGAAAGTCTAGCGGAGGGACCCATGTGATGTTGTGGCCTCAGCTTACCCTCGTGTAAAATAGAGGTGACCTTTCTGCCCATCCACGCGCAAGGTAGTGAAGGTGCAGGAGACAGTGCAAGGCAGGTACTCATCAACTGCCTCCAAGACAGGGTAGCGTCGTGGCTGACCAGTGACAGGGGGCTAGATCATGGGGTGACTTCAGTACCTGCGTGATAAACCCCGACCTCATCCTTGGATGCTTCTTGGTCTTGTCTCTTCTATTTGTTTTGAGGCTCTGAGGACAGGACAAACTATTCCCCAACTGGTTCCCAGGCTAGGCACGGTGGCTCACACCTATAATCCCAGCACTTTTGGAGGCCAAGGTGGGAGGGTCACTTGAGGCCAGGAGTTTGAGACCAGTCCAGGCAACACAGGGAGACCCCCATCTCTACAAAAATTAGCAAGATGTGGTGCTGTGCACCTGTAGTTTCAGCTGCTCAGGAGGCTGAGGTGGGAGAATCCCTTGAGGCTGGGAAGGGGAGGCTGCAGTGAGCTGTGATAGAGCTACTGCATTTAGGCTGGGCAACAGAGTGAGACTATAAGAAAGAAAGATGAGAGAGGGATAGAGGAGAAAGAATAAGAGACAAGAGAGAAGAAAGTGGAGAGAGAGAGGAAGGAAAGAGGGAAGGAAGGGAGGAAGGCAGGGAAAGAAAGAAAAAGGACAAAGGAAGTAGGAAAAAATTAAAAGAAAGATGAGAGCGGGAGAGAGGAGAAAAGGGGAGGAGAGAGGAAGGAAGGAAGGAAGGAAGAAAAGAGTGCCCTTGGAGCCCCAGGAGTACTGAGCAAGGCTCGCGTGCTTCTCTGTGCCTCCTGTGGGAAGGCTGAGGACTTTGTGCAGGGAACTGTGGGAAGGATCCAAGAAAGCAGAGGTGGCCCAGAAGCTGGCCAGGAAAGTGTGCGGCTTTGGGTGGGGGATGAGGTGGCCTCTCTGGAATTCTAGGGAAGAGGCTGAATCTGCCCCTGTAGCTCTGACCAGCCCCCTCTCCATTCACAGCGCTCGCTGTCACCCAAATCCACATCCCCCCCACCATCCCCAGAGGTGAGTCTGCCCCACACCTGCAACTTGCCCTGCCCTGCCCTGAAGGGGATCCTAACTCCCTCCCCTCACACATCAGACCAAGCTCTGCAGAGCCCAGGGAGTGCCCGAATCAGCGGCCCCCTGGCTGTCACTGGCCAGCTCTGTGTCCATCATTCTGTCGGACCCAGGACCTCAACCCTTTCTCCCTGGGCCAGGCACCATCAGTAGGTCCTTGGAACTGTGCCACAACATTGCCCTGGGTTTGGAGGGATGCAGCCGGCCAGGATGGGAGGACAGAGAGGGTGGTGTGAGCTGATGGGGTGCATGTGTGGGTTGGAGGGGGTTAGGGGCCCTGGAGCCACACGCTTCTGCTCTGCAGGTGTGGGCGGACAGCCGGTCGCCTGGAATCATCTCTCAGGCCTCGGCCCCCAGAACCACTGGAACCCCCCGGACCAGCCTGCCCCATTTCCACCACCCTGGTAGGTCTTCTCGGCACGACCTCATTGTTTCCTAAGACTTTCTCCATCAGGAACCCCAATCCCCTTACGCTCAGTCCCCCACTCTCTGGGGTATATGCTCGCCTCAGGGCTAAGTAGGCCCCAGGAGGCCAGGACCCCTCCCAGAGATGGGAGACCTGTCACTTTTTCTCTCTCCCCCAGCCGGAAAAGTGTAAAATGTCCCAAACCCCTGAGGGGCAGTGCCAGGAATGCCAGCCCTGTCTTGGCTCTTGACAGGGGCCAGTGAGTTCCCCACCTTGTCCCGTTCCATCATCTCCATTCTCCTGGCCCCAGCCTCCCTGCCATCAGCATGTCCTCCTCCTCATCTGTTCTTCCTCCCACAGAGACCTCCCGCCCAGATTCCAACATCTACAAGAAGCCTCCCATCTATAAGCAGAGAGGTGAGGGCGCCCCTGGCTCACCAGAGCCTGCTTCCGGCTGCATGCTGGGAGGCCGTGCCCTGGGGCTGCGGGCTGGCTGGAGGGGGTCGGGAGGATAGCATGTCACAGCAGCACGTGTGCCCCGTGCTCAGCGTGTACACTGCTTTTACCTGCAGGACCTCACAGGTGTGAGGGGGGAGGGGTGAAGGTAGCCAAGTTGGCCTCGGGCAGGGCACACCTGGCTGACCCTGGCCTTTGTCTGCAGAGTCCGTGGGAGGCAGCCCTCAGACCAAGCACCTCATCGAGGATCTCATCATCGAGTCATCCAAGTTTCCTGCAGCCCAGCCCCCAGACCCCAACCAGCCAGCCAAAATCGAAACCGACTACTGGCCATGCCCCCCGTCTCTGGCTGTTGTGGGTAGGAGAGATGGGGAGAGTGGAATGGGTGGTCTGGGAAACTCCTGCACTCCCTCCCCTTGGCTCTTGCTGCAGTCCGTGAACCCACTCCCACCCCTGCCCTATGGTGTCCTCGTGGGCTTTTTCCTACCTTCAGGAGCCCCCAGGCTCCTTGCTCACTCACTCTCTGTGTTCCCATAGCGCTTGGTGTAAGTGGCCCTTTTATTGGTCATTCATTTGCTTTCCATTCATTTATTTCCTGACTCAACAGACATGTATCAAACTTCTGCATCCCAGGCTCTGTGAGGGGAGCACTGGGAAAGAGAAAGATAAATGATAGATGGTTTGGTCCCCAGCGAATTTTATTTTAATTTTTATTTTTATCCATTTATGGGGTACAGGTGTAATTGGTTACCTGCATAGATTGCACAGTGGTGAAGTCAGGGTTTTTATGATATTGTTATCTGAATACTGCACGTTGTATCCATTAAGCAATTTCCCATCACCACCCCCCACACCCTTCTGAGTTGCCATGGTCCATCATCCCACTCTCTACATCCATGCGTACACACTATTAAGCTCCCACTCATGAGTGAGAACATGCAGTCTTTGTCTTTCTGTGTCTTGTTTGACTTAAGACAATGGCCTCCAGTTCCATTCATGTTGCTGCACCCACTGAATTTCAGTCATGAGTGTGTGTATGTGTGTGTTGCCTACCCAGCTTCATGGCAAGGTGAGAAAATGTTACTCTTATTTTATTGTATTTTTATTTTATTTATTTATTTATTTATTTATTTATTTGAGATGGAGTCTCACTCTGTTGCCCCAGGCTGTAGTGCAGTGGCACAATCTTAGCTCACCACAACCGCCACATCCCGAGTTCAAGCATTTCTCCTGCCTCAGCCTCCTGAGTAGCTGGGATTACAGGCATGCACCACCACACCTGGCTAATTTTTTGTATTTTTAGTAGATATGGGTTTTCATTATGTTGGCCAGGCTGATCTCAAACTCCTGACCTCCAGTGATCCACCCGCCTGTCTCCCAAACTGCTGGGATTACAGGCGTGAGCCACCATGCCTGACTCTCTTTTTAAATGTTGAGACAGGAAGTCTTGCTCTATTGCCCAGGCTGGAGTGCAGTGGCGAGATCTCGGCTCACTGCAACTTCTACCACCTGAGTTCAAGCGATTTTCCTGTTTCAGCCTCGCAAGTAGCTAGGATTACAGGTGCCCACCACCACACCTGGCTAATTTTTATATTTATATTTATATTTATTTATTTATTTGGAGACAGAGTCTCGCTCTGTCACCCAGGCTGGAGTGCAGAGGCCTAATCTTGGTTCACTGCAAGCTCCGCCTCCCGGGCTCACGCTATTCTCCTGCCTCAGCCTCCTGAGTAGCTGGGACTACAGGCGCCCGCCACCACGCCCAGCTAATTTTTTTGTATTTTTAATAGAGATGGGGTTTCACCATGTTCGCCAGGATTGTCTCGATCTCCTGACCTCGTGATCCGCCTGCCTTGGCCTCCCAAAGTGCTGGGATTACAGGCGTGAGTCCCCGCGCCCGGCCTATTTTTATTTTTAAATATTTATTTGTTTATTAAGACAGGATCTCACTCTGTTGCCCAGGATGGAGTGCAGTGACTCCATCACAGTTCACTGTAGCCTCGAATTACTGGGCTCAAGCAATCCACCTAGTTCAGTGTCCCCAGCAGCTGGGACTACAGGCATGCCCTACCACCCCGGGCTAATTTTTTAAAATAATTTTCTATAGAGACTATATTACCCCAGGCTGTTCTCAAATTCCTGGGCTCAAGCGATCCTCCCACCTCAGCCTCCCAATGTGTTGAGATTACAGGCATGAGTCATCTACCGACCCTACTTTATTTTTTAAAAAAATTTTGTAGTGGCCTTATCAAGGTCCAGCCCAGAGCAGTGCACAGAGGCTGTGCCATGTAAACACACACTGACCCCATGGCGAGTGACTCCCTCCCCACCTTTGCTTGTGTCTCCTAGAGACAGAATGGAGGAAGCGGAAGGCGTCTCGGAGGGGAGCAGAGGAAGAGGAGGAGGAGGAAGATGACGACTCTGGAGAGGAGATGAAGGCTCTCAGGGAGCGTCAGAGAGAGGAACTCAGTAAGGTAGCATCTCACCACCCCCACCCTCCACCCCTGTGCAGGAGTCTCGCTCTGTTGCCCAGGCTGGCATGCAGTGGCATGATCTCAGATCACTGCAACCTCCGCTCCCAGGTTCAAGTGATTCTCCTGCCTCAACCTCTTGCATAGCTGGGATTACAGGCACGCCACCACCTCGCCCAGCTAATTTTTTTTTTTTTTTGTATTTTTAATAGAGATAAGGTTTTGCCGTGTTGGCCAGGCTGGTCTCGAACTCCTGACCTCAAGCGATCCGCCCACCTCGGCCTCCCAAAGTGCTTGAATTACAGGCGTGAGCCACTATGCCCAGCCCACCCTGTGTGTCTTTCTGGGGACAGAAGTTCTGGCTCTGTAGCTAGTCGAAGGGGTTCCTACCCGAAAAGCATGCTTTTTGGAACATGTTGGGGAGCCGCTTCTTGCCAAGACCCCAGGATTTTGCTTTTGAAGGGACACCTGGACTTTATGCTGCTTTCTGGGGGACACTACTTGATATAAGGGTCAAAAGCACAGAAAAGGGTGGTCCCATCAGAGCTGGGAGCTAGCAGCCTGAGTGATCCATGGGAGGAGAGAAAAGGAGAGCATGGGCTACAGGCCTCCAGGGGAGGAGGGAGAACCATGGAAAGACCATTGACAGTGACATGGGCCTAGGCTCTGAGCAGGGTGACCTGGGACAAGGACAGGGAGGCCGCCGTGGTAGAGTTCTACCAAGCAGCGCTGACTCCTGGCTTTCAAGGGTGGCCAAACCCATTGTGGCCATGTGTCAGCCACGAACAAGAGGCTCTGTGAGCTCCAGGGCACAAACCAGCCACTTGGGAAATGTCCGCAGTCCTGCCTGCAGCATGGCCCAACTCTAGACCTTTTAGAGATAAGAAATGAGTATTGGCCCAGCACAGTGGCTCACACCTGTAATCCCAACACTTAGGGAGGCCGAGGCAGGAGGATCACTTGAGCCCAGGATTTTGAGACAAGGCTAGGCAACATGGTGAAACCCCATCTGTATATAAAAAAAAAACAATTAGCTAGCTGGGTGTGGTGGTGCATGCCTGTGGTCCCAGCTCCTCAGGAGGCTGAGGAGGTTGGATTGCTTGAGCCCAGGAGGTCAAGGTTGCAGTGAGCCATGTTTGTGCCACTGAACTCCAGCCTGGGTGACAGAGTGAGACCCTGTCTCAAAAAAAAAAAAAAAAAAAAAAGAAAGAAAAAAAAAAAGAGAAAAAAGAAACATTCAAGTGTCTAAGTCTTGGCTCCATCTTCCTTTCTCCCTCCTCAGGTTACTTCCAACTTGGGAAAGATGATCTTGAAAGAAGAGATGGAAAAGTCATTGCCGATCCGAAGGAAAACCCGCTCTCTGCCTGACCGGACACCCTTCCATACCTGTGAGTGCTGTGGAGGGGGCTCAGAGTCACCTGGCCAGAGATGGAGGCCTGACTCTGTGCATCTGTTGACTTGTGACACATACAGGATGCAATCCCTGACCCAAAGCACGGCTGCTCTCTTGGGAGCAAGAATCCCAGTCATGGAACAATGTCAGATGATAAATGAGAGAATCGGCTAAAATAGAATTCAGCAAGTTTGGTTTAATTTAACAACCATTTATTGAGCGTTTACCATGTGCTAGGCACTGGGCATATAAGCAGGGAAAAAATCTAGTCTTGTCCTCTGGTAGCTTGCTGTTGGCGGGGAAACTGTCATGGAACGTGGGATTTCGATGCAGTGTGGCCGGTATTGTGATCAAGGTGCGCGGGGTGCTTTGGGAGCACAGCAACAGGGCCTGGGAGGCCAAACTGAGGGGTTTTGTTGTGGTTGTTTGTTGTTTGTTTGTTTGTTTTATTGAGACAGGGCCTTGCTCTGTTGCCCAGGCTGGAATACAGTGGTGCACTCTCAGCTCACTGCAAACTCCACCTCTCAGGCTCAAGCAATCCTCCTACCTCAGCCTTCTGAGTAGCTGGGATTAAAGGTGTGCGTCACCATGCCTGGCCAATTTTTAAAATTTTCTGTAGTGACAAGGTCTCACAATGTTGCCCAGACTGGGCTCGAACTCCTGGACTCAAGCAATCATCCCGCCTTGGCCTCCCAAACTGTTGGGATTATAGGTGTGAATCACCGCGTCCAGCTTAAACTGAGTCTTGAAGGCTGAGACCAAGCAAGCCAGAAAAAGTGAGTGGGAGAGCGCATTGCAGACATTGGGAATGGTGTGGGAGCGAAATTGGGAACATGAAACATCTGGCTGGCTGAGCCTCCAGGAGTCTGGAATTACAGAGTACAGGGTACACTGTGGGGCAGTGGGCAGTGAGACCAAGAGATGGGGAGCGGGGCAGGCTTTGAATGGCGTGGCCCACTATCCAGCGCACTACCCTGGGCTTCCTCAGAGCTTGGCGGCTGGAGAGGAGAGGAAGACCTGAAAACCCAGCAATGAAAGCTGCAAAGCCTCTTAAAGCCTAAGAGGGGTCCCGGCATGGTGGCTCACACCTGTTGTCCTAGCACTTTGGGAGGCCGAGGCGGGCGGATCACAAGGTCAGGAGTTCAAGACCAGCCTGACCAATATGGTAAAACCCCGTCTCTCCTAAAAATACAAAAATTAGCCAGGCATGGTGGCGCATGTCTGTAATCCCAGCTACTCAGGAGGCCGAGGCAGGAGAATTGCTTGAACCCAGGAGGTGGAGGTTGCAGTGAGTCGAGATGGAGCCACTGCACTCCAGCCTAGGGAACAGCGTGAGACTCTGTCTCAAAAAAAAAAAAAAGAAAAAAGCCTAAGAGGAAACCACATAGTGTCACTTCTTCATTGTAGCTGCCAGAGCCAGTCACTGGCCACCTAGACTCAAGGGGAGGGGAGCTAGACCCTCCTCCTCCCCCTCCCCCTTCTTCTTCTTCTTTCTTCTTTTTTCTTTCTTCTTTCTTCTTCTTCTTCTGGCAGGGTCTTGCTCTGTTGCCCAGGCTGGAGTGCAGTGGCACCATTTTGGCTGACTGCAACCTCTATCTTCTGGGCTTGAATGATCCTCCTGCCTCGGCCTCCTGAGTAGCTGGGATTACAGGTGCATGCCACCATGCCCAGCTAAATTTTTTTTTTTTTTTTTTTTTTTAGACAGAGTCTCACTGTCACCCAGGCTGGAGTGCAATGGTGTGATCTTGGCTCACTGCAACCACTGCCTCCCAGGTTCAAGCAATTCTCCTGCCTCAGCCTCCCGAGTACCTGGGACTACAGGCACACACCACCATGCCCAGCTAATTTTTGTATTTTTATTAGAGACGGGGTTTCGCCATGTTGGCCAGGCTGCTCTCAAATTCCTGACCTCAGGTGATCCACCTGCCTTGGCCTCCCAAAGTGCTGGGATTGCAGGCGTGAGCCGCTGCGCCCAGCCAAGACTCCACTTCTTGATGACAGGTACCACAAGGTCTCATTGCAGAAAGCATGAAAGATGGGAGGCAACAGTGCAGGCCATCTTTGGAAATAATCTACCACACTCTCCAATAGACTGGATAAGGGCTAAAAAACGATGTGGGTCCAGAGAAGAGGGAATGGATTTGAGAACATATAGACAATTGAATCCGCTGGATCGAATCCAGTGGCTGATTGGACGTGGGAGGTGCAAGAGAGAGAAGCTGAGGTTTTTGTCTTGGGTGCTGGGTGATGACCAACTTGGAACTGAGATAATAAGAGAGGCGGATTTTCAGGGAAAGATGAGAGACTGGTTTTGGACATGTGGGGTTTGAAGTGCCCCATGTACAGCACTGTGGGTGGAAGGTGCATCTGGCAGAGTTGGGAGCTTGAGGGTCTTCAGCTTGCTCATATGTGGCAGGAAAATGGTGAGGAGAAAGTAAGATTGTACAGAGAGAGGAGGGAAGGGTGCCTAGGGCTTCCATTAAAGGTCCAGTCGGGGCTCATGCCTGTAATCCCAGCACTTTGGAAGGCTGAGGTGAGAGGACTGCTTCAAGTCAGGAGTTCAAGATCAGTCTGGGCAACGTAGTGAGACACTGTCTCTATAAAAAATAGAAAAATTAGTTGGGAGTGGTGGCATGTGCCTGTAGTCTCAGCTAGTTGGGTGGCTAAGATGGGAGCTATGATTGCGCCACTGCAGTCTAACCTGGGTGACAGAGTGGGATCCTGTCTCTAATTGTATATATATATGTATATATGTGTGTGTGTATATATATATGTCACTATATATATATATACACGATATATATAGTGACATATATACACATATATACAGTGACATATATATATAGTGACATATATATACACACTATTTTGGGTGACACCTGGGTGTCCTATTTTTTCTTTTTTGGGTGACATATATATACACACACACACACATATACATATATATATATTAGAGGGCTGGTTTGAGGACTGGTTGAGATCGAGCCCCAGAATGTGTGGGAGGCTGGCCTTCAAAGGCCTCCCCTGTGGGATGGGAACTTGGATCCAGGGGCAGGCCAGATGAGAAGCCGAGGTTGTCTGCTGAGCGTTAGAGGGTGAGACTTGGTGAGAATGGCGAGGGTTTGGAACTGCCGTGGAGGGGAGGAGAAACGTGCGAGGCTTGGCCTTTGTAGTGATGCTCATCTACATTGTGTGGGCTGTATGTCCACAGCTGGGGGCAGGATGGGAGCTGTTGGGTTGACCCTGGGTTAGCGTTTTTAAGGATAGGTGCTGAGGGGCCAGGCTGCACCATGGAGGAGCTGATAAAAGTAGTTGCTGTGCCCAGCCACAGAGCCGAAACTGAGAAGGTAGTGACAGAAGGTGGGAGGTGGGGGAGGTAGGAGGGGAATGAAGAAACTGGAGTTCTCCATGAGGTTGCTGGGCTGGGTGGTGGGGATGGAGCTGAGCCAAAGCCACAAAGTGAATGGTCCAAGCTCACAGTTTCTAGGCAGCGTGGTGCAGCTGATGACAAGATCCTGGGCATGGCTCTTTGAAAGGGTTATCTCATGTGGAGCAGAGGTGAAAACCACTGGAACTGGGGAATTCAAGGTTAACATGTGGTTAGGACATCTGAGTGTTCCCCAGAGCTCTCAGGATGCTGTCTCTGTGGGTGGGAAGAGCTACAGAGGTTTATTAGAGAATGTGGAATAAAGAGTTAAGGCCTAAAGAATGATGTGGAGAGAGGATGCGTGAAGGTTGGATTCAGTGTCAGTGTTCTGCCAGAATCTTCTGTTCAGCCCAGATTAGCTCTTTAACTTCCATTTTGGCCTCGTGAAGTTGAAATAGCCAGATGCCTACCTCTGGATCATCTTTGGCGTCCCTGAACTTGTGGGTGATTAATGATCACATGACTGCATAGGTTACTGTCATATTTAAACAACCTGAATTCTAGAATCATGAACAGGCATGTCATTCTGATTAAATGGTGACACTGGAATAGTCGCTCTGGAACACACGTAAGCATTTTATAATAGAAGTAATTTGGAGGGGAAAATCTTCGTGCAGGGTTTGAAGGTTGAAATTCTATCAGTTGGTTGAATAAATGTGTACTTATTATTCTAAGAGTGAAATGCTTCAATAGTGAATGGTGATTGTGAAAGCTATTTTCTAAATAAAAATAAGTGTTAGGGGTAAAAATGAGGTTTTGTTCTCAATAATCGAATGCTTCCAAGCAACAGATTTCATAAGAGTATTTTAAGAAGAGGCTGGGTGCAGTGGCTCACACCCGTAATCCCAGCAATTTGGGAGGCTGAGGCAGGTGGATCACCTGAAGTCAGGAGCTCAAGACCAGCATGGCCAACATGGTGAAACCCTGTCTCTAACAAAAATACAAAAATTAGCTGGGCATGGTGGCGCGTGCCTGTAATCCCAGCTACTCAGGAGGCTGAGGCAGGAGAATCACCTGAGCCTGGGAGGCAGAGGTTGTGGTGAGCCAAGACTGTACCACTGCACTCCAGCCTAGGCAACAGAGTGAGACTCTGTATCAAAAAACAAAAAATATATATATACATATATACATATATTCATATATATGTATATATGTGAATATATACATATATATGTATATATTAAGATAGTTCCTCATAGTTTTGAATCTATGGAGGTTAACTATTTATACAAAAATGCTTGTGGAAACAGTTGGTATAAATGCCAGCCATTTCCAGCAATTGGAGGTGAAGGCATTTTGAGATCACCTCAAGCTAAGGATCTTAGGTACAAAGTTATTTCCAGGAAAACATATTACTGGAAACAAATTTTCCTGAATTATAATCTGTAGTACTTCAGAATTTAGAGATCCTATTAAATGTGCAAGTTGAGACTGAGGTCCAGTAATGCTGATGTGAAGTTGTTGACTGCTGGTACAATCCCCAGTGACAGTGCTTAGAACATGACTCTTTCTGTAGTATAATGTCAGACTGTTTTTTTTTTTTTTTTGAGATGGAGTCTCGCTCTATCACCCAGGCTGGAGTGCAGTGGCGTGATCTCCGCTCACTGCAAGGTCCGCCTCCCAGGTTCACGCCATTCTCCTGCCTCAGCCTCCCAAGTAGCTGGGACTACAGGTGCCTGCTACCACGCCCGGCTAATTTGTTTTGTATTTTTAGTCGAGACGGGGTTTCACCATGTTAGCCAGGATGGTCTTGATTTCTTGACCTCGTGATCCACCCACCTCGGCCTCCCAGAATGCTGGGATCACAGGTGTGAGCCACTGTGCCCAGCCTAATGTCAGACTTTTAAAATTTGATTACTAGGCCAAGCATAGTGGCTCACACCTATAATCTCAGCACTTTGGGAAGCCAAGGTGGGAGGATTGCTTGAGCCCAGGAGTTCAAGACCAGCCTGGGTACCATAGTGAGGCCTGGTTTCTACAAAAAATAAAAATAAATAAATAAATAAATAAATATATATATATATATATATATATTAGCTGGGTTTGATGGCGCATGCCCCTAGTCCCAGCTACTGAGGAGGCTGAGATGGGGAGAATCACTTGAGCCTGGGAGGTTGAGGCTACAGAAAGCTATAATCACACCACTGCACTTCAGCCTGGATGACACACGGAGACCCCATCTCAAAAATAAATAAATAAACAAACAAACAAATATGAATACTAGCTGAGCAGGTGGCCCATGCCTGTAGCTCCAGTACTTGGGAGGCAAAGGCAGGAGGATCACTTAAGTCCAGGAGTTCAGGTTCAGCCTGGGCAACATAGTGAGACCCTATCTCTATTAAAAATTTTTGGCCGGGCACGGTGTATTTTTTAATAGAGACAGGGTTTCTCCATGTTGGTTAGGCTGGTCTTGAACTCCCAACCTCAGGTGATCTGTCCACCTTGGCCTCCCAAAGTGCTGGGATTACAGGCATGAGCCACCACTCCTGGCCAAAAAAAAAATTTTTTTTTTTTAGATTTGATTACTAACATTGTTAATAAAATTATAATAATGTAATTATTGTGATTCGATTTTAGTTTTCTTTGTGTATCCCAGAGGTTCATTTTATG
Source organism: Homo sapiens (assembly GCF_000001405.40). Taxonomy (NCBI): domain Eukaryota; kingdom Metazoa; phylum Chordata; class Mammalia; order Primates; family Hominidae; genus Homo; species Homo sapiens. The sequence goes on from NC_000008.11 coordinate 22,079,878, forward strand.
ATGTGAGCCTTGGCTCTGGCTGACTCAATTTTCACATCAGGCATTGGGCCCAGTTGTATATTTGGGCCACTTCTAGCTGGAGAGAAGAGGGATGGTGGTAGAGACAGCTGAGAACCACCAGCACTGTATTGCTTGCTGAAGGTGACCAGTAGGAGCTGGGAGCTAGCAGAAGCCCACCAGGTTCCCCCCAGCGTGATCCCTTCCTGCCCTGCCCCAGCTGTGGAAGGCCAGTGAGGTTGCTGTCTCAGGAAGGGCTGTCAGGGCCAAAGGGACTGAACTCAGGACCTTTTGCTGTCTTCCAGCCTTGCACCAGGGAACGTCTAAATCTTCCTCTCTCCCCGCCTATGGCAGGACCACCCTGAGCCGGGTAAGGTCTCAGGACCAGAGATATAGACTACGTGGGAGGAACGTGCATGTGGGGTGCTGAGGGACTGAGCCACTTGGGCACCCTCAGGGAGCGGGGAGACCCCCAAAGTGAAGGGGACCAAAGGTGAATATCCCCGACTGCCTCTGATTCCTTTGTGTCCTTTCTAGCTACAGTCCACAGAGTTCAGCCCATCAGGGAGTGAGACTGGAAGCCCAGGTGAGAAGTGGGGCCTGGTGCCGGGGTCTGGAGAAGGGGCTTACACAGGTCCCTGGGCAGCCGGGGTCTGGGCTGTGGGCAGGGGTCTGGTGAGGTCAGGCGTGTTGGCCTGCTGACCTCAGAGCTGCATCTGACCCATGCCCCTTCTCTCCCGCAGGCCTGCAGGTGAGTGCCTCCTGGAGGGGAACAGGCAGAGCAGCAGAAGCTGGGTCCTGGCACCCGAAAGTGTCAGGGGAAGGGGGGTGTGGGGCCACAGAGTTGCCTGGTGAAGAAGAAGAAGCCGGGGTAAGGCTGGGAAGGTCTCCCTGCCCCGCTCTGGCTCACTGCGGCTTTGGTCTCCCCAGAACGGAGAGGGCCAGAGGGGGAGGATGGACCGGGGGAACTCCCTGCCCTGTGTGCTGGAGCAGAAGGTGAGGGGCAGGGGACACAAGCGCCTGTAGCGGGGCGGGAGGCTGGGGAGATGCCAGGCAAGTGGAATGTGCTGCGGGGTCTTCCTGGTGTTGAAGATGGGAGGGATGGCAGGGAAGTTGGGGGAGACAGAGGGCAAGATGGCATGAACCCCAGTGGCCTCTGCAGGTTGATGTGGGAGGCCTAGGGAGTCGAAGGACAGGATATTCTGTGAGCCTAAGATTGCCCCTCCCCCCACCCCCAGATCTATCCCTATGAAATGCTAGTGGTGACCAACAAGGGGCGAACCAAGCTGCCACCGGGGGTGGATCGGATGCGGCTTGAGGTAGGCAAGGAAGATGCCCTGGATGGGTGCGGGGCTGTCCACGGGCACTCTCCTGCCTGGGGGAAGATCTGGGGCCTCTATGAGTGAGTGTCCCCTAGGTCACTGGGCACAGCCCCCTCCCCCTCCATGCTGAGCTGCCCCGATTCCCCCATGTAGAGGCATCTGTCTGCCGAGGACTTCTCAAGGGTATTTGCCATGTCCCCTGAAGAGTTTGGCAAGCTGGCTCTGTGGAAGCGGAATGAGCTCAAGAAGAAGGCCTCTCTCTTCTGATGGCCCCCACCTGCTCCGGGACGGCCCCCTTACCCCTGCTGCTTCAGGGTTTTTCCCCGGCGGGTTGGGAGGGGCAGGAGGTGGGGTGGAAATAGGGTGGGCTCCTTTCCTCAGGTAGAGTGGGGGGCCAAAACCTCTGCAGTCCCCGGCAGTGAGCTATGGACTTTCTTCCCCCTCACAAGGCTGGGGGCCTCCTGCTCTCGTCCCTGGCCCTCCCTGCACAGGGCAAAGCCAGTCTGGGCTCTGGCACACAGAGTTCATGTTTGCGCCCTCTCCCTGCCCCTCACCCCAGAGGGTGAGGAGGAATGAGGGGCATTGGTGGTTAGGCCGGTTGGCTGTCTTGAACAGCTGGAGGGAAGATGCAGGGGTGGGAAGCGGCCAGGCAGAAAGAGCTCCAGGCTCTTGTGTCGCCCACCCAGCCCTCCCATACTCACTCCTGACAGCTTTCCTGCACTGCAGCCTCCTGCTCCTCTGACTCTAGTGGGAACAGGCCCCAGCTCAGCCTCCGGCAGGGAGGTCACCCCTCCACTTCAGCTTGCCCTGACCTCCGCTCGCAAACCCCGAGCTTCCAAGCCTTTTGCTCCAGCCCTGCGGCTTCCCCAGAAGCCTGGGCTTAGGGTGGAGATGCCGCCTACACACGATCCTGGCCCTCCACCTGCCTCCAGGCCACGAAATGGGAATTCCAGCACTAAGCCAGGCACCGGGCAGAAGCTGGGCCTTCCGCCTCCCTTGGATGGGGTCAAGAGGCCAGGCCTGGCACATTTTGGAGTGTCCTGGCTACCAGCTCTCACCTACACCCACGCACCCCCCCACACACTATGCTCTCTCAAGAATGTAATTTATTGGGGCCCCCCCAGCTGCTTTCCTCACCTGCCCCTGCCCTACCTTACACCCCCAGCTTGACTTCTTTCCAGTCCACGTGTGTATATAATGATATCTATATTTTTGCCCAGGTCTGGGTATTGCTCCTGCCCAGACCCTGACATCCCTTTCCACTGTGTGTGTGACCATGCTGGGGGAGGGGGACTCTGCTTGGAATTAAAAGGTTGCATTGGGTCCCTACATCTGTCTTTTCCTTATGAGCCACCAGACCTGGGTGAACGAGACAAGCCATATCAGGCAGAGGGAAGCCCTGGGAGCAAGGGTTCCAATGCAGGGGCCGCCTAGGGCTGGAGGGCTGGAGACACAGCCCCGCAGTACTCTTTCCCCCAAGCCTGGGCCACAGAAGCAGGGGCTGTCTAGACAGGGGCCTGTCTGCCTCTCCTTCAGGGACTCTGTGATGGGGGCAGGAACCCTTGTGTTTGGGGCCAGAGGGAACTCACACCTCAGGGAGGAGGCTGGTAGAGAACTGGCTGGGAGGAAAGACTGCCCCAGCCCTCCACCAAATCCCAACGTGCTCGCCTTGGTAGCCAAGCTCAACATCAGACATGGTTGTCCCTCCCAAGGGGCAGGGTGCTCATGGTTCAATGGGGAGGCCGAACACAGAAAAGGTCAGCAGGATGTGAGTGTGTGGTGAGCTGATTGCCAAGAATCAGGCAGGGGAAACTAAGGAATGGAGAAATGGCAGTTGGAGGACGAGTCAAGTGGAGGCCAAGGGAGGAAGATGGGAATTTGGTCTTGGTTGACTTGGTAAGGCCTCCCAAGGGGAAAAGACAGGGAATTGCGTGTTGCGGGTGGGAGGTGGGAGAGGGGCTGCGGATCTGACGGGAAGACCAGAAGGAGGACTGCCTGCAGGTGTGGGTGCTTACGTGGGGAGGGGCCAGCCCCACCTGGCTGGAGCAGAACCATGTGTGGGCACATGAAGAGGCGTGCAGTCAGAGGGACCAGGTGAGTTGGAGGGTGCGCAACTTGTGAACCTGCGACTGGAGCTGGGGCCTAGCCTGAGTACCCTGGTTGAGTTCCTAGCCCCTGTGGCTGAAATAAGCAAAGTGGATAAGAACCCCTCAAATGTGAACGATTATTTTACATTGTAGGAGTTCTGTTGCATCCACAACATCATTTTATCCCTTCAGCAAACCTATGAGGTCAACAGAACAGATCACTGTCATCTTCTTAGCAAATGAGAAAATGGTGGGACAGAGACAATTCCTCTGAAGCCCAGAGCTACAGGAAACCAATGAGTGGAGAGTGGTGACAGGATTCAGGTTTCTAGGACTTTCCCAATAGGTACTGTTGTCTGTGAAGGAGAAGCAGAGGAGGGCAGACTAGGAGGGGCAGAAAGAAATGGGCTCTGCACACATACCCAATACAAGGCATTCAGAAACTGCTGGGGGGCTTAACCCTGCTCTGAGCATGGGGAACACAGCAGTGACCAGGTTGACGTGCCCGTTGTCCAAAAAGAGCTCCCAGGCTGTTCGGGAAAATGTCAAGGTCATTGAACCCTAAGGGGTGCTGGAGACAGGGTTTGGGAACTGTATGTAGTACGGGCAGGTTTGACCCTAGGTCCCAAAGGATTTTCAATTCATGAGAATTTAGAGCATATACATGATGGGATATTACTCAGCCATAAAAAGGAATGAACTAATGGTATTCACAGCAACCTGGATGGCACTGGAGACTATTATTCTAAGTGAAGTAACTCAGGAGTGGAAAACCAAACATCATATGTTCTCACTCATAAGTGGGAGCTAAGCTATGAGGTCGCAAAGGCATAAGAACGTCACAAGGGACCAGGCGCAGTGGCTTAAGCCTGTAATCCCAGCACTTTGGGAGGCCGAGGCGGGAGGATTGCCTAAGCTCAGAAGTTTGAGACCAGCCTGGGCAACATGGCGAAACCCCGTCTCTACTAAACATACACAAAATTAGCTGGGCATGGTGGCACACGCCTGTAATCCGAGCTACTCAGGAGGCTGAGGCATGAGAATCGCTTGAACCTGGGAGGCAGAGGTTGCAGTAGGCCGAGGTCGTGCCACTGCACTCCAGCCTGGGCTACAGAGCAAGACTCTGTCACAAAAAAACAAACAAAAAACCCACGATGGACTCTGGGGACTCAGGGGGAAAGGGTGGGAAAGGGGCGAGGGATAAAAGACTACAAATTGGGTGCAGTGTATACCGCTCGGGTGATGGGTGCACCAATATCTCACAAATCATCACTGAAGAACTTATTCATGTAACCAAACACCACCTGTTCTCCAATAACCTATGGAAAAAAAAAAAAAAAAGAAGGCTGGGCGCGGTGGCTCACCCCTGTAATCCCAGCACTCTGGGAGGCCAAGGCAGGTGGATCACCTGAGGTCAGGAGTTTGAGACCAGCCTGGCCAGCATGGTGAAAACCCATCTCTACTAAAATTAAAAAAAAAAAAAAATTAGAGCAGCTCAGACTGGAGCTCTTTGTCCCTAAAACAAAGCCTTAGGAAGAGCCTCTCAGTGCCTCCTCCCCACAACACACACATAAATAAATAAAAAATGAAAAAATTAAAGCATGAGCAAATTATTTCACATTGAGAGTCATTGACTATATGGCTTTTTTTTTTTTTTTTTTTTTGAGTCAGAGTTTCTCTCTTGTCACCCAGGCTGGAGTGCAATGGTGCAATGTCAACTCACTGCAACCTCCACCTCCTGAGTTCAAGCGATTCTCCTGCCTCAGCCTCCCAAATAGCTGGAACTACAGGTGCCCACCACCACGCCCGGCTAATTTTTTACATTTTTCGTAGAGATGGGGTTTTCACCATGCTGGCCAGGCTGGTCTCAAACTCCTACCTCAGGTGATCTGTCTGCTTTGGCCTCCCAAAGTGCTGGGATTACAGGCATGAGCCACCGCACCCAGCCATATGGCCTTCTCCTTGAATCTGGCCTTCATGCCTTGCATGTTTAAAGCAGCTTACCCGTGTTACTCGGGAGGCTGAGGCAGGAAGATCACTTGAGGTCAAGAGTTTGAGACCAGCCTGGGAAACATAGCAAGACCCCATCTAAAAAAAAAAAATGAATACATAGGGGCTGGGCGTGGTGGCTCACGTCTGTAATCCCAGCATTTTGGGAGGTCAAGGTGGGCAGATCACGAGGTCAGGAGATCCAGACCATCTTGGCTAACACGGTGAAACCCTGTCTCTACTAAAAATACAAAAAATTAGCCGGGCGTGGTGGCGGGCACCTGTAGGCCCAGCTATTTGGGAGGCTGAGGCAGGAGAATGGCGTGAACCCAGGAGGCAGAGCTTGCAGTGAACCAAGATTGTACCACTGCACTCCAGCCTGGGCGACAGAGCGAGACTCCTCAAAAAAAAAAAAAAAAAAAGAATACATAAAACTCAGTTTACCGTGAAATCATCTTCAACTCTTCATTTAAGCTGATAGGAGAGGCTTTTTTCAAAGGTCTTCCCCTAAATGGGCTAACCTGGCCTCAGAATTTAATAAAACCTCATGGTCTTTGATATTTCTGGACTATAACACATGTAGTGTGTACACTGACTTTTATTAGAGTTTTAAAAATAACATGTAAAAAGTTAAGTCGAATAAAAGGTTATGAACTCCTGATGTACTTTCATTATCCCCTAGAGTCCTCTGAGACATGCTGAAGGGAAGCAAGCTGATTTGACCTATCCAGCCTGGGTCCTTTACCTGTGAGGAGGTGGGCCTAGAAATCTGCAGAGACTGAATTGGAACTCCCACCTGTCAGAGAACTGAGGTCCCAATCAATTCTCACTCAGCCTGGGCTTGGCTGAACCCTGGCCCTCCTCAGGGCCTGAGGCCCAGACACTGGCCACCCTGGCTCAGAGTCTGGACTGCAGGCTCCACACCACAGCACAGAGCCCACTCTGGGCAGGTCAGCATTTCCTGTGCCTCAGCCCCACTGGGGAATGGGTCCTAAAAGGTGAGGCAGGTCCTGTGAAGCCCGAGACCCCAAAACTCTAGGTTCTATAATTCTGACAGGGGCTATTCTTCCTTCCCGAGGGAAACTGATTCCTTTCCCTCTCGTCATATTGAGAGGTGACAGCGTGCTGGCAGTCCTCACAGCGCTCTCGGCGCCTCCTCTGCCTGGGTTCCCACTTTGGCGGCACTTGAGGAGCCCTTCAGCCCACCGCTGCACTTTGGGAGCCCCTTTCTGGGCTGGCCAAGGCCGGAGCCGGCTCCCTCAGCTTGTAGGGAGGTGTGGAGGGAAAGGCACGAACGGGAACCGGGGCTGCGCGCGGCGATTGCGGGCCAGCTGGAGTTCCGGGTGGGCTTGGGCTTGGCGGGCCCCGCACTCGGAGCAGCCGGCCGGCCCTGCAGGCCCCGGGCAATGAGGGGCTTAGCACCCGGGCCAGCAGCTGCGGAGGGTGTACTGGGTCCCCCAGCAGTGCCAGCCCACCGGCGCTGCGCTCGATTTCTCACCGGGCCTTAGCTGCCTTCCCGCGGGGCAGCGCTCGGGACCTGAAGCCCGCCCATACCGGAGCCTCCCACCCGCTCCGTGGGCTCCTGTGCGGCCGGAGCCTCCCCGACGAGCGCCGCCCCCTGCTCCAGGGCGCCCAGTCCCATCGACCACCCAAGGGCTGAGGAGTGCGGGCGCACGGCGCGGGAGCACGGCGCGGGACTGGCAGGCAGCTCCACCTGCAGCCCCGGTGCGGGATCCACTCGGTGAAGCCAGCTGGGCTCCTGAGTCTGGTGGGGACGTGGAGAACCTTTATGTCTAGCCCAGGGATTGTAAATACACCAATGGGCACTCTGTATCTAGCTCAAGGTTTGTAAACACACCAATCAGCACCGTGTGTCTAGCTCAGGGTTTGTGAGTGCACCAATCGACACTCTGTGTCTAGCTGCTCTGGTGGGGCCTTGGAGAACCTTTGTGTCAACACTCTGCATCTAGTTAATCTGATGGGGACGTGGAGAACCTTTGTGTCTAGCTCAGGGATTGTAAACGCACCAATCAGCGCCCTGTCAAAACAGACCACTGGGCTCTACCAATCAGCAGGATGAGGGTGGGGCCAGATAAGAGAATAAAAGCAGGCTGCCCAAGGTAGCAGTGGCAACTCGCTTGGGTTCCTTTCCACACTGTGGAAGTTTTTTTCTTTCACTTTTTGCAATAAGTTGCTGCTGTTCGTTCTTTGGGTTTCCCACTGCTTTTGTGAGCTGTAACACTGACGGCAAAGGTGTGCAGCTTCACTCCTGAAGTCAGCGAGACCACGAACCCAACAGGCGGAACTAAAAACTCCAGACGCGCCGCCTTAAGAGCTGTAGCACTCACCGCGAGGGTCTGCAGCTTCACCCCTAAGCCAGCGAGACCATCGAACCCACTAGAAGGAAGAAAGTCCAAACACATCCGAACATCAGAGCAAACTCCAGACGTGCCACCTTAAGAGCTGTAACACTCCCTGCAAGGGTCTACAGCTTCATTCTTGAAGTCAGTGAGACCAATGAACCTACCAATTCCGGACACAATATGATGTCAGTGATAAGCAGAGACACTGGTTTTTGTTTCTTAGAGAGACACTATTTTGCTGTCACCCAGTCTGGACTGCAGGGGCACGATCATAGCTCATTGCAGCCTCGAACTCCTGGGTTCAAGTGATCCTCCTCCCACCTCAGTCTCCCGAGCAGCTTGGACTACAGGCACATACCACCACACCTGGTTATTTTGTATTTTTATTTTTTGTCAAGACAGGATCTTCATATGTTGCCCAGGCTGGTCAACAGCCTTGGCCTCCTAAAGTGCTAGGATTTCAGGCTTGAGCCACCACACTCAGCTGCAGACTTTTTTTTTTTTTTTTTTTTTTTTGAGACGGTCTCACTCTGTTGCCCGGGCTGGAGTGCACTGGCACGATCTTGGCTCACTGCAACCTCTGCCTCTCGGGTTCAAGTGATTCTCCCACCTTAGCCTCCACATACCACCACGCTTGGCTAATTTTTTTGTATTTTTAGTAGAGACGGGTTTTCACCATGTTGGCCAGGCTGGTCTCAAACTCCTGGCCTCAAGTGATCAAACCGCCTTGGCCTCCCAAAGTGCTGGGATTACAGGTGTGAGCCACCGCCCACAGCCCATAAACATTTTCTGATAGCCCTGTCAAAAAAGTAAAAAGCAACACGTGAAGTTAATTTTAACAATATACGTTATTTAACCCAACACACCTAATAGTCATTTCAATATGTAATCAATATAAGCCATGGTTGTTGCAGTTTCACACTTTCCTTTCTTACTGTATCTTCCAAATCGGGGTGTGCTTGGCACGGCACATCTTGGTTGGGACCAGCACATTTCAGGAGCTCATCAGCCCATGTGCCTGGGGCTGACTGAGACTTCAATTCAGGAGGAATTGTAATTTCTCTTCGAAAACACCTCCCTTAGCTCCCGCCTTAATCCCAGCTACTCAGGAGGCCCTGGCGGGAGGGTCGCTTGAGGCCAGGAGCTGGAGATCATCCTAGGCAGCACAGTGAGACCTCCCCTCCCAGTAAAAAAACAAAAAAAAAAAACAATTGGCCAGGCGTGGTGGCGCGCGCCTGTGGACCCAGCTACTCTGGAGGCCGGGGTTGGAGGATCGCATGAGTCCAGGAGTTGGAGGCTGCAATGAGCAGAGATCGCGCCACTACACTCCAGCCTGGGCGACCAAGCGAGACCCTGTCTCGGAAGAAAGGAAAGAAAAAAAAAAAAAAAAAAAACACCTCCCAGCCAACTCTCAGGGCCCACCGCTGGCGGTTCCCAGCCCGACTGGGCGCCCCCAGCCGGGGTTAGCCAGCGCCACGCAGCCGGGCCGGGAAGGGGCGGAGCGGCCGGGCCCCGCCCCCCTCGTCGCGCCGGGGCCGCCGGGGCCACGGGGCTGCCTCCTCCGCCTAGAGCGCTGCCGCCGCCGCTTTCGCCCGGGAGCCGGGGGCCGGGCGCCATCATGCTGAGCCGGCTCGGGGCGCTGCTGCAGGAAGCCGTGGGGGCGGTGAGGCCGGCAGGGCCGGGCCGGGCCGCCGGGAGTCGCGGGCCTAGGCCGGGCTGGGCGGGCGCGGAGCCGGGCGCGGCCCGCAGGAGGGCGGGCGGGCGCGGGCCCCCTCGGGCAGGGACCCCCGGGCCGCGGCGCCCCTTCCTCTGCCTCCCCGGCCGCGCCCCGCTTCCCCTCGCTCTTCCCAGTCCCGCTCCCAGACTCCTCCCGACCGCCCCACCTCCCCGGCCTGCTCCCGCGTCGCTTCCTGTCTGTGCGTCCTGGCCCCGGAGTCTCTCCCAATTCCCGAACTCGCCTCCGCCGGGACGCTCCCTGTCACCGCTTGGGGTGTTTCCTGCCCCCCGGGGCCCTAGGCCGCCTCCCCCCAGTCCCGGTGGGCCTGCCTCCTTCCTCCGCTCCACCCCACCGCCTCGCCTGGGCTTGAAAAAATCGCCGTCCCTTCCCCTCGGTCTGATCTCCCAGACAACTCCAGGACCTTGTTGGGGTGCAGGACGCCCTTCCCGTCACCCCGGGACGTGGGAAGTGCAGGCCCTGCCGGTCCAAGTCCCCACGAAGGGTAAAGACCCGGGGCAGGCTGGTGGGCCCCCAGCCGGGGAAATCGCCTTCTATTGGGTGCAGATGTTTCCAGCGTGGCTGTGACCCCTCACAAGCCAAATTGAGTTAGGGACATGCCGCCCGTGGTGGGGCCTGGGTGGCCCTGTGCGGGGAGGAGAGTCCATTGATGTTTCACGTGCCGTCAGTTTGTGTTTTTGCCATTTTTTGTTGGGGCTGCAGGCTGGCAGGCAGCCTACTACTAGGGTTCGTTCAGCAAGATGTAGCGCTGTGTAGGAAGGGTGGGGGTATTCCCGGTAGGGTGGGGGGGGTGCCCGCTGTTGAAAGTAACTCTGCCAAGAAGCTGTCTGTAAAGTCAGCAATACTTCTGCCTCCTAGTATAAATCTTCCCCCAATTGATGAGTTGAGTATCAGATTTTCTCAGGAGAGAAAGTCTTGGGTTTCACCCTCCTTCCTCCCCACCACCTCCTCCCCAACCCTCATGGGAGCTCCTGTTGAAAGAAGTTTGCCTTAGGCAAAGTTGGGAAGAAAGTCAGAAACTATGACTTCCTCCACCTTCCCAGCCCTGCTGTTGACCCAGGGCCAGGGCCTTGGGGCATCCAGGTAGAGAGGGTTCCAAAATGATTTTTCTTCCCCTTCCCCCATCCCCAGTCAAAACAGCTGTGATCTTCAAAAGTGATCTGATAAACCAATTCATACCTCTGGGGAACACTCCATTTACAGGAGGTGAGACAGGCCAGACAGTTCCTCAGTCCTGAGGAGTGAATTTCTTTCTTTTTCTTTTCTTTTTATTATTTATTTATTTATTTCTGAGCCCAGGCTAGACTACAGTGGTGCGATCTCCGCTCATTGCAGCCTCCACCTCCTGGGCTCAAGCAATCCTCCCACCTCAGCCTCCTGAGTAGCTGGGACTACAGGCATGCGGCACCACGCCAGGCTAATTTTTGTATTTTTTGTAGAGACAGGGTTTCAACATGTTGCCCAGGCTGGTCTTGAGCTCCTGGCCTCAAGCGATCCTTAGCCTCCCAAAGTGGTGGGATTACAGGCATGAGCCACCGCACCCGGCTAGGAGTCAAATTCTAAGGCTTCCAATGACAGAAGTACAGGCATCAGTGGCAGGAGATTTTGGCAGTGGAGGGAGATCTTTTTAGGCAGGTGATCTTCCGGGCCCTTTAGTATTGACCATATAGGCTATGTCCGGGCGGTGTGGTTGGCCCTACAGGGAGACGGGAATTCCTCTTTTGTGCTCTACCCTCAGGTCGCCAGTCTAGGTCTTTCCCAAGCCTTGGTCACCAAGTGTGATCCTAGTAAGTCAACTGATTACTCATTGAGTAGGAAGACTGCTCCTTCCCGCCCTCTTCTGATCTAACAGATTAGGAATCATTACAGCTTTTTTTTTTTTTTTTTTTTTTTTTTTTTAAGATGGAGTCTTCCACTGTCACCCAGGCTGGAGTGCAGTGGGGCGATCTCAGCTGACTGCAACCTCCACCTCAAGTGGTTCTCCTGCCTCAGCCTCCTGAGTAGCTGGGACTACAGGGCTGCGCCACCACGCCCAGCTAATATTTGTAATTTTAGTAGAGATGAGGTTTCGCCATGTTGGCCAGGCTGGTCTCGAACTCCTGACCTTAAGTGATCCACCTGCCTTGGCCTCCCAAAGTGCTAGGATTACAGGTGTGAGCCACCACCATGTCTGGCCACTAATAATATCGTTAAAGAGAAATTGTTGGGTCTAGTGCCTTTGGTTTGGAGTTATCATAGCTGGTGGTGGAGTTAGGTAAAGATCACACACCTGTGTCACCAGCTCTCTAATGGCCTGTGCTGGTTAACCTGCCTCTCCCGTGTCTCCTGCCGTACTGGAGTATTCTTTTTGGTTAAAGCCCAGCTCAAGGTTTTCAAAGACTATAAGCCAATTTTGAGGCTAAAGGAGACCCCATCACAGAAATTATGAGATAATTGTAGGGCTGGTGAAGGGCCAGAGGACTTTCTAAAACAAGGAACTAGGGAAAGAATCTCTCCAGGAGTTTCCTGAGATATCTGGTAAATATTCATGGGTATTCACTATGTGCTGAGCCCATTGAGGGCAGGCTAGCTGTAAAACACAGAACCCTGGCTCTCAGGGAGCTCATCATCTAGCAGAAGAGATGATTGCTCAGCACAGCAGGCACTGTCACATAGAATGTAGTGAGATGCGGTCACTGCACAGGGATGGAATATTTGGAATAACTGTGGGTGGTGCTACTTTTGAGAAGGGTTGCAGCCCCTACCAACTAGCTTTGCAAGAAGACAAGATGCCCTGCGGACTGAGGGGAGTTTCCAGTTCTGTGAATGTCATCCCTCCCTCCCCATGTTGCAGTGGCCTTCTAAGCATATTCTTCCTGCCTTTACCTCCTCTCCCAAGGCCAACTGCCAGATGAGTCTTCCGAAAACACTGCTCAGAAGGTGCCAATGGCCGGGTGTGGTGGCTCATGCCTGTAATCCCAGCACTTTGGGAGGCCCAGGTGGGCGGACCACTTGAGGTCAGGAGTTTGAGACCAGCCTGGCCAACATGGTGAAACCCCGTCTCTACTAAAAATACAAAAATCAGCCAGGCGTGGTGGCACATGTCTGTAATCCCAGCAACTTGGGAGGCAGGAGAATCACTTGAACCCAGGAAGCGGAGGTTACAGTGAGCTGAGATGGTGCCACTGCACTCTAGCCTCAGTGACGGTGAGACTCTTTTTTTTTTTTTTTGAGACTCTGTCTCAGAAGAAAAAAAAAAAGTTGTCATTGACCTGCTCCCTGCTGCCTGCAAAAAATGACTGAGACTTCTTGGCTTGGCATTAGAGACTCCGAAGTCTCGCCAGCCCACCCCTTCCCCAGGCACACTTTGCAGAGTTCCTTCTGCAGGGACTGTCTTCCTTCTCTTGTTGATATTGACCTGGTTCTTCAAGTTTTAGTTGAGATGTGATCTTGGTAAAGCCTTCCCTGTTCCAGCCTGTTAGAAGTTACCCCTGTTTTTCTGAGAGGTCACTACTTTCCACCTCTCCTGCGGCCTCACACTACTTCCTTGTAGCTTCGTTATTCAATGCGGTTTTATATCGTCTTCTCCATGACACATTTCTTGAGGACTAGGTGTTAGTCATCCTCATGTTGCTTGTGGCATCTAGCATAGTGTCTTGTACATAGTGGGCACTTAGAATGAACAAATGATTTCATGAGTGGCTACTCAGTTCTGTGGTGCAGTAAAGTGTGAGGTCAGAGAGGTGTGGGCAGGCAGGGACACTGGAGAGGGCTTGGTGGAGCTGCTGGGGACTGAACCTCACTGGGGACTTTCACGATCCAGACAGTTAGTGGGATACAGAGCACCTTGGGCAGAGGAGTGGCCCCAGCAAAGACCTAGAGGCAGAAATGCACAGCTGTGGGGAGGGATGATTAGAATTCTTTTTTTCCTGAAAACATTTACTCTGCAAGAAAAGCGAAGGAATGGTGTTGTTGTTGTTGTTGTTGTTGTTTTTGAGAAGTTTTCAGGGAAAGTGATTGTTCTCAGTGCAAGGCCAGTATCAGCCATGGTGTAGAGATGGAGAGAGCACTCATGGAAAAGGGGGAGGTTAGGGGCTTGCCCAGAGCAGAACCAGAATTTTCCAGGGCTTGATAGAAGGAGCCGGTAGAGGAGGAAACGAGAACAGCACTGGCTGAGGAGTTGGGGTTGTGCAGGCTCAGGCTTTGGACACAAGATGAAAGCATGTAAGCATGTTATAAGGAAGGCACATTGTTAATATCATGCTAATGTTACCTACCCTTCCGGCTGAACAGAGCCTGTGGTGGTCTTGAACAGATTTTCATAGACTCTCAGATTGAGAGGAATGGAAAAGCTTTGTCTTTTTTTTTTTTTTTTTTTTTTTTTTGAGATAGGGTCTCACCTTGTCACCTAGGCTGGAGTGCAGCGCTGCGATCACAATTCACTGAAGCCTTGACCTCCCTGGGCTCAGGTGATCCTCGCACCCCAGCCTCCCAAGTAGCTGGGACTATAGGCAGACACCACCACGTCCTGCTAGTTTTTAAATTGTTTATAGAGACAGAGCTTCATCATGTTGCCGAGGCTGGTTTAAACTCCTGGACTCGAGCCGTCTGCCCACCTTTGCCTCACAAACTGTTGGGCTTACAGGCGTGAGCCACTGCACCTGACCTTTGCCACATTTTCGATCTGTATCATTTTGCTTTTCTTTGGGGGACTGCGCTCCCGTGTTCCTCTATGTGCCTCTACTGTAGCGTAACCATGCTGTGTTGAAATAATCTGTGTCTGTTTCCCCCAGCAACATTCTTAGCACCTCCAGGACAGAGACAGGACAGGATTGTGACATACAGCAAGAAAACAGCATTTCCAGGAGGGAGGGGTATCTAGGGAGAAGTGCCTGTCAGGAGATCCTTGGCAAGATGACAGTGTGTCCTGGAGGAAATGTGTTATTCCTCCCTTTGAAAGCCAGGGAGCAGGGTGCCTCCTCATGAGGAGGCCTAGCATGAACCTGACACTCAGAATATCTGTTCCCATGCGGGCAGGGGCTCCCTGGCCTTTGTGGCCCCCACTGAGGTTGTGTGTCTGCCCTCCGCAGCGCGAGCCCAGCATTGACCTGCTGCAGGCCTTCGTGGAGCACTGGAAGGGCATCACGCACTACTACATCGAGAGCACAGGTGCGGCCTGGCCCTCCCCAGCCCAGGGACCCTGGAGGGAGCGGGGAGGAAGGAGTGTGCAGAGTGTCACCATTCAGGTGTCCTGGGAAAGGTAACCTGCCCAGTCGTTCAGAATTGGAGCCGAGTTCACGGAGACAGAGAACCAGACAGACAGAAGACCCAGAGCCCTGGGCCACTCCACTCCTGATGATTTAGCTGCCGGTCCCACTCTGACCTTTTGGAAAGAGGCTGTGTGAGGAAGGAGTAGCCTGGTTGGGGGTCTCACTGGCCTGACTCTGCAAGGAAGAGGTGGCTGCACTTCCCCCAGCTTCCAGCTCCAGACCTTCAGGCCCCAGGTGCTTGTGCCTAGGATTTAATGATCAAAAGAAAAGAATTTAATAAATTCCCCTTTCCCCTGAGCCAGCTTAGGGGCAATGTCCTTGTAGAGATCTGGGGTAGGAGGAGAACGAAAACCAAGGTGGGTAACATGCCTGGGTCCCTCTCTCCAAGCTGACACCCCAAAGAGCCAAAGCCTTGGCACCTGGTCCCATCAGGACCGCTCACTGAGGGGATGGCATCTGAGTGGCTGCTCTGCAGTCATGAGGCTGCCATGGGTGGATACGGACTGGTTGCCAGGTAACCATATCCTGCATCCCTCACTTTTCCCTTCCTGGAGTTCATACTGGGGCTTGATCCCAGCCCACACCTTTCCTACAGGCTTTCTTTCCAGCCCGGGCCAGCCCAGGAAATTCAGAAATCTGTGGGACCCTCTGAGGGTTCTGCTAGACCAGGTTTCTCAATCTTGGCACAGTTGGCATTGGACCTGGAGCCTTCCCTGCGCGGGGCTGTCCTGGGCGGTGTGGGATGTGCAGCAGTAATTCTGGCCTCTACCCACTAGGTGCCAGTAGCACACCCCACCCCCGAATTGGGACAACCAGGAAGGTCTCCAGACATTGCCTCATGTTCCCTGGGGGGGAAAAGCGCACCCCTGGTTCTGAACCTATCTCTTCAGGTTAAAGATCTCTTGAAGGAGAGCCTCAGTCCACCAGCTCAGTAAGATCAGATCAGAACTGGCTGAAATTCACCTGGGGCTTCCCCCATCCAGCCCTTTCATTTCCAGAATGGTCCCTAGACCAGAAGGGTTGGAAGTGCGTGGGGCAGGCCGCCCTACTCAAGCTCCTGTTCCTTAAAGGAAAGCTAGGGGGTGCTCCAAGTCTAGCCCTGAAGCACCAGAACTTTCTTTAAAACACACACTGAGACTCTGACTGCAAAAGCCCCCACTAAGTAGCTTCCCCGTCAGGGCGTTGGTACAGGGAGCAGGACTGGGTCAGACCTGAAGGTGGTGGCACAGATGTTTTTTTCTGCTTTGTGAAAAACAGAGGCTTGCCTTCTCTGAGTGTCAGTGGGGGAGGCCCCAGGAGGTTCTCTCTCAGGCAGCTGCTGGAATTACAGCTTCTAAGTTATGTGACAAGAGCCCTGAGCCCACAGTGTCCACTCAGGCCCAGAGCTGACAGCAGCCTTCTGTGGGCCCAGGACCATGTGTCCCTGTCTCTGTACCCATCCTAGGGTTTGAAGGAAACCGATGCTGCTGCCCCCTGATAAAGGGCTGGGCATGCATGCGTTCTCAGAGGACTGTGTCCTGAGCCTGGAAGGACTTTTGTCTTCTTAAATATTGAAGCATTCACTGTAAACTTCCATTTCCCAGTTGCCAGCAGCTGTCTTCCCCCACCTCTCCCAGACAGGACCTCCCCTTTCTGGGCTTTGGCAGGAGAGGGTGAAGTTTTCAAGCCGGGGTGCCCCTCTTTACCCTACTCACCCTTGTTTCCCAAACATCATTAGATGAAAGCACCCCCGCCAAGAAGACAGACATTCCCTGGCGGCTGAAGCAGATGCTGGATATCCTGGTGTATGAAGAGCAGCAGCAGGCGGCCGCGGGTGAGGCAGGGCCCTGCCTGGAGTACCTGCTGCAGCACAAGATCCTGGAGACTCTCTGCACGCTGGGCAAGGCCGAGGTGGGAGGCCCTCTGCGCGCTGGGCCAGGCCGAGGTGGGAGGCCTCTGCGCGCTTGGCCAGGCCGAGGTGGGAGGCCTCTGTGCGCTGGGCCAGGCCGAGGTGGGAGACCCTCTGAGTGCTGGGCCAGGCTGAGGTGGGCGGTGGGCAGTGGGCAGCCTGGGGCTCCCTGGATTCCAGGCCTTTCTGCCTATGCTCTTCCCAGTCCTGACACTGAAAGTGGCAGTTCGGGCGAGAGGAGCAAACAGGACGGGCACTGTGGCTGTCTCACTTAGAACACTCCACCATCCCAGCGCTCCTGTTCCCAGTTCACTCCACAAAGATGGGCCTGCCATGTGCCAGGCTCTGCTCTAGATGCTGGGGACACAGCAGGGATTCATACTGACAAGAGCCAGGCATGGTGATGCGTGCCTGTAGCCCCAGCTACGTGGGAGGCCGAGGTGGGTGGATTGCTTGAGCCCAGGAGATGGAGGCTGCAGTGAACTGTTATCGTGAGACCGCACTCCTGCCTAGGAGGCAGAGCAAGACACTGTCTCTTAAAAAAAGGAAAGAAAACTCGACAAGAATCCTAGTGGGAGAGGCAGGACCATCCTGTGATGGGTCAATAATGACCCAGTCATGGAGCACAGTGATGCAGGAAAAGGGGTTGTGAGTGCCAGGAAGGCTAGTTTCGAACAACGTGGCAAGGGAAGCAGGCCTGTGAGAACGGGCCCTCTGAGCCGGAACTGAGGGAGGAGTTGAGCCTGGGGCTCTCTGGGGGTGCAGTGTTCCAGGTGGGGGACACAGCTCTGACAGGCGCTCTGTCCCTGGCCTCAGTACCCCCCAGGCATGCGGCAGGCAGGGGACACGGCTCTGACAGGCGCTCTGTCCCTGGCCTCAGTACCCCCCAGGCATGCGGCAGGCAGGGGACACGGCTCTGACAGGCGCTCTGTCCCTGGCCTCAGTACCCGCCAGGCATGCGGCAGGCAGGGGACACGGCTCTGACAGGCGCTCTGTCCCTGGCCTCAGTACCCCCCAGGCATGCGGCAGCAGGTGTTCCAGTTCTTCAGCAAGGTTCTGGCGCAGGTGCAGCACCCCCTGCTGCATTACCTCAGCGTCCACAGGCCTGTGCAGGTGAGGGGCCCGGAAGCCAAGGGGTGTCTGGGTGTGAGGCCCCCTCTCTCCCCTGCCACCCCTCTCCCCTCTGTTTCTGTCCTGGTGCTCTTCCAGAAACTCCTCCGACTTGGTGGGACTGCTTCCGGATCCGTTACAGAAAAGGAGGAGGTGCAGTTCACCACCGTCCTCTGCTCCAAGATCCAGCAGGACCCAGAGCTGCTCGCCTACATCCTGGAAGTGAGCACTCTGATCGGGAACAGGAGGGGGAGGGCCCAGAACCCCAGGGCAAGCCCCCTCTGCCCTCCTGAGGAGGCAGAAGCAGAGATCAGGTACCCGGGAGGCACGCAGGCAGCTTCCCCTCCAGCTCCAGGCCGACGCCCTGCTGGCAGCCCACCCTGCGGTCCCAGTGGGGGACCCTGGGAAGTGGTCCCCACCAGGTCTGGCCTCATCTCACCCTCTTTTCAGGGTAAAAAGATTGTAGGTAGGAAGAAAGCATGCGGAGAACCCACTGCCCTGCCTAAGGACACAACCAGCCACGGGGACAAGGACTGCTCCCACGATGG
Organism: Homo sapiens; assembly: GCF_000001405.40. Lineage (NCBI taxonomy): Eukaryota > Metazoa > Chordata > Mammalia > Primates > Hominidae > Homo > Homo sapiens. The sequence goes on from NC_000008.11 coordinate 22,098,166, forward strand.
TGCTCCTGCCAGGCCCCAGCTGGACGGGGAGTCCTGTGGGGCCCAGGCCTTGAACAGCCACATGCCTGCTGAGACCGAGGAGCTGGACGGTGGGACCACAGAGAGCAACCTGATTACCTCCCTGCTTGGGCTGTGCCAGAGCAAGGTGCTGGCAGCAGAGATGGAGAGGTTGGGGGTGGGGGAAGGGTGGGTTGACGGCTGGGGGGTGATTTGGGGGCTCACATGCATGTCCCTGAAGTTGTATCCTCATCCCCTAGAAGAGTCGGGTGGCCTTGAAGGCCCAGGAGAACCTGCTGCTCCTGGTGAGCATGGCCTCCCCAGCAGCTGCCACCTACCTGGTACAGAGCAGCGCCTGCTGCCCTGCGATCGTCCGGCACCTTTGCCAGTTGTACCGGTCCATGCCTGTCTTCCTGGACCCCGCAGACATTGCCACCTTAGAGGGCATCAGCTGGAGGTGGGTGCCCAGCCCGGGAAGGCCGGCCAGCATCTTCAGTTGCTGGCAGCCCTGCCTGTCTTTGGTGGCCAGCTCCCCTGGGGTTCCACGTTGCTAGGGACCCCTGCTGGCCACCCTCTCCCCAAGGCTGCAGCTGATCCCCAGGGGACTTCTTGCCCTCCAGGGAAGTACTGGTTTTGCTGCCTCTGTCCATAAAACCCCCAAGATAACTGATCCCCAGCCACAGAGGTTCCACAGGAGAGGGGAAGGGCCCAGTTTCAGGACACATTGAGGAAGACCTTGAAGCTCCTTCTCCACTCTCTGAGACTTCACTCCCCTCTTCCTTCAGGTTACCCAGTGCCCCGTCTGATGAGGCTTCCTTCCCTGGCAAGGAGGCCTTGGCTGCCTTCTTGGGCTGGTTTGATTACTGCGACCACCTCATCACAGAGGCACACACGGTGAGCAGGGGCGGGCGGAGGCCGGGCTCTCATGCTGTTCCCTGTACCATCTCCATCTCGAGGACCAAGTGGAGCAGGGACATGGAAACATGGGGTCCAGGAGCTAAGCGGGGCCCCAGGCGGGCCGGGACCCTCTCCTGTGGCATCAGGCGCCGCGCAAGAACACGGTTATTTCTCAGCTGGAATTGTAATGAGGGCAAAACACATTGGCGCTCTCTGGCACCCAGGTGGTTGCGGACGCCTTGGCGAAGGCTGTGGCTGAGAACTTCTTCGTGGAGACCCTGCAGCCCCAGCTCCTGCACGTGTAAGTGTCTAGTTCCCTCAGGCATGACTGTGGTCTACAGTAAACCACCTACCCCACCCAGCCTCGTCCTGTCCCTAAGGCCAGACACCTTCTTGACCAGAATCCCATTTGTGGACCCCATTGGGTGATGTTTGCCAGGCCTGCCCCATGATGTGCACGTGGCTCTGAGCTACGTGGGCTAAACGAAGGCCTCCTACCCTTCCCTGCAGGACCTCAGCAGGGATGGGCAAGTGACCACAGACATACCAGCCAAACATGCGAGGCAAGCAGGAAGGGTTCGGCCACCCGCACTCATGTGCTGTCTGCACACACCGGGCCTGGCTAAGGTGCCCTCTTCCCGTAGGTCCGAGCAGAGCATCTTGACCTCCACCGCCCTCCTCACAGCCATGCTGCGCCAGCTTCGCTCCCCTGCGCTGCTGCGGGAGGCCGTGGCTTTCCTCCTGGGCACAGACCGGCAGCCTGAAGCCCCCGGGGACAACCCCCACACCCTGTATGCTCATCTCATCGGGCATTGTGACCACCTCTCTGATGAGGTACAGTGGGGGACCTCCATCTCTGTTCCTCTCACCACCCCTGCCAGAGGGATTTCCTGAACACTCTTCCCATTTCATTAGTGTTCCCAGTTGACTCCACCTTTGAGACACTGAACTGCAAAACACTGCCGAGCCACTTTTATCACACACTAATTTTCTATGATCATATACTTTTTTTTTTTTTTTTTAAAGAGACAGGGTATTGCTCTATCACCCAGGCCCTGGAGTGCAGAGGTGTGATCATAACTCACTGCAGTCTCCAACTCCTGGCCTCAAGCGATCCTCTCACCTCAGCCTCCTAAAGTGCTGGGACTGCAGGCATGAGCCACTGTTCCCAGCTTATTTTTTTACAGTATTTTATATTTTGCACACTTGGCTCGCTGGAAGGCTAACACGTACTACTTCGTGAGGTAGGCGAGGTTGATACTCCCATTTCTCAGACATGGAAAGTAAGGCACGGAGAAGCGAATTGGCTTGCCTGAAATTGCACATCAAATTAGTCACATACCAGGGACCACCCAGACTTCTGGATTCCTAGGCCCACACCCCCCAACTACCCCCAAAACCTGCCACCTTAGCATCCAGCCAAGGGAGGTGACTCTGCCTCAGAGGTCTTTTCTTATCTGGGTTAGCCATGCCAAGGCACCCCTGGGAGCTGGGTGGGGAAGGGGCTATCCTGCCGACCCCCTTCCTGCTCCAGATCAGCATCACCACACTCCGGCTGTTTGAGGAGCTGCTGCAGAAGCCCCACGAGGGGATCATCCACAGCCTGGTCCTGCGCAACCTTGAGGGCCGCCCTTACGTGGCCTGGGGCTCACCAGAGCCTGAGAGCTATGAGGACACCCTGTAAGTGAAACCGGCGCCCTTTGGACTCAGCCCAGCCCTTAGCACTCGCACGCTCACTCTGTCCATTCATTCACTGGTGCCGTACTGCTCTGCCCTGGCCACAGAGACCTGGAGGAAGACCCCTACTTCACCGACAGCTTCCTGGATTCCGGCTTTCAAACTCCCGCAAAGCCTCGCCTAGCTCCTGCTACCAGTTACGATGGCAAAACAGCAGTGACCGAGATCGTCAACAGGTGGGGAGCAAGTTAGGCAGTCTGAACCACTTGAGTTTTATTTTATTTTATTTTATTTTTTGAGATAGAGTCTCGCTCCGTCACCCAGGATGGAGTGCAGTGGTACAATCTCGGCTCACTGCAACCTCCACCTCCCGGGTTCCGGATCCAAGCGATTCCTGTGCCTCAGCCTCCCGAGTACCTGGGATTACAGACATGCACCACCACACCCAGCTAATTTTTATAGTTTTAGTAGAGACTGGGTTTCCCCATGTTGGCCAGGCAGGTCTCGAACTCCTGACCTCAGGTGATCCGCCCACCTCAGCCTCCCAAAGTGCTGGGATTACAGACATGAGCCACCGTGCCTGCCCTGAGTTTTACTCTTTGGCCACAGCCCTGGGGTCCAGTCAGGGAGGGAGATGGGGTCCCACAAGCAGGGGAGAGCAGGGTGAGCCGGGAGCGCCTCCACACCGGCTTCTATCTCTCAGTTTCCTGTGCCTGGTCCCCGAGGAAGCCAAGACCTCTGCCTTCCTGGAGGAGACAGGCTATGACACATACGTCCACGATGCTTATGGCCTGGTGAGTGGCTCCTGCTACCAGCTCCCACTTCCTGTCCTTCAGAACAGCTGGGTCATAAGCTCTGGGTTCCGCCTCTCTCATCTGCCCAAGGACCCCAGCCCATCCCTCCTGCGTGGGGCCCTGTCTGCTGGTTCCCAGTCCCCAGGCCCACTGCCTCTACTTTCCCGCCTGTCTCAGTTCCAGGAGTGCAGCTCCCGCGTCGCCTCCTGGGGCTGGCCTCTGACCCCCACACCTTTGGACCCCCATGAGCCCGAGCGACCTTTCTTCGAGGGCCACTTCCTCCGAGTGCTGTTTGACCGCATGTCCCGGATTCTGGATCAGGTAGCTAGTGGGCCTGGGCCAGGAGAACTCCAGGCTGGTGCCTCTGGGGTCCTTCAAGAGCAGAGGTTGGCCACAGGGTTGCCTCTGCTTCGGTTCTTTGGTGCCACCCCTGTCCTTTCCCCAGGTGGGAAGCCCCGTCTCACCCCTGCTCCACACGTCCTAACACGTTCTGGCCCTCAGCCCCATGGAATCCATGACACACACACATCACGTGAGCCTCCCACCCCCACACACGTTCACAGTGGCCAGGCACCTTGCTGGGGGAGTGCAAAAATACTCACCAGCCCTGCCAGCCCTCGGCTCTGTCCACCATGTTCCTACAGCCATACAGCCTGAACCTGCAGGTGACCTCGGTCCTGTCCCGGCTTGCCCTCTTCCCCCACCCCCATATTCATGAGTACCTGCTGGATCCGTACATCAGCCTGGCCCCCGGCTGCAGGAGCCTATTCTCCGTGTTGGTGAGGGTGAGGACGCCTCGGCCCAAGGGAGTGTGCCTAGTGAGGTGGAGGGGACATCAGGGAAAGGGAACGGGGCAGGTGGTTGGGGGCTGGAGGGGTGGGCACCCTTGCCAGTGCCAGGGAAAGCACAGTCTCCCATGCTCTGCATGGTGTGGCAGGGCCAGGGGACTCACTGGTGTTGCTGGCCCCATCTGAGTCCCCTGTGATTCCCGCTGTAGGTGATCGGGGACTTGATGCAGAGAATCCAGAGGGTACCCCAGTTCCCAGGCAAGCTGCTCCTGGTGCGCAAGCAGTTGACGGGCCAGGCTCCTGGGGAGCAGTGAGTACCAAGGGTGCCAGGTGAAGCCTTGGGGTGGGAGAGTGGAAAGCGCCTCTGGAGGAGAGGTGGCTGGCCACAGGGTCAAGCCTCGTGGATGCTGGGCTGTCATGCTGGGCACAGTCCTGCCCCCACCCAGCCATGCCCCCTGTGCCATCTCCCCTCAGGCTGGACCACCAGACCCTCCTCCAGGGCGTGGTGGTGCTGGAGGAGTTCTGCAAGGAGCTGGCTGCCATTGCCTTCGTCAAGTTTCCCCCACATGATCCTCGCCAGAACGTCTCCCCAGCCCCGGAAGGGCAGGTCTGAGCCAGCACCAGGGCGGTGGGAGACTCCTGTCCACACCTCTGCCCCAGAGCTGCCTCCTGCCTGGCACTGCCGCCACACTCCCCTCCTGGGATGGGGCTTCTGCTCCCGGGCTCACTCAAGGAGACTGCGGCATGTTGACCACACCAGACTGGGTTTCAGGGAATGGGCATGCCAGGTGCCAAGGAGCCAAACAGATGGCTTTCCAGGCAGCAAGGTCCTTGGGGCCTTCTTGGAGGAGCTTGGGTGACAGCCAGGTGAGCACCCAGACCCCAGACCCTCATGTGCTGTGTGCCTGGCCCCTTCTGTACTGGCCATTTGTGGCCAGGGCCAAGCCTGTGACTCAACTCCAGGGGCAAGATGGGGAGTGAGCTGATGGCTCCGAGACTGGTCAGGAGCCCAGGCCAGTGAGATGGGGCCTGGAGCCTTGTCTGTGTCACATTAGGTACCATGGGAGCTGCTGAGACCTGACATTTTGTCCCCTGCCTACATGGCTTGGCCCATGGAGAAGGAGCAGTGAATGGGATCGTCGGGGAAGCCCCTCTTCCTGCTCTGCTCCCCTGGAAACTGTTGCAAAACTCCCAGCCGCCTCATGGCAAATGCCCAAAGCATGTTCCGCACCCAGGCGGGGGCCCCTGCTAATGAGAACCTTGGTGCAGCTGCAGCCAGGAGGGGAGCGGGCCCAGGAGCCAGGCTCAGGTCCAGCTGGTTCCTCTCTGGCGCCTTCTGAACCCGTCTCAGCAGGTCCACAGCACCTGGGCAGAGGTCAGAGACCAGGGGAGGCCGGGCCTTGCCCTCCCTTCTGCCCAGGGCCCAGTGTTCTTGATAGAAGACCCTTCTGGGGAGCCAGGGAGCTCAGGGGACAGATAAGGGAAGGACGCCCCCTGACTCCAGGCCCCTGAGCCTGGCGGGAAGTGGCTGCGGCCCAGGCAGCCAGTCCTGGTGGTGTTCTCCCTGCATGCCCTCCGTGGCTGGGCTGCCACCCCACCCGGCCCGAATCTGTCTTGACCTGCAGGAATACACGGGCGGCGCCAGGCATTACCTCACAGCGGGACTACACAGTTGCTGGCTTTGCTCCTGGGCAAGGAGGAGCAGGCCAGAGCCTCTTTTGCTTCCTTTTCTTGCCCATGCCGCTTCTAGAAGCCAGGCACAGGTTGCCAAGAGGTGACACGAAACAGGAGGAAACTCAGTGACCTCTGCCTCTCCCACATTCCTCCCCGCGGGGGAGGACCTCGCCGCTCTGAAGAGCACCGTGCACATGTGGGTGCACAAACGTGGGTGTTGGTGTGGACGGGGCGCAGATCTCCGTGGATGAACTGCGTCTGGACTCTTAGATTCATAAAATATTCGAGGGTTTGGGAGTCACAGACCCTCCCCTCTCCTCAGTGCACTTTGGCATTTGCACGGTGTCTTCCCCGGACAGCACAGCAATAAATGGTGTGATTGCGTGGACACCGTGGCTCTGTTCTTGGCCAAGTTTCCCCACCTTCTGCCCAGGACTCCACTGCTAATTCGGGCCCATCTTCCTCCCCAAGGAAGACAAATTCTTTTTCTAGCGCTGCAGCAGGGAGGTGGGGTGGGCGGTAAACAGACAGGCTCTGGCAGTGCAGATCTGCTGATCCTCAGCGCCTGCCAGGAGCCAGACTCTTGGCGGAGCAGTGCCACTTCTGCTGGGCTGACCTGCAGCGGAGAGTCTGCCCACCCCGGAGACACCATGAGGGAATGGACCACGTGGGAGCATCTGTGTGCAAGTCTCATTTGGGTGTGTTTATGCTGCGTGTTGTATGCCTGTTTTAGTCATAAAGTAGGCCTGATATTTAAAACCTTGTCTTTAAGTTCAAGGCTGCAGTGAGCCGATTGCACCACTGCACTCCAGCCTGGGCAATAGAGTAAGACCCTGTCTAAAAAAAAAAAAAAAAAATTTCACAGGTGTGTTCTCAGGGAAAAAGAAAAGTTAACACATAAATAAACCCTTTGTCCTCAGATGTGTGTGGAGGGGTGGGGGATCCTCTGAGGGGGGTCCCCAAGAGACTGCGGGAGGGCAGGCTGAGAACGTGGAGGAAAAGGAGCCAGATGTTGGCTCTCAACTCGTGTTGATCACTGGGTGGCTTTTTAAAATCCCAATGCCCAGTGCCCCATCACCAGTTAAATTATTGTTGCTGGGGGTACACCCAGAGTTCAAGCTCTCCAGGTGGTTGTGCATGGTGGCTCACGCCTATAATCCTAGTACCTTGGGAGGCTGAGGCGGGAGGATCACTTGAGGACAGAAGTTCAAGACCAGCCTTGGCAACATAGTGAGAACCCCATCTCTACTAAAAGCTTAAAAATGCGCCTGTGGTTCCAGCTACTTGGGAGGCTGAGGCAGGAGAATCACTTGTCACTTGAGCCTGGGAGGTCAAGGCTGCAGTGAGCCAGGATCACACCACTCCACTCCAGCCTGGGTGACAGAGCAAGACCCTGTTTGAGGGAAAAAAAAAAAAACCCAGGTGACCCTAACGTGTGCCCAGGGTTGGAAACTACTAGGCTAAATAATGGGGGCAAATAGCCAAATGTCATTGCCCGGCTGACTGGATATGGGCCAGTGGGTCCCTTAGACACTGAGAGAAGTGAACTGAAACAAAGGGGTTTGGTTCCATCATTTGTGAGGTATTTGTCCTCAGAGGGTACAAGGATTCCTACCACCCTCCAGGGCCCAGAAAGGAGGGCAGCCAAGAGAGGCAGGGAGGGGGCTGGGAAAGGGGCCTTGGAGGTCATCTTGGCCCTCAGAAGGGGAGCCTGTGCTAGTGTTTCCTTGCTCAGAATCAGAAATCTCTACCGTAGAACACTTGATATATTTTATTTGTTCATTTCCTTTGATTTTGCTTAAATTTCAGTAAAGTTCTTTTTTTCCTCTTTCTTTTCTTTTTTCTTTTGAGAGAGGGTCTTGCTGTCTCACCCAGACTGGAGTGCAGTGGCCTGAGCATGGCTCACTGCAGCCTCAACCTCCCGGGCTCAAGCCATCCTCCTGCCTCAGCCTCCTGAATAGCTGGGATTTACAGGTGTGCACCACCTTGCCTGGCCTTTTTTTTTTCCTGTAGACACAGGGTCTCACTATGTTGCCCAGGCTGGCTTCAAACTCTGGCCTTCAAGCGATCCTCCTGCCTCAGCCTCCCAAAGCACTGGGGTTAAAGGTGTGAGCCACCGTGCCTGGCCAAAGTTCTTTTTTTTTTTTTTTTTTTTTCAGACGAAGTCTATCACCCAGGCTGGAGCTCGGCTCACTGCAACCTTTGCCTCCGGGGTTCAAGCGATTCTCCTGCCTCAGCCTCCTAAGTATCTGAGATTACAGGCATCTGCCAACATGCCCGGCTAGTTTTTTGTATTTTTAGTAGAGATGGGGTTTTGCCATGTTGGCCAGGCTGGTCTCGAACTCCCTGACCTCAAGTGATCCACCTGTGTCAGCCTACCAAAGTGTTGGGATTACAGGTGTGAGCCACTGTGCCCGGCCACTTAGCAAAAAAAAAAAAAAAAAAAAAAAAAAATCCTACCATGATTCAGCGAGGCTGAGGGGAAATGAAGAAAAGGTTTGGTCTGGCATGGGCTGAAGTTGTGAAAAGGCAGAGGCAGGAGAGCCAGGGGGAGTGGTCTGCGCCAGGGAGGCTCAAGGAGAGAGCAGAGGCAGCACCTGCAGCTCCTGTCCCACTTGAAGTTCCTCTGGGGCCGCCCACTGCCCAACCCTTGGAGGGCTCAGAGCTGTGTTTCATTAGGGATGGGTCCCCTCAGAGTCACATCCCGGGCCAGCAGGCCAACTGGAGGGAGCCCCAGGGGCCGTGCTGGACAGCAGACTGGCCCGCACTGTCAGTGCACTGGGAAAGGCATGGGTGCCTGTGGGTAACACGAGGGGAGCAGCAGCTCCTGGACAGTAGTCCCCATCACTTTCTCCCCACAGAGACGTGTAGGCAGGGAGGCAAGGTGAGTAACACCTCTTTACTCAGCAACGTGCTCCTCCCTCGGGGGACCTTCCCCAGTGCCCCTCCATGCTCGAAGGGCCTGGAAGGATCAGAATGCAGGCCTTTCCCAAGGACGGCACAGAACGTGATGAGGAGATGCCACTGGGGGTGCAGAAAGCTCCCCATCCCCCTGGGAAGAGGCGTCAGCGTGCCCTCAGGGTAGTCAGGTCCTGAGCTTTGGACTCCTCGCTTGGTTAAAGGCACTGTCCCTTGTGCAATCTAGAGGAATGCTCCTCAAAGCATCTCTCCTGGGGACCAGGAGAGCCGCCCCTGCTCCCAATGCAACAAGATCCCTGATCGCCAGCCTCTTGCCTCCCTCAGAGGGAGACAAGTCCGCACTGGAGGGAGCACGGCTGCCTAGCTCCCTGTCACCTCCCCCACCTCTCTATCTGTTCACTGGGACAACAGAGGATCCCTGAAGCCGCTGGAGGAGCTGGCTTTGCAGGTCTTCCTCCATCACCTTCCACCAAGAGAAGTTCTCACCCCGAACTTTTGGGGGTTCATCCTGGATCCCTGGGCTCCGAAAAGCCACGGTCACCAGCACATTCAAACAGATGCCATCACTGTGATCTCGGCCCAGGTGCTGCAGTCCAAGCAACCCCTTGATCTCCACCACCAAGTGGTGCAGGGTCAGACACTCCTGCAGCAGCCGCAGGACGGCCATCTTCATGCCACCCCTCTGCTCCATAGGGTCGAGGCCACAGGCAGTGACAGGCAAGTGAGGCATCCCCACTGTGCCCACTAACACCCACACTGTCTGGGCGCTGGTAAAGGTAGCCACGAGCCGCTGGCAGACCAGATCACAGGGTAGCTCTTGGGGCAGAATGAGAGGGTGCCTGGCTTGCTGGCGATACTGGGCGGCTAGTTCAACCAGGTGCAGGATGTCATGGGCTCGCAGCGGAGTGGGCAGGGAGGTCCGTGGGTACCAGGCAGCCTGCAGGGACTCCGCATCGGCCTCCTTGGAAGTCTTGAGAATTCCACCTGGGGGAGATGTGGGGGATGGGGCAGGGAGGGTCTGTGTGGAGAGAAGTGCAGCTCTGGCAGAGTCAACAGACATCCCTGACCCAGGAGAGAGGCCCCCAGCCCAAAGGCTGGAATCTGCCCATGCCAGGCTGTGCCAGCCATAACAGGACTGGCTGTAGAGGGGCTCACCTCACCGAGGAGCTGGGGGAAAGGTGTCAACTGGCCCTGTTCACACTGCCTCCAGGTGGGCCATACCTGTGGGGCGAGCGAGGAACACGAAGCGGACCCAGGAGGGGCCCCGCTCCTCCACGGACAGCAGTGTCTCGGGCTCACAGTGCAGCCCCGCCTCCTCCTTCACCTCCCGCTGCAGCGCCTCCACGATGGTCTCCCCTGGCTCCATTCTCCCCGCAGGCAGGTACCACGACCCCCGGCACTCCCTCTTGGCCTCCTGGATCAGTAGCACCTCATCCTGAGAGGAGAGAGGATCCTCACTTCCTGCCACAGCCTTCCCTCGCCCCGGGACCAGGGGGCATCTCAAACACAGTCGCCCAAGACTCCCCTCTGGGTGGACACTCTCAACCCAGCTAGCGCTCCAGGAGACCTGCCCTCGTGTCGCTGGGGGCTGCAGCCCTCTCCTCTCTGCAATTCGTCTCTCTCTGGATTTAGGAAGACTTCCATTTCAGGAAGGGCTGAGATTCCTGGAAGCCGCTTCAGGGGCTGGAGATGAGGCCCCAGAGTGAGGGTCACCATGTGTCTGTCTGTCTTGGATTGATTTGCGTCTGTACCTGCCACTGTGTATCTCTCGCCTCCAACGGCGTGGTTTACAAACTGTGATGGGTCCTCACACTGGGGTCTGGCTTGAAACACGACCCCCACCTCCGCTCTGTACAACCCCGCCCTATGGCCCTGGCCCCGTCTAGTTGTCATTACATCGCCCACTACAGGCATCAGCACCAAAGGCCTGAAGGTAAGCCGGGATTGAGCCACTGCTATCTGAGGGGCCCTGGGCACTCCGCTAGACTCTGGGGAAGGGAAGGAATGAGGCCTAGTCGGATGAGACAAACAGGCCCCGGGCCTCAGTTTCCTCTTCTGCATATCGGGACGAACGCAGGACACAGATGCGAGTGGGAGTGGGAGTGCTTTGCAAAACTGGGAAGCGCCACGCACGCGGCAGCGCTGGCTGTGGCCGTTGGGTCTTCTGTCCCCACCTGGGCTGGCTGCGCGCTCCCGAGGCCCGGCGGGCCCGGGGGCGGCCGCTCACCTGCTCGCTGAGGAACACGGCCAGCACCACGTAGCACACGTTCTTCCGCAGCCGCACGGGCGCCGGCGGCTCCCCGGCCGGCGCCGAGTCGCAGCTGTGCACGCTGGACCCCTGGCCAGCCAGCACGGAAGCCAGCGCCCCCGCCAGGCCCTCCGAGGCCATCGGGTCCCCCGGGGGGCGGCGGGCCGGATCCTCGCAGACCGACTGAGCCGAGCCGCGGGCTAGAGTGCGCTGCGGAGCCCGCTCCCAGTCCCTGCGGCAGCGGGCCGGGAGCTCACGAGAACGCGGAAGCGCACGCGAACGCGGAAGCGCACGCGAGCTCTGGCCGCTGATAGGCTGCGCGGCGCCGCGGCCTGCCCGGATTGGCCGGCCCGCGGCATTCACCGAGGGGGCGGGGCCGCCCGGGGCCGCCCTGGAACTGGGGGGGCACGGGTCCGGAGCCCAGCGGACCCCGCCCGGCTTCTGCCGCCTGTCAGTCCCGTGCGCTCGGGACGTCTCCCAGCCGCCACCCGCTCGCCAACTCCCCGAGCGCGCACTGGTCTGCAGGAGCTCCGACGGTGACGTCATCTTTCCTGCAGGGCGCGTTGCGCCGCCGGGGTAGGCGACGGTGACGCGACAATCCGGTGACGTCACGGAGGCCCGGGGCCGCCCCCTGGAACCACTGTCCCGCTGTTGCCGTAAACACACAATGGCATTGCCGGAGTTGATCATATCCCAAATACCTTTCTTCTCATTCCACCAAAGAGTTATAAATGTCACATGGCCCGTGGGGTGGGGGACATAAACCCCTGCCTTGAAGGAGATTCTGCAATAGTTGGAGAGATGGACGGAGTCCTAGATGAGGAGTCAGCTGAGGGTTCGAGGCTAAGTGCTAAATGCTTGGTTTGGGCAGGAAGAGTGACAGGCGCTGGAAGGAGGGAGGGGGCAGGGCTGGGGATGGCGGGAGGGGTCCGGGGCTGAGAGAAGGCTGCCGTCAGCCGGCCCACCCTCATCAGTGTCCCTCTGCCTACCGCATTTCCCACGCAGCTCAAGGCCCTCTCTGCTGCAGATGGTGCGCCCTGGGAGGGCGGGGGTGGGGCCCTGCTCCTCCATCCTTGTCGTCACCCTCCCACCCAGCGTGCAGGACCTGGCGCGTGGAGAGCAGGGTGGGGGTGGTTGTGGCGAGCGCCTGCTCCTCTCCCAGCTCGGCCTTTCCTCCTTCACCCCACCTCAGCACTGGAAGGCAAAGCCAGCTGGAAGGGATCTGCGAAGCAGGCCGTCTGGCTCCTCACCTGGCAGAGGCCACCCCTTTCCTCTGCCTCTGATAGTTTTGTGCGCCTCCCTGCTAGGGAGACTGTGGCTTGGTGGTGTGGACAAAGCTCAGGACCTGCAGCCAGATGGCCAGCCACTGCTGACTGGCTTGCTCTGTGCTCCTGGGTGAGCTGTGGGCCTCAATTTTCTTATTTGTAGAGCAGGATCATAGCAATTCTTCTTTTACAGGGGTGTTGGGAAGCCACAACAATTGGAGAGGAGCTGTGTGGATTGTCCAGCACTGGGCACCGTCCCCAGGCAGCCCACCAACCCTCAGGGGTGGTCCCTCTCCACCATAGCTCTTGCTACCACACGCAAGGCCTGCCCTCATGAAATGTGACTTTTGTTATCCCCTAGAGTCAGGGTTTCACTGTGTTGCTCAGATTGGAGGTGCAGTGGCGTGATCACAGCTCCTACTGCAGACTTGATCTCTTGGATTCGAGTCATCCTCCTGCCTCAGACTCCTGAGTAGCTGGGACTGCAGGTGTGCACCACCACGCCTGGCTAAATTTTTAATTTTTAATTCTTTGTAGAAACGAGGGTCTTGCTGTATTGCCCAGGCTGGTCTTGAACTCCTGGCCTCAGTGATCCTCCCACCTTGGCCTTCCAAAGTGCTGTGGTTGCAGGCATGAGCCACCATGCCTGGCGAAATGTGCCTGTAGAGCTGCCTTAGAACTGGACTCAGGAACTTCAGCAACGCAGGATGCATCTCTTTAGGCTCCTCTCACCTGCTGATACTGACCACAGGCTCCCTGGAGGCAGGGCCCTGTGTTAGGCTGTGGGATATCACTAGAAGGCCCATGAATTTTGAGGCACTTGCTGAACGCCGCTGGGCCAGGCCCTATCATGGACCTCTCACCTTCCAAATAACTGCAGGCACAGGACCCCAGGACTGCAGAGCAACTTGTCAACATATTTGCTCTGTGTGTGTGTGTGTGTGTGTGTGTGTGTGTGTGTGTGTGTGTGTCTTGCGGCACACACATGTGTGAATCCCTCAGTTTTCCCACCTGTGAAGTGGGGGAAGTTGGACCCAGACTCCTGTCTGCCTCGCAGGGATGATTTGAGAGAGTGAGATCATGTCTAGGCAGGGATCTGGGAGCTTCAGAGGCAGCCTAAGGTAAACAACAGAAGGCCTCACTGCCCAGAGAGCAAAGACCGCAGCAAACCGTGGCTCCACGCCTCCCATTATCCCGGGGGGTAAAGCCCTCCCCCAAAGCCTCTTGTAAACTGTGAAGGGAGTGCTGAGACAACAAAGAGGCAGGAGTTCCCAAGGCCTTGGGAGAGAACAGCAGTGAGACAGAGGCTGGAGAGGCCCTGAGACAAGGGAGGCAGCTGAGGGAGGACGGGAGGCTAGATAGGAACCACCAGTGTCCCCATCAAGTCAACTGTGTGTCCTCCAGTCACAGAGAGGGAAGAACCCTGGCCAGTGTGGCGGGCCGCACAGTATGGTGAATGGGAGTAGCTTAATGCTCCCAGCACCCTTGGGAGCCAAGCCAGAGCCAGCCGTTTCAGGGCATATGTGCGCATGTGCGGTGGGGGTGGGATGGGGGGAGCACAGGAGCAGGAAGGCCTGGGTAGGCGACCATGGGGATGGGGATGGGGATAGGGACAGGCAGGGCAAGGTTGTATCAGGGCATCTGTGATGCTAGAGCCATGGACAGAGCAACAAGGCCTGTGTCTTGACAAGGTAGGAAGGTGAGGAGGGCAGGAACCCAAGCTACAGCGGGAGAGGGAGGGCTGGCCACAGGCTAGCTCTCTGAGGGACCCTGGGGACGCCACATCTACCCTCCAGGCCATCTGTCAAATGCAGGCATGGTTGGATCCTGGAACAGAAAAAGGGCATTCATGAAAAAACTGGTGAAATCCTGGTGAGGCCTGTTGCTTCGTTCGTAGTGTGGTATCAATATTAATGTCGTAGTTTTGATCAAGGCACCATGGTTATGTAAGATGTTCACAATAGGGGAGGCTGGGTGAAGGATAATTGGGAACTTCCTGTGCTATCTTTGTGACTCAGCTGTAAATCTAAAATTATTTCAAAATAAAAAGCCTGAGCATGTATATTCAGGGCAACTCGAATCTATGCTCCTGGGTAAAAAGGGAAAATAAAAAGTCTGAGAATTTTATCAGAGAAAAGGAAAGAAGGCATTGGGTATGCAACCCTGCGCTCACTTCCAGCTTGGCTGGTTGTATGTCTGGGATTTCTGAGCGACAGAGGGGCTGCAGGCAGAGCACAGCTGGTAGACCCTGTGAGCAGCAGAGGCCCAAGGGTCTCTGAGGAACAGTGCCACAGAGTGCCCCAAGACGAGTCTCCGAGTCAGTCCCTACCTGGTCCGGCTGCATTCTCAGGAACAGTGCTGGAACAAATGAACATTGATTCACTTCTGTTTACAAAGAGACCAAATATGTCCTCAAGGGCATTGTGACCCACCTGGAAGGCCAGAGGCGGTTAAGAGGAGATAAGGTCTTGAGGGGAAGACAGAGGTTTAGTGGTGCACTGTTCCCACCCCAATGGGTAAAATTCAGAGAACCATCTTCCCACAGGAAATACTCCAGATTTGGGGTTCTGAGGTGACATCAGGACATGGCTACAGAAGATGAAGTGGGGCATGGTGGATCACGCTTGTAATCCCAGAACTTTGGAAGGCCAAGGTGGGCACATTGCTTGAGCCCAGGAGTTCGAGACCAGCCTGGGCAGTGTGGCAAGACCCTGTCTCTACAAAAACTACCAAAATTAGGCATGGTGGCATGCACCTGTAGTCCCAGCTACTCAGGAGGCTGAGGTGGGAGGATGGCGTGAGTCCGGGAGGCAGAGGTTGCAGTGAGCTGAGATTGCATCACTGCATTCCAGCCTGGGTGACAGAGTGAGACCCTGTCTCAAACAAAAGATGAAACGTAGGTAGGAATGGGTCATTCGGGGCCACTTGGAACATGATCAGCTATAAAGCACGTACATTGGAAGAAGAAGGACAGAGAGGAGGGCAAGCCTGTCTTTAAATTCCACTAAGAGTTAAGACTATAATGTACACAAGGTGTCTTGACTCAGAAAACTTGGTTCAAATCCCAGTTCTTCCACTAAAATTGCTATGCGACCTTGGGTAATTTACTTAATTGTAGCTTGCCTGTTTCTTCTTCTGTAAAATGGAAATAAATCCTATCTGTCTTAAAATCCTGATAACGGATTAACTGAGATCATTTTAATAAAAGGGATTAAATGAGATAAATTATTATTATTATTATTATTATTATTATTATTATTATTATTTTGGAGGCAGAGTTTTGCTCTGTCTCCCAGGCTGGAGTGCAGTGGCATGATTTCGGCTGACTGCAATCTCCACCTCCCAGGTTCAAGCGATTCTTCTGCCTCAGCCTCCCGTGTAGCTGGGATTACAGGCGCCTGCCACCATGCCCAGCTAATTTTTTTTTTTTTTTTTTTTTTTTTTTTTGGTATTTTAGTAGAGACAGGGTTTCACCATATTGGCCAGGCTGGTCTTGAACTCCTGACCTCAAGTGATCCACCCGCCTCTGCCTCCCCAAGTGCTAGGATTACAGGCGTGAACCACGTCGCCTGGCCAGATGAGATAAATTAAATGAAAACAAAAGCAAAGTAAACTGTAGAGTTCTCAGTTTTTTCTTTTCTTTTCTCCTCTTTATCCCATAAAAAAATGAAAATAACTGAGTTCTCCAAACAATGAAAGAAGCCCTACATTTTTTTTTTTAAATAAAGCATAGTTTTGTAAATCATGGCAAAGCCACTTAATGGAATATAAGCAGTCATTTAAAATGAAGATTAGGTAGCAACACAGAAAATGATTATGATATGGTGTCGAAAGAAAGAAACCAAGGACAAAACACAGCAATCCAGCTATGTGCACAGCAAATCCTTGGGGAAAGCACTGGGAGGGAATATGCCAAAATACTCATAGTAGTTGGAGGTGTGTAATGATGGGCTAGAAGGTGACTTTCTTATTTTCTGAATGTTCTGAAAGTATATTACCCTTATAATAAAAAACTTTATTTAATAAAAAAAATTCCCCAAACCACAGCAGGAACAATTAGGTATGACAAGAGTGGGAGTGTTTTTCTTTGTAGGGCTGAGATACACAAAGGAAGCGGGAGAGGGCGGAGCGCCACCAGGAGGCTGCGGGCGTGGAGCGGGGACAAGGAGGGGTCGGCTGTCTGAAGCAGTCAGGCTCAGTCCCAGGGTGGCTGGGCCTGGCGTCGGCCATGGCCACTGCCACCAAGGGCAGACAGGCGGGGCAAGGGCTCTTCTGGGCCATACTTCTGGATCTCCAGGTCAGGGTAGACGGGAGAGATGGGGCGGACTGGAGCTTGCTGGGTGGAGTAGGGCTCGGGAGTCTCTGCACAGGGAGGTCACCTCGTGGCTGTGCCCCAGGACTCTGCCTTGCCTGCTCTTGCACTCAGGAGCATCTTTGGGGGACAGCCCCCCACCCCACCCAAAGTCTCCTCAGTGGGAGGCAAGGCCCCAGGCCCCAGACGAAGAGCAGGCAGTGGTGTCCTGTCCCTTGGGCCCCAGCTCCGGGCTGCCCTACTCCATTTGTCTCTAAGGCAGATTTCCATGTCCCCCTCCCTCCCTGGACCATGTGGCCTGCAGGGGCAGGGCCAACCACACTGGCAGCAGTCACAAAACAACAGACTTTAATGGAAATCATGAAGGAGGGAAGCGGGCGGACCGGGAAGGGGCTGAGTGACATCGCCCATGCCGCTCCCTCCGCCAAGCCTGAGCAGCTCCTGATGCCACCCTCTCCTCACACTCCCCAGATCTTTTGGCAGGAGGGCAGAAGGTTGGAGGCCCCTTGTTCAGCATGCCTGCAGTGAGCCCAGTGAGGATGCGGTGGTAGAAACGGAGCTGGGGCAGTAGAGTGGGCTCAGCGGGAGTGAGCAGCAGGAGGAGGTGTTGTTTAAGCCAGAATGATTCCCAAGTTTCCCCAAGGAAGGGCTGTTTGTCTCCTGGGTCTCGGAGGAGTGGGGATTGGAGGAAGTCAATTGCCCCCAGTGCGGGCCTGGTACCATGAAAAGGGGCACAGGGTGGGGGAGATGCCAGCCTGAGAAGGACAGGTGTGAGCTTGGTGGCACTGTGGTTGTTGGCTTAAGGGGGAGGGGAACAGAGTGCCCTGCTTGTGCCCAGAGTGGTGCTTGTGGGGTTGACCAGAAATCCCCAAGTCCCCTAGCGCCATCCCCTGCTGAAGTTGTGCCTGGGCTGAGCACCTGGTCTACCTGTCCCCACCCCGATCCCAGACACCTAGCATCCCTCTATTTGGCCTCCTGTAATGTCCCCACGGCCACCTTCACTGCTTGGAACACAGCCCAGTCCATCTAGGAAAAAGAGAGAGGACAAAGCATTTTCAACTACATTCCTGGGCCCACCCGCTGTCCCCCACCCTACTTAAAAGGAATACTCTGGCCAGATGCGGTGGCTCACACCTGTAATCCCAGCACTTTGGGAGGCCAAGGTAGGTGGATCATTTGAGGTCAGGAGTTCAAGACCGGTCTGGCCAACATGGTGAAACCCCACGTCTACTAAAAATCCCAAAAAAATTTAACCAGGCATGGTGGTGGGCGCCTGTAGTCCCAGCTACTTGGGAGGCTGAGGCAGGAGAATCACTTGAACCCAGGAGGCGGAGGTTGCAGGGAGCTGAGATAGTGCCACTGCACTCCAGCCTAGGTGACAGAACAAGACTCCATCTCAAAAAACAAAATGAAACAAACTAAACAAAAGGAATACTCTGCCCCTGCACAGGGTGGCTGCCTGCTTGGCACAGGGTGGGATCTGCTATGTCCACTGCAGCTGTGGCACAGGGAGGTGGGAGGCTTGGGTAGCACACCCAGCCTGCTGGCCCACATCCCACTCACCTGGGCATAAAGCAGGTGGCAGTCAGGGGGAAGGCTGGGTCCCTGGTGGCAGAGCTGAGCAGAGAGGGCAGAGGTCTCAGGGGAGAGGAAGTGCTGAGTGACGCTGACTGTGCTCACCAGGCCCTGCACCTGTGTCGGGGGGACATGGACAGTGAGGCTCAAGATCACACATCCTCTCCCTGTCCCCCTGGTCCCTGAGGTTCGCTTCCTCTAATGACAACCACCCCCGACCCCTGGCTCTCAGAGAGCAGATTCCTGGATGCACCACTGGACACCTCAAAGCCTGTGGCCAAAACCGGGACTCAGAACTGCTGGAGAGACCCTAAAGTCTCCCTGCGAGCCCCCTGACATCAGCATGCCCAGGAGACCAGGAGTGGACTCTGGCGCCAGTCCCAGTTGGGCTCAGTGACTTCAAGGCCTCTTGGCTCCCCCGTTATCTCTTCCCCACAGCAGCGTGCGGCTCCCTGCCCTGCCCGGCTCTTGGGTATTGAGGGGATGTTGGATGCCTGCGGCCTTGATTGGGTCGCTTCTGCCATCCTGATCTCCCCGCAGAGCCCCTGCCCGCTGGGAAGCACCTGGTGGGGAGCCCCTGCAGGCACCAGCACGGCCTCTCCGGGGGCCTGGAGCAGGGTCCAGCAGCTCACGCCCCACTCCTCCCGCAGGCGCCGCCGCAGCCCTGCATCCAGGTAGCAGCTGCCTGGGGCGCCAGGCTCCAGGGCGCCTGCCCCGGCCGGGCACACCTCAAAGAAGAGAAGGGGGAATGAGCGAGATGGGGAGGGAAGGGCAGGGCTGCAGGAGGATGGGGCATGGACTTTCCAGAGGCCAGGGGTGGAGAAAAGAGCCGAAGGGTCAAGTCTTGAAGGGCAGGCAGGGAGGGCATGGCTGAGTTTGTTTGGGGCTGGGGCAGCTCAGGTTGGCAGAACACACATTTGGCTGGAAGGAGCTTAGAAGGAAGGGATTCAAGGCCCTACAGTTGGGCAGACTGAATCCCTGCTTTTCTGGGGCTGGAGGCCTTTAACAGCCTCTGTGACCTCGGCCCCTCTCCTCCCTCTCTCAATGGTACCCCTTTCTGCAAATCCGAGGGAGACGTCCTGCATAATCCCAGTTCATAAACTGTCTACCAGGACTTCTTCATCTGAAGTCTTTGGAATGGCCAGAATTGTGTGCTAAGTGGTGGATGAGGAGAGAGCTGTGTGTCCCTGGGGAGACAACTCAAAGTGTTCATCAGGGTCTCCCTAAGATTCCGGATGCAGAAAAGGGAAGGACCACTGCGAGGCTCTGAGTGCCAGCAGGTGAACAGGCTTTCCGGCCAGGCTGAGGCCTCTGCAGCAGCCACAGCTACGGGGACCTCACAAGCCTAACCAGAGCAGGGAGCTCTCTGGGCAGGCAGGGACTCGCAGAGGACAGAGGTGCCCAGGGAACATGTGCAAAGGGGACGCCAGCATCGTGCTCCAACCCACCACCAGCCCAATCCACCCCCTTTGGCAAGGACCTCAGCCATTGCCCCTGGGCTTAGGGCTGCAAGATGGGGCGTGGGGGAAGGGAAGGCTGGTGAAGCAAATTGGACCCTAGGGGAGTCCCAGCTGGGTGCCAAGATTCCTTTGCCCTTGGAGATTCAGCTCCATCCTGGAGCTGAGCAGTGTTTCCCAGGCCACCCAGGGAGACTGTGCCCCTCAGCCCTGCCCCGTGAGTCACTGGGTTGGGCCGTAGTGACTGCCCACGGCCAGCCACACCCAGCCCAGAAGAGGCCATCTGTGTGTGGAGGTGTGCTTGTCTGCTCCCCTCTGCGTGTCCCAGCATCTGTGTGTGTATCTACACATGTGTGTACCTGTGGGCAGGAGGGGTGCACACCATGCTGGCCTCTGCACGTCTCCGTGTGTGTGTGTGCCTTGGCGAGGGGTGACACTAGGTGGAAGTCTTTTCCCCAGGATAATGAGGGCTCAGCTGGACTTGGGAACCACGGGGCTGCCCTCGCCTTACCCCTGGACTCTCTCCTCCCCTGCGCCTCAAGCTTCTTGCCTCCAGCCCACCCCATCACCTTCCCCTTCCCTGGCTCCTCACCTGACCCATCTCTCCCTCCACTTCCCTCAGCCCCCTTCCTTGCTAGCCCCTCCGGGAGCATCTCCTCCAGGCAGTCTCCCCTAACAAGATGCAAATACCAAAAGGTGGGCAGCCGGACGGAGTCTCAGAAGGCAGAGGAGGCTGCCTGCCTCCAGGAAGAGCATAGAGTAGTGACCTGGGGCCATGACAGACAGAAGCTCAGATCCCAGCCCTGCCACTGAGCTTCGGTGTTCTCATCTGCCAATGGGAAAGGAGCAGTGCCTGCCTCATGGGGCGGGGGGCTGAGACGGGTAACAGATAATTGTGCCTAAGGCCCTAGCACCACGTCCAGCCTCGGGCAGCTGGTGCTCTCATTTCATCATCGGGTCCAGGCTCTCCTGCCGCAGCCCCTGCCCCTTCTCTGAGCCCCACGGCAGAACTCCGGGTCCCCTCTGCCTTCTCTGCACCTGTCTGTGCGAGTTGGGTCTGTGCAGCTCACCTGAGGGCGTGGGGCAGGGAGCGAGCACATGGGACCGCACACTGGGGTGGGACTGGACGAGCTTCTAGGGCTGGGCGGGGGGAAGGGGAGGGCTCCCGGCTGCCTCCTCACCATCTGGAGAAAGCGGCGGATGCGCTGGGCGTCCTGTGCCCGGAACACGTGCCACACAGTGCTGACCTGGCTGCCCGGAGACCAGAGCCCCTCCCCGTCCAGGCCTGAAAGGAAGTCTGAGGAGGAAAGAGCGCTCAGGCAGGCCCAGGGCTGGTGGCGACAAACACTCACCTCTGTAGCTTGTCCCCGCTCCTGCCTCTGGCCGAGGACCTACCTTTCTGTGCCCGGTGCCAGGCAGGCAGTGGTGTGTCGGCATGCACCAGGATGCTGACCAGGTCGGCCACCTCCACACAGAGGTTCTTGGTCCCCAGGTGTCCCCGGTGCGGGCTCACACCTGCATGGCAATAGAGAAAGAACAGTTAGAAATGGAATCAGAGAGCCAGGCGCGGTTGCTCACGCCTGTAATCCTGGCACTTTGGGAGGCCCAGGCGGGCAGATCACCTGAGGTCAGGAGTTTGAGACCAGCCTCAACATGGAGAAACCCCCTCTCTACTAAAAATAGAAAAAATTAGCCGGGCGTGGTGGTGCATGCCTGTAATCCCAGCTACTCGGGAGGCTGAGGCAGGAGAATTGCTTGAACCTGGGAGGCGGAGGTTGCGGTGAGCCGAGATAGTGCCATTGCACTCCAGCCTGGGCAACAAGAGCAAAACTCCGTCTCAACAACAACAAAAAAAAAAAAAAAGAAAGAAAGAAATGGAATCAGAGAAGCGCTTCAGGCCCCAGGGCCTTGGCACAGACGCTCGTGTGCCCCGAGATGACAGGCAGACAGGCATGGGAGTAGAGACTGGGCAGGAGTGGAGGGACACTCACCATAGGCTGCCCAGAGCTGGGGCTCCAGTGGACGCAGGGCAAGGCCCGGTGGGAGGTAGGAAGCCAGGTTGAGTTTTCCATGGAGGGCGCAGTACTCCGGAAGTGGCAGACTGGCAGCTAGGTTCTCCACCCTGTCAGGGTAGGGGGTCATGCCCAGCAGGCCCAACCTGGGCACCAGAGACCCCATCAAAGCCCCACCACCACCGGGGTAACTCCCAGAGGGCAAACATGAGAGTACCAGGGACCACGGGGTGGGGGTTGGGGGCAGAGGAGGAGGGGAGGGCTGAACCAGGCGGGGCCTGCGGTGGCGGGGAGGTAGGGCTGGCCCTTGGTGACATACACACCTGCTGGTGTCCTCATCCCCCAAAGCTCGGTGCAGCAGGAGGACAGAGCCCTCGTCTGACTTTGGGCGAACTACAGGAGGAGACAGAACGGCCATTGGCCTCCTCAGCCCTGAAGCCCCTGCCCCGGCGGCAGCAACACCTGCTTCCAGCCCCTCGGGGTCACCCTGGGACTCCTCTGCCACCCGATCCCTAGGGCTTGGGCTCCCAGCTCCCTCTCCCCTGTGTTGGGGACACTTACGCTCAGGCCAGGAGAAGCCCTCCCAGAATGTTGTGCTGCCCAGGCTGCTGGGCTGGGGAGGTCCGAGGGGGCTCAGCGCCTGCACCTGGCCTCCAAGTGCCCCAAGAGCTTCTGTCCCCCACAGGTTGCCCTGCAATGTCCTTTGGATCCCTGACACCAACACAGGCTGTGGTGGGAAAGGAAGGAGGCCATGAGGAGAATGGCCAGGGTGCCCGCCATGGCCAGGCAAGGGCGTGTTGTAAGGGCAGTAGAACAGCTCGGGGACAGCCCTCCTGCTCCCCCTGAGCCACTGGGTCTGTCTGGGCCTAGGGACCAAGGCCCCGAGGGGCAGGTGGGGTGGCCAGGGCCGGGAGGGGAGGGGAGGGGTGCCTCACCTGGCCCTGCCTCCAGTGCTCCTGGAAGAGGTGGAAGCCACGCCGAGGGCAAGGCTGGGGCTCCTGCAGCCACAGCAAAGCCCCTGGGGGAGGCAGCCGGGGCCGCACTGGAGAGAGGGGCAGGCCCAGGCCCTTGCGCAGACCCGGGCCAGCTCGAAGCCCCGGCCCCAGGGCTTTCTCCTGGATCTTCCGTTCCACCACCTGTGCGATAATGCTGTCCAGGATGTTGGTGATGCGGTCATCCTGCAGAGAGGGGCACAGGGGCTTAGGACCCACTGGGCCCCACAGGGAGGGCAGGCCCAGCCTCTGGTCCCCTGGCTCCTAGCCCTCCCTCCGTGCCCTCACTCACACTGGGCAGGGCCGGAGTGACGGGGGCGAAGGCCATGTGTATTCGCTCATGGCCCAAGCAGAGTTTGACCGCGGTAGAAGCCAGCAGTTCGCAGAGAGAAGGACAAGGCAGGGGCCCTCGGCCAGCACGGTCCTCTGCTGGGGTCTCAGCGGAATCGGGGGTCTCTGTCAGGGAGGAAGATGGTGGGGGGCTTCGCGTTTGGTCCCTCCTCTTCCCCTCGAGGCCCTCTTGCCCATGCTGCTCTTCCCTCTCTTCCTGGCTGAGCCCACTCTCCCCAGCCAGCATCCCCCACCTCAGCTCTGCTCTGGGTCTCCCCGCTCTACTGCTTTTCCTGCAGGCAGCTCCAGAGTCTCTAAAAAGAGGGGTTCAGAGGGGGGTCTGGCCAAAGAAGGTGTTTGGAGGCATGTCCTGAGGGGAGTAGTGGAGATTATTGGGGGTGGGGGGGAGTTGCTAAAGTCCCCGGAGACTTCCGCGACTGTCCCCTCCTGCCTCAAACTCTGGCCCAGCCTCCCTCTTGCACAGGCCGAGGGGCAAGAGGAGCCGCTCACCCTCTTTGATGCTCTTGGTCCTGTGGGTGTCGCCATTGCAGGAAGGTTGTGGAGTTGGGGGCGTTTTCTGTGTTGATTCCTTCTGTTAAACCCATCCACCACCCCCCCAATCCAACCAGAGATTTTAAAATGGCAGACACAATTCAACAGAACCCACAAGAATGAACAATGGACTCTTGTCAGTCCTAAAATCGTGTTTATAGGAGCAAAATGCCATAGGATATAACATTAGGTGGAAAAAAGTTGCTCATGGACTTCTACCTATGATAGGGTCTATAGTCTACTAAAATAGACAAATGGCTGGAAATAAATATGTCAAAACTAATGGTAGCATTAAGGTCATCGTCATTTTCTTCCTTATACTTGTCTGTATTTTCCAAATTTTCCACAATGGGTATATAACACAGTGTCTGGAACCCAAAATGCATTCAATGAACTATTTATTTTGAATGGATGACTTTTATAATAAGAACATGAACTTCAAAAAACTTTGCAGAATGCACATTGAGCGCCTGCTAGGTGTTAGGTGCCGGGATACTGAGAAGGCGGGCCAACGCTCCACCTGAAGGAACCATGGCCTGGGGACCTGGCCATACCAACAAGCACCTCTAGCATGATGTGGCAAGCGCTGAACAAGAATATGCACAGAGTAGGGTGGATATGCTCCAGGAAGGCAGGGGGTGAGGACCTCCAGGGCATGGAGGTGGGAGGGGCCAGCGCTGGAGATCATGCATGGCTCCTGATCCCCAAGGTGGGAATTAGCCTGATCCCACAGGCTTCTCTCTCTTCATCCCCACCAAGAAAAGGGGGGGCCAAACCCCTGCAAAGGTCAGCCATTTGCAGGCACGATACCCAACCGGTGACATGCCCTGGGTCTTACCTGCTGGCCTGCATCCCCGGGGGCCCATACCCGGGCATCAGCTTGGCAGGGGCAGTGCCCCCGGATATCAAACTTGACCCAGACCTGGTGCATTGCAGTGCTCAGCTCTGCCAAAGCTGGGGGTGGGGGTGGGCAGGAGAGGGAGGTTGGTGGTGAGTGTAGACCAACAGGCAGTCCCGGGCAGCTTGGCCTTGCCAAGCAGAAGGGCATGGCACTGGGGGGAGGGACAATCAGACGGGAAGCTGGTCTCCCTCAGGACCCAACCTCTGCACGCCCCACCCCTCCAAGATGGCTCACCCTGGCTGGAGACAAACTGGGTCAGCATCAGGGAACAGGCAGCGTGCCCGGCCTCCTGCGTGCACTCCTCCGCGGACTGCTCCTGAAAGCCTGTGGGGCAGGAAGGGAAAAGCTGCAGGTCCAGAAATCAAGGTAATCACAGGTTAAGGTCAGAGAAGGTCAGGACATGATACCTAAACCAGGGGACTCAATAGTCCACAAAACTCGTGCTTTCTGGGAAACCTGGGTCACATAGAGACACAGCATTCTTTGCTTGTAGAATGCTACAGACTTTAACGTGCTGAGAGGCTTTGCAGGTCCTTAGGCTAACCATGTGGAAGACAATGTTCTAAAACGTGTCTGACCCTGGAGCTCTTTCTGGTCATCCCTACTGGAACACAGGGAAATTTCAAGCTCTCCCGTGGCCAACTTGAGCCAAGGGAAAGAAAGCTGAGAACTATGAAAAGAACAGGATGAAATCAGAAGACCTGAGTCTAAGTCCTGGCTGCAACACGTTACTAACTGTGTGACCTTGGACGAGTCGCTTATCCTCTGAGTTTTTCTTATCTGGAAAACAAAAGCAGTAATACCCACTTCACAGTGTTACAGCAGGTTTTAAAAGGTGCCAGCTGAACAGAGTGGGAGACACCGAGTGGGCACACTCGCCTTTGTTTAAGGGTGGTCAAGGACGCAGGCATGGTCCTCTGATCTGCAGAGAGGGGAAGTCTGCTCTAAGGGCATTGAGCCATGGTGGCTGAGGCTGGGGCTGTGCAGTGGGTAGGGGGCTTTTTGGGGAGAGGCAGCCAACGAATGACCACAGGCTTGCAGCAGTCCCCCTGAGGGCTCCATCCCGCCCTCCCACCCCCAGCCCCTCTCCTACCTGCTTTCTCCCTGGCCCGCCCAGTGCCTGCCACACGACCACAGGCCACACACAGCCGGTGGCTGCAGCGGGGACATCGCCAGTGGGTGTTGAAGAGTCCATGGTGGCAACGGCTGCAGCAGCGTGGAATGCCTGGGCTGTCCTCTGTCACGGCTGGCCCTTGGCCTGCTGACCACGGAGAGAACAGGGTCAGAGGGTGAAGGCAACAGGCCCCAATGGAAGGCTTCACGTGGGAAGGATCCAAGGAGGGGCAGGAGAAGCAAGGAGCAGCTTCCATGGAGAGGGCCCCCCCAGGGAAGGGAGACAGGCCCCTCGACAGCTACCCCCTGCTTACTCCACAGCCCTGTCGAGAGCCTCCTTGTAGAAACTATCCTCTCCAGCAAAGCCTTCCAGGGACATTGGAGGCCTCAGCTCCACCATTCCTGCCCCACACCCAGCTCTGCCCCCAGGGACTTCCCCACTGGCCCTGAATTATTAATCCACACCACTTCTAGCACATTCTTTCCTCCACCTCCTTCCCTCCAAGCCCTAGGTGCTACCAGAAGTGGTAACCATGCTCAGGTGCCATTTCCTCCAGGAGACTTTGTTGTCGTTGTTTTGAGATAGGGTCTCACTCTGTCATCTAGGCTGGAGTACAGTGGTGTGATTACAGCTCACTGCAGCCTCCATCTCCTGGACTCAAGTGATCCTCCCACCTCGGCCTCCCAAAGTGCTGGGATTACAGGCATGAGCCACCGCGCCCAGCCAGGAGTGGGGTTTTCTAAGAACCAAGTATGAGACTAAGCCATTGTTGGTAGGTGGAAAAGGTGTCGCTGAGTACAATTCAACGAACGCCTTGCCTTTGGGTGCAGGGGCCTCAGAGGTGGTTAGGACTTGCCCCTGCCTCGCAGTGCACACATTCCAGGTAGGGAGATGGACCCATAAATACAGCGATGACTGTGGCACCACGAGGCGGGTGCTGGAGATGGAAAATGCCAGGGAAGGGTGAGGATGGGAATGCGGGAGAGCTTCCCAAGTGGGCCCCAGAGGATGAGTAAGTTTTCATTCACCAGGTAGAAAGGGAGGAGCAGGGCATTCCAGACACAGGGACAGCCAGTGCCAAGGCCCGAGGGGATGACAAGCTCCAGGGAGCCGGGAAGGGAAGGATGGATGGCGTGTGTGCTGGGAACCCAGGCTGGGAGTGGCAGGAGCTGACAGGGAGCCTGCTGAAGATGCACCAAGGGGCCTGGCCTGTCTGGGGCAAGAGGGAGCCCCGGGGGTCTCCACCCAAAGACTGACCAGCAGCCTTTGGTCATGAGGAACTCTCTGTGCTGCGGAAGGGCGACCGAAGGGAGCACCTGCAGCCAGAGGGGACCTTAGCCCAGGTCCTGTCAGCCCTCCAGGCCCGGGAGCTTCGCCTGACCCCCAAGCCCTCAGGAGCTCCCCCACCTCCCAGTGCCTTGCAGATACTTGGCACTCATTCTTGTTTTCCCAACAAGCCCAAAAACTCCCAGAGAACTGGGCTGTACCCAGTTTGACACCTTCCTGATGTCCCCACCCAGGCCAGGGGCTCTTCTGAGGTTGCCTTAGGTCTAGGAGCTGGCAGTGTGGGTGGGGTCAGGGGAGGGACACCTGGGGCTCCCCACACAGAGACCCCACGCAGACCCAGGAGGTCCTGTTCACCTTCCCGCTGGGCCCAAGCCAGGGCCTCCCGCTCCCTCCGCAGCAGGCGGCACAGTCGGTCCCCCAAACCACTGAGCAGGTGCTTGGCGAGGCCTGTGCTGAGCCGGCTGTCAGGGCCGGACCCTGGGCCTTCCTCAGAGCTGGAGTTGGTGGCTGTGTCTTCCTCCTGCTGCAGCTCCCCTCCCAGAGGCGATCTGGAGAGAGGGCAGGGGGAGGTGAGCAGGGAGCCCTGGCGAGGGGGCACTGGAGGTGTCCAGGGGCAATGGCTCACCTCCGCACTTGCTGAGAGTGGCAGGCGTGCCCTCCTCCCTCTCCAGCTGCCTGGGCACAACTTTGGCATTGAGCCAGTTTTGCAGGGAGAGCCAGGCATGGTATGTCCTGAAGTCCCGGGTCCTGGAGACTGGCCTGGCCATCTTGGGGTCCTGAGGGGACAATGCAGAGGTCAGGAATCTGGGTTTCTTGGGCTGCTGAGAACCCCATTCCTCACCTTAGCGCCCACCCCATCCACACTCAGAGCCAGCCCAGTTCCTCGCCCCAGGTCTCTGAAGCCTAATTCAGAACCAGCAAGAGTGGACCAGGCAGCTGGAAGGCTCGCACGCCAGGCTGAGCAGGGAGTCTGAGGATGCCGTGACATGGACCGGCAGCCGAGCGAAGAGGTTGTCTGGTGTGTTGAGCCCAAGGCTTTGGGCAGCTGGGGCGATCGTCCTGACACAAGTGCAGGATCCAGCCAGTGTAGACTTTGGATAGCTCCACTGAGGGCTTAGTGATACCACTGGCTGCGTGACATGAGGAGACAATCCCAACGTGGACGGAGGGCGCCGGAAGGTGAGAAGGGCCAGAGAGTTTCGACACAGGCCACAGGTGCAGTAACCCAAGAAGGCGAAGGGGCCAACAAATTCCCAGCCAGGGCAGAGGCCTGGGCAGAGGGCACAGACAGGCCCATGCCAGGTGCAGGGCATTTGGGCAAGGCCACGGAGAGAGCTGATCCACACCCAGCCGTCCAGGAAGCTGAAAAAACCGAAGTGATCCCAAAGAACTAAGGCTGGAGCCGGCAGTGCCAGGGTCCTCCGTGGAGGGCACAGTGTAGCAAGTGACTCCAGGGTGCGCCCAGAGCCCTAACACTGGCAGAGTCCAAACTGAGTCTCCAGCTCCACCTGGCCAAGAGAGCAGCCATTCCTGGCGCAGGACAAGGGATCCTTCAGGACAAGCAATCCCCAAACAGGGATTTGTGGCACACGCAGTCATCACGGTGAACATTTACTGAGTGTTCACTGGGTGCCAGGAATTCTTCCAAGCCCTTGCTATGAATCATTCTAGCATTTAACTTTTGCAGCAGTCTTCCTGAGGTAGGTGCCGTCTTCTTCCCCATTTTATAGATGAAGTAACTGAGGCCCAGAGAGGCGAAGCAACTCATCCGAGGTCACACAGCTACCAATCAGCAAAGTCAGGGACGAGGCACTCTGGCTCCAGAGCCATGCTCTGAACTATGTCATTATACTGCCACCAACACACCAGGGCTTGGGAGGAGACAGAGGTAGAAGATACTTGCTGGAAGGCTCTGGCCTGGAGATGCTGAGGAACTCCCAGAGAGCCCTCGTGATCCAGGTGGGAGCCTGACCACTGGTTGTGGTCCACTCATAAAGCCTACAGACCCCGCCCCATGCGAAGCCCCAGCCCCGGCTGCCCCCTCCCACGCAGGGCCTGCAGCCCCTCCTGGCCCCCTTACCTTTCTGCTCATCATGCTGTCCCGAGTCCACATCCTTGTTCCCTATCGATGTGTCCCGCACCTCCTGCCAACCCCCAGCCCCCTGTTCTGCAGTGCCTGGAAAAGGGTCCGGTGGCCGCTTGGGGGCTGGACTGCCCATTGCTCCCTGGACCTCGGGGCTGCCTGCCCTTTTGAGGGCCCGGAGCCGAGCAACCGGCCTCTCCTCGACCTCAGGGCAGCCGCGTGGACATTCAAACTGCTCCGAGTGCCGTGTGAGCCATGTCTTCTTCAGCTTGGTGTGGTGGCTGGGGGGACAGGCCCTGGGGCCAGAGGCCTTGTTCACTTCCTCGCTGGGTTCGCTGGCTCCACTGGCACCCCCCTCCAGGCCCTCCTGGCACTTCCCACAAGGGCCAAGACCCCCACCTTTAGTGGGTGGGTAGGATGAACAGCAGCCCCGCTGGGTGACAGGCGGCTCAGGAGAGGGGCACCTTGGTGTTGCTGGTGGCCCCAGCTGGTACCCAAGGTTCCCATCGCCTGGCCCAGCCCAGACGTTGCCAAGAGTATGAACAAGGCCTGGGGGACAAGCGGGCCAGGAGGTCCAGGGCACAGTGTCTGGCTGCCCCAGGAAGAGCGGGCAAGGATTCTGCTGCCGGCCAGCTCCCATCTCTCCATCCCTCTGGTGCAGTGAAGGGCGTTCGGCCTCCCCGGCTCTCTGCAGGTGCCCACCAGAGTTTAAGCCAAACAACCCAGGTTCCGCAGCTGCCAAGGGCTCCTTTGCCAACCTGGGAATGCTCGGATCCTTGTAGTAAAAGCCCTAAAGAGGGGAGAAAGTGTTACGCTTCAGCTGACTTGGGCTCCCCATGCCTAAATGGATGGGCAGAACTGACAAGCAAGAAGGAAGGGGAGAATACTGAAGCCCTCACATTCTGATTAATAAACAGCACTGCCCTAGGTCTCTGGAGTGCCTCTGACACTGTCCTGGCAACCCCCACCTCCTCCCCCAGGATTTCTCAGACGTCCCCACAAGGAAGTCTAAGAACTAAAGAGTGAATGCCTGGCACAGCCAAAGGGCATCTGGGGTCTGTTTGGGCCATTTGGTGTCCTGTGCCATACTGAGTTTTAAGTGTTTTAACATCTCATCCCTGGGAGTGGGAGTCATCTATGGAGGAGGTACCCTAGACATGGGCCATGGGGTCCCCTGCACATCCCAGTCTCAGATAGAGGGCCCTTGTCTGCCCACCCATCTCCTCCCAGGACAAGCCACACATTCCAAGGCCACAGTTCCCAGGACCTTATCCTAGGCAGACAATGGGTGAGTCAGTGGCTGCAATGACCCGAGGGCAGGGGAGGCCTAGAGAGATGGAGCTGCTCAGGGTAGGGCTTGCTTGGGGTTGACTGTGGGGCCTGGGACAGCTCCAAGCTGATAGACCCCTCTACCTCGGTGCTGCCTTCTCTTTTCATCACAGTGGAAGGGCATCTTGGGGACCACCGAGCAACTTTGCTAGGCCAGAGCCACAGGTACCCTCTCTGCCCCTGCACTCACCTTGCTGCCTAAGCTGAAGGCAGAGGGCACTTTGGGCTGGCCCCCGGAGTATACCCAGGGGTGCGGGGTCAGGGGCCAGTCACATGGATGCTCTGGGGGCAGGCCAGACACTAGGTAGGGTGGCAAGCAGGTGGGCACCCAGAAGGGAGCTCGCTCCAGGATCTTGGTCTCCAGAAGGAAAGGGCAGTGCCAGGGCCGGAAGGCCACAGGGTCACTCTTGAGATGGCCACCACTATGCTCAGGCATCAGGGGGCCACAGCGAGGTGGGCACGCTGGCCCGCAGAATGCCAGCGGATGGGTAAGCATGGCCTCCTTCCAGCGCAGTCCCTCTTTGCTGCCCAGCCAGTTGACCTTCCTCTCCCCATTCTGGGGGCCCTCGCCCTCCACAAGTGGGAGCATGTCCTTGGGGCCCTGGGGGAAGCCAGGGGGAAGCCAGGAGTCTGGGGTGCTCAGGACGCCCCTCCAAAAGGGAGCAGGCTCTCCCAGGCACAGCGGCCCATGGTGCAGTCCATCTCGAGGCGGGCTGCCGGGCTCCTGTCTCACGATGCCGTTCTCTGGGGCCGTCTTCTCCCAGGTTGGGGTGCCCTTCAGGAAGCTGGGCGTACTCTCCATCACTCTCCTGCCCTCATGGGGCTCTCCCAGAGGGGGGTCCCTGGAGCATAACCATCAAAGCATGAGCTTCTGGGGCACATGTCCCAAGCACCTTACAGCCTGGCACAGAGTGGGCACCGCCCTGGCAACACTGAGGCAGCTCAAACCAGTAAGGCAAGTGCCAGCCCACAACTGGGCACCATGCTGCCTCTCCACATGCAGCCAGACACATCTTGCTCCTCCAGTGTGGGGATGTTACCCCTTCCCCAAATTCCACCTGGGCCAGTGCCCCTCAGCGGAGGCTGCCATTGCTAGTAGGGCATGTCCTGGCCTCACCAAGCTAGGAATCTGCTCACGACCCATGAGGGAGGACAGAAAGTGGAAGGCACTGAATGAAGAAAAAGGCTGGATCCTGAGCCTGACTCTGTCCTATGCTGTATGGCCTTGGGCAAATCATGTCACTCCTCTGGGCCTCAGTGTGCCCTTGAGGCTTGGGTCGGCTCAGAGGATTCTTCCCATCCTGCAATCCGTGGTTTTGGGGGTGCTGCTAGCCCAACCCTAGCCTACAGCCCCAGCCAGGCTTGTAGCCGTGGGAAGTGCAGGCCTGGCAGGCTGGAGTCGCTGGGGAACGCTGCCAGCCAGGGCCGCTGGCTGTGTCTCTCTCTACACCTGGGCGGCCCTGAGTCAGCCTCTTCCCAGAGCCCTGCAGTTTCTCGGCTTCTCAAGCAGAGTCCCAGGACAACTGCAGGGGGCTAGGAACCCCGCCCTGGCCCCCAGCGGGAAGAGCGCGCCGGCACAGGGGAGGGGGATTAAGAAGCCTCAGCTGGATGGGTCAAGCTGCCCTAGCCCAGCCAGCAGTGCCAGGGCAGCCGCCACCGCCGCTGGAAACTTCAGCCTGGCGGGGAGGGGAGAGGGAAGGAGGCGGGGAAAGCGGGCTGGGCCCCAGAGAGAGGCAAGGGAGGGAAAATTGAACGTGCGTGCAAGGGACCAGGATGACAGGTGGCACTAGAGCGGCAGCGCTGCCTTGGCGCGGTCCCTTCGGCCAGAGCGACGAAGCCCCAGGCGGGAGGTGACGGCGCAGTGGCAGAGGGCGCCCAGGTTTTCTGGAGCCACCGCTCCGCCGTGGTCTGGCCGCGTCGGGCTTCCTAACTTTCAGGTGTCAGAATGTGTGGCCCAGCCCACAGGGGCACGGGGAACACGCTCCGTACGGGCACCGCAGGCTCGGCTCAGAAATCCCCCGCCACGAGTGTCCCCAGACGGCGCGCTCCTGGCGCTTACCTGGGCTTCACCGGCCGGTCGCGGCGCGGGCGGTGGCGGTCGTCGTGGCCGGCACCGGGCGCCTGCTCCCCATGGGCCAGCTCCGGGGCCTCCCGGCCGGCGGGCGAGGACGCGTTCTCCCGCTCTGTCTGCTCAGCGCGCTCGCGCTCTCCTTCCCCCGGGGCGGCGGGGGCGCTCTAGGGCCGCAGGTTGGAGGGGTCGGACTCCGGGATCTGCAGGATGCGGCACACGGCGCGGATCGGCCGCACCAGCTTCTGGGCCGAGGCCGTAGGTTGCGCCATGGGACGCCGAGACTCCGTGCTGCGCCGCGGGGAGGGCCGGGCCGGGGCTAGGGAGCGGGTGCCCCCGGAGGGAGAGAAGGCGCCGGGCCGGGGGGAACACGCGCCCCGGGTCGGAGATGGCCGAGTTGGGGGAAAGGCCGAGGGGCCGGGGAAGGGGGTCGTGCCTGGATGGTGGGGGCCGATCCTGGGACCCAGGAGAGAGGCACCGGCGAGGGCGCAGCACCGCGCAGCGCGGCTAATGGAGGTAGAGCGCGGCGGAGAGCGCAGCAGGACCTCTGATCGCCATCGCCAGAAGCGCAACTGAGAGTGGGGAAGCTGCTCCGCCGGTTTCCTCCTCCAGCACCCTGCGGGAAACAGGAGCCCGTGATTCGGCGGCCGCGCCTGGGCCTGCCCCCTCCCGGGCCCCGGGGGCTTCCGCCAACGCCCCGGCGATGCCACCGGCTGCGCACGGGGAGAATGAGCCCTTTGTTCCCCCTCCCCCCCGCGGCACCCGGGCGCCTGCCGAGAGAGGCTCCCCCGGGGCAGCGTGCCAGCTTCCCAGCCGCCCCACCCTCCCGTGGGCCCGGCCCCGGAGCCTGGCAGGCGGGCGGCACCCCCACTATAGGTGCCAAGCCCGGGAACTGGAGCAAAGGGCGGGAGGGGCCGGACCAGGCCACGGTTGGGCGGGGTGCCCCCCAGGGTGCTAGGGCGGGGCGGCTGGGAGGGGGCAGTGCCAGAGCTGGCAGGGGCAGTCGAGTTCTCACGGGTCAGTGATGGGCGCTCTGGCCCACGCCAACCGGGCTGTGCCTGCCGGGCCACTGGCTCCTGGTCCTCTCCATCTGTGGCACATGGCACGCCCCACTGGCCTGTGTCTGCCCTGCCTCATCCTCACCTGGCCAAGCTGCTCTTTGCCATCTTCCACCCCAAACCCTTCCCAAACCTCTTCCAGAGCCCAAGGGCACAAAGGGTTGCGTCCTAGGACCTCTGGGAGGGCCTGGGCTTGGGTCTGTCCCTGGTCTAAGGGCCTTGATTTTGCCAAATGTCTGGAGAGGTCATGGGCCCAGATGAGCTCCGACACCGGCTCCAGACCCCGGGCTGTGAGGGTCTGCCCCATCCCCAGGGTTCCTGGTGCTTCCAGGCCAGGGGCTGGAGAGGCGCCCATGGGAGTGGCTCCCGGGAGAGTGCAGAGAGGAGGAGAGGAAATGGAAAAGCAGGGCACCCTCCACCCGAGGAAGCATCCCGGCTCCGCTGCGGGGGTGGTTCCAGTGCAGACACAAACAGACAGATTCAAACACACACAGACAGATTCAGACTCACACAGAAACCCACACGCCCAACGGGCGCTTCCCTTCCCCTCAGGCACCCACCTCCCACCCTCGGCTCCCCTGCCTCCCTGCGGAAGCCAACCTTGGCCTGCCTGGGACAGAAGCTGCACTCCCTCTTTCCCATCCCTTGCAAGCGATGGGTTCTGGATGCCTCTAGCTTGGTCCCAAGTCACACCACCATCCCTGCAGAGGGGAGCCCTGAATAGCCAGGAGCCTTCCTCCTAAGGGATGAGCAAGGCCTAGAGCCTTCTACCGGTTGAGAAGAGTGGGGGTCCTGGGGAGCGGGGGTCTAAAGGAGCGGGCACTGGGCCGGACTTGGGCCATGTTGGCATCCATTCACCCTGCCCCTGGCCTGCCCCCAGAGGCCAGTTCTGTGGCAAGGCAGGCTGGTAGGGGTTGTTTACATGACTGAGTTAGTAACACTCCCTTCCTCCCCAGCTCCCCTGAGGGTGGCTGGGACCTGAGTGTGCCAGGGGAGATGCTTGTAGAGGGTCTAACATGGACTGGAGGCCCCAGGCCCTGAGGCCCGGCCTCCCACTCCCAGGCTGGCTCCAGGGGTGAAGGTAAGGGCTGGGGTGTGTCTGTGGTCCCCCATCTGTGTTCTCTGTGCTCCCTCCTCAGCAGCCGAAGCTTGTGGGAGTGCCAGGGGGAGATTCCTGCGGCTTGGGGCCTCGGAGAGGCCAAGATGGGAGCCTGCGCTGTCCAGAACCCTGAGGACCTATCGCTGACATCCCCAAAGGGGATGGGGACTATCCCAGGGGAGTGGGGCAGATATCCCCCCCAACCCCAGTTGCCATGTCTGCTTTGTCAGGCCACGGTCCCTGGACTAGAGTAGCAGGGCTCTTGGGGACAGGCTCCTGAAAAGCCCAGGGGCTCGTGGGGACTCGCGGGATGGGAGGAAGGACCCCTTCCCCACCCTCGCCCAGCTCCCCATCCCGCTTTGGAGCCCATGCCACAGGCCCACAGAGTCCTTGTAGCCGGCTGTTCTGTGCCTGAAGACGGAGCAGAGCTGAGGAGACACACAAAAGACACAAACACAGAAGAAAAGCCACACGGCGCGTGGACACAATGCCAGACTTGTGGACAAAGGCAAGCTGACCAGCACCCCCAGCCATTCAGGGGCCAAGCCCCAGCCCCGCACCGACCCCTGGCTCACTGACACACACTCACTCGCTGACACACGCTCGTGCTGACGGGCACAGCAGCACTCACGAGCCGGCGGCCCTCATGCCATCCCCAGAGCCCCTTACCTGGGCAAGCACAGTGCCCCCCGGGCGGAGCAGCCCCCGGCCCAGGGGAGGGCAGCAGGCGGGGGCGGGGGAAGGAGCCCCGGAGAGTCAGGCCAAGCTGCCACTAATCCGGGCGGGGAGAGGGGGGGCACCCACGTCAGAGCGGGGACTGCCGGGTGGAGGGCATCTGAGGACATCCCCTCCCACACACGCGGCCGTCTGGGCACCTAGCCCTGCTTCCCCAGCCCCTCCATCCTTCAGACAGCTGAGGCTGGCCTCCCCCCACCCCACCCCCCACCCTGTGGCAACGCCTGGTGGGGGATGGGGAAGGGGGAATACC
Organism: Homo sapiens; assembly: GCF_000001405.40. Classification (NCBI taxonomy): domain Eukaryota; kingdom Metazoa; phylum Chordata; class Mammalia; order Primates; family Hominidae; genus Homo; species Homo sapiens. The sequence continues at coordinate 22,133,582 of NC_000008.11, forward strand.
AGGCGAATTCTCCCGGGACCCGCGGGGGTGGGGGCAGGGTGTGGGGAGGAGGGGAAGGGAAGTGTGGGGATGCGTTTGGAACCCGGAGGAAGCTCCAAAGCAGATGCCGCCATCCCCTCCCGCCCACCCACCTACATCCCTAACCTAATTCCTCTTCTCAGTCTGCACCTCCCAGTGCGCTTCCTCCTCCCCCCACCTCCCCTCCCCTCCAGGTTACCCCCACAAGCTACCCACCGGGGAGAGGAAGCCAGCTCCACTCTGCCCTGGGCTTGAGACCTTTGTGCCTACCCGGAAACACCAACTGTGGCCCCCAGGACTTCTCCAGCAGCAGAGAATCCTCCTCCTGCCCAGGCGTCTGCCCCCTACCCAGCTCTTGAGACCTCTGGTCCCTGATGCTGGGTAGAGGATGGAGCCAGAGGCTGAGTGCCACCTCCTTAACCCCCTCAAGGTGGAGGGCAGTGCCAACCAGGATGCCCCAACCCAGCCTGGGCCAGGGCTGTGTCAGAACTAGAGGCTAATCAGTGACAGCTAAAAATACAGCCAGTGCGTGCGGCGCACATGGAGGCTGGAGACGGGGAAGGGGACCAGGACACGGAGGGCCCCAGGCCTAGAGGGACAGTGATGGGGGCTGAAGAGTCAGGGAGGGAGAGGAGCCACCTGGAAGGGCCAAGGGATGGCTGTGGGTGGAGAGCAGAGAGAAGAGAGGGGCAAGAACAGAGGGCGATCCGCACCCAGAAACCAGGGTGGATATGCAGGAACCCCTCAAAAGCAGACAAGCTGCAGGGGAGGTGAGGAGTGAGACCAGGGCACAAACCAAGTGGGGCAGGGGCCAGGACCCAGCAGAGGTGTGCAGCTCTAAGGGGACTGGCTGTGGCAGCTTTGTGTCCCCACCAGCCCTGATCCTGCTCGTGGCCCACTGTCTGGTGGCGAGAAGAGGGTTGGGGGTGCTTAGGCAGGCTGGCATGCAGCCTCCTCTTCCAAGAGAGGCCAGGCCAGAGGGGGTGGAGGGTGAGACAGTAACCCCCTCCAGTGTGCAACTGGAGGCAAAGTGTGCAACTGCTGGGCAAAGGTGAGGTCTCAGGGGTTCTCAGAGAGGCAGGGCTGGCTCTCAGGGAAGCCCAGTTGACAACCAGTGCCCTGAGCCTCCGGGTCCCATGTGTGCTCACCCAGAAATGCCCCAGAATTTGGACTTCTCCTGGCTCCTTCCCCTCTGTCCCCAGCATGTGTTGGAATTCATACAACTGCAGTCAGCCGTTCACCAAACCCGTGTTCTAGGGGCCTTGGCATGTTCAAGGCTTGGCGGTGGGCCCCAGGCGATGCAGGGCACAAAGGCAGAAATCACGAGGCCATCCCACCCGCCCGGCCTCCCCCACCCAGAACATATGGTCACTTCACGCATTTGTTCTTTCACCAGCAAAACTCCTCCAGGCTTCTTAGGTATTGGCCCTGTGCTGGGCGCTGGGGGTGTTGGGCTTGTTCATGAATGATTACAAGATGCTTCTAGTCCCACCCTGGGGAAGTCAGGGGAACTTCATGGAGGAGATCAGAGAATGAGATCAGGACTTCACCACCCAGTCGCGAAGTTACAAAAGTATTTCACTTCGGTTAGACCATTTGTTCCAGGCTGAGCTACAACAGTGTGTAAAATACGTCTGTCCTTTATGAAGTCACAACACAGTGGGGGAGAAAAGGTCACATGCTCAAGGCAACAACAGAAGTCTGTGCAAGAACAGAGGTGGTGTGGTCCAGACAGCAAACCACTCCGAGGTGAGGGAGTGCTTGCGGAGGGCTTCCAGTGGAGGTGATGTCTCAGTGGGGTTCAAAGGGCAAGTAGAAATGGGACAGAGTTGGATGGTGGAGGAAGAGCATGTCAGAGGCCAGCACGCATAGGGCCACACGGAGCCATGAGACAGTCTGATGAGATGGTGAGGACAAGGCATCGCAAGCTCTGCCAAGGGGCCTGGGTGGCCGTGTGGCCCCCTCCAAGCACCCATCCTAGGAGGGAGGGCAAGTGAAGCCCCCACCCCAGTGAAATCTCCCTCACCACCCCACGACTTCAGGCCTCTCCCCAACTCTTGTTTTCTTTTACTCCGTTTTGTTTTGCCATTCATCATATGCCCTTCTGGGTTTGTTATTTTTTTTTTTTTTCTGGAGATGGAGTCTTGCTATGTCACCCAGGCTAGAGTGCAGTGGTGCAATCTCGGCTCACTGCAACATCTGCCTCCCGGGCTCAAGCGATTCTTGTGCCTCAGCCTCCCAAGTAGCTTGGATTACAGGCACGCGCCACCATGCCCGGCTAATTTTTGTTTTTTTTAGTAGAGACAGGTTTTCACCATGTTGGCCAGCTGGTCTCGAACTCCTGACCTCAGGTGATCCATCCGCCTCAGCCTCCCAAAGTGCTGGGATTACAAGGGTGAGCCACTGTGCCCGGCGCCCCTCTGGTTTTGTTCTCTTGGTTTGGGTACATGGATCCTGCCAGCCCGCCTCTATCAACGCAACTCCCAGGCAGAGGTGCATCAGGAGTCAGGGTCCCCGACTCACAAGCAGCACAATGGTACACAAGTTGTTGTGGCTCTCCAAGCCTCGGTTTTTCATCTGTAAAATGGGTATAGCCCTGTGGGTGCAGTGGCTCATGCCTGTAATCCCAGCACTTTCAGAGTTCAAGGCAGATGGATCACTTGAGCCCCAGAATTCAAGAACAGCTTGGGCAACATAGTGAGACCCCGTCTTTACCAAAAAAATATGGTAATTAGCCAGGTGTGATGGAGAGTGCCCGCAGTCCAAGCTACTCAGGAGGCTGAGGTGGGAGGATCCCTTAAGTCCGGGAGTTCGAGGCTGCAGTGTACTATGATCATTCCACTGTATTCTAGCATGGGTGATTCAGTGAGAACCTGTTTTAAAAAATGGATATAGTCCCTATTTGACAGGCTTGTTGGGAGGATTCAAGGAAATCATCTCTGTAAAATGCCCAGCACAAGGTCAGGCACACAACAAATATTCCATACATGTTAGTCTCCATGTCCTTGCCTCCCAGGCAGGAATCATCTCCTTCACTCTGGTACTGCTTAGTGATTAAGTGCACAGACTCTGGAGCCAGACTGCCTGATTCCAAGCCCTTCTGCTATGTACTAGCTATGTGACCTTGGGCAAATCACTTGCCCTCTCTGTGCCTGTTTTCCTGTTTGGAAAATGGAGACTGTAAGACTAGTGTGTACCCACCCCCCAAAGATCGTTATGAGAATTAAATTAATATATGCCAGGGGCTTAGAGCAGCGTCTGCGTGGGCAGCCACACTCTGGGCGCCAGCCGTTACTACTGCCTGCATCCCTGCAGTGTCTGGCAACATGTCTGGTACCTGCTCGAGGCTCAATAAAGATTCATTTTTGAATGAATTAATGAAGCGATAAGACAACCCCACGATGCAAAGGCAGGCCATGTTGGACGCCAGTGAGCCCCTATACGTGAGAAGCTAAATCACCGCAGCAGATTAAGAGCCTCCCCCAAATAAAACCTGGATAATCCCCACACCAAGAGTTAATCCACACTCTCTGGGGCCACTCCAGGTTACCACCCCATTTCCCCTCTTCTCATCCCACACTCTCACCCACCTCTTTGCTTAATCAATCAAAAGCAGGGAGGAGGAGCAGGTGCAGCAGTGGCAGAGGGGCGCACCCCGGGCATCATGGTGAGACCAGCACCGGGGCAGTAGAGGGCAGAGCTGGGTACCCCGGTTGCCCCAGGGATCGGAGGAGTTGGAGTGGAGCCAGCCAGGCAAACAGCCTTGGTCTCAGGAGAGCAGAGACTCCTTGGATGGGGCAGGCCAAGGACCAGTGACCACAAGCAGCAGGGAGGGCCACTGAGTTCCGCCAGGCCCAGCAGGGCGAGGCTCTGGCCAGTCTCCCAACCCCACCCTCCTTGACCTGGAAGCCGGGGGCAGCCCAGATCCCAGACACTGCTGCCCTCTCGTGGCCACTCCTCAGAGGTGCAATGGTGCCCCTGCGGGTACCTGACTGTTTACAGAACTTAATGTCCCCAGAGCTGCCCCAGGGGGCTCCTTCTTCCAGGCTCCTGGAGGAGATACTCCTCCCCAGGTCTCCTCTGCCTAGCTTCGACCTCCCTATGGGACTAACGTGCTGCCCCAAGCCCCTCCTGCCTGTGCTCCCACTGGTTTCTCTATAGCTGCACCTTCCTGCCAAGGCCTAACTGAAGTTTCGGGTTCTGACCAGTCCTCTGGACTCGTCCCCACTTTCCCATCAGTGCTCTCAAAACTCCCCAAAAGCTCCTTCGTGAAACCATGTGCTGCATCACAACTCTCTGTCAATGGTTCTGTCTCCCCCAGAGGACTGGGCTCCTTCAGCCTTAGACCTAGGCTAGGACTGGGCTGTCCCATTTCAAGGGTGTGAGGCGAGCAACGGGAGTAAGAATCAGGAGAAACAGAGCCCCTTTATGTATTTATTTATCAAAACACTCGCAAACCTGACCTCACTCACCAACACACACACACACAACCAGGACACATGTGCCAGGCCTTATGAAAGGCTATCAAGTACTTTGAAGGACAGGAAGGAATGAACACACCCAGGTGGACGTTTGGTTTCATTTGCAGGGGTTCAGGGAGGGTTGCAGGGGTTCAGGGAGGGCTCTTGTCCCACAACCGGGGAAGGGAGAGGGCAGAGCAAGGCAATAAATAGAACCCTGGGCCCAGCCTGCTTTGGTACATTGTGGGTGCATCCCTGCATGTGGCCTTGGCAGCATCTGCTCCCGGCCCTTAACCATCAGCAGGAGTCAGGAGGGTGGGGCCCAGGCAGCTGGTGCAGGCAGGCCAGATGTGCAGCCCAAGGTCCCTCCAAATAGCCCTGGAGCCCTGCAGGGCACGAGGTAAGAAGGGGGCAGATGCAGCAGACCCTAGCTGTCCACGTCTGAGGGCACAGTCTTTTTCCTCGTCCGAACCTTCAGGGAGCGCGAGGTGCCCTGGGGAAAGGGGAGGCACAGCATGAGGGTGTGGGGAGCACCAGCCAGCAGAGCCCTCCTCCCTCCTGTCGTCCTCCCACACTGACCTCCCGCACCGGTGGCTTCCTCTTGACCACACGCAGGCTCTGGCTGCGGATTAGGGGCTTCTCTCGGGGCCGGGCTGGCGCCCGGGGGACTGCCTCAGTATCTGACCAACACTCATCCTCGGTGTCGCTGTCCTGCAGGCCCCCGGCCCGGTACCCTGTGTGGAGGAGGAGGTGAAGCTGAAAGCCTGCGACCAGGCCAGCCCTTCCTCGAGCCTTGGGGGAAGCCATGGTGTGAGTGAAGGAAGCCATCCCTCCTGGCATGGCTCTGGGCCCCTCTGCCCGCTCACCAATGGGTGGCCTCCGGTGGGACACCTGGTCCTCCAGGTAGAGGGGGTCATGGTAGGCAGGGGCAGGTGCGTCAGAGATGGAGCGCAGGTCCTGCATGGAGAAGCTCCGCAGCCTGCCGGCCAGCGCCCCCTGACTCTGCGAGGGGGAAGAGGCTTCAGCGGGGAGGCTGCCCAGGGATATTGGCCAACCAGCTAATCACCGGAGCTGAGACGCAGAAGTGAAAACTGCTCAGCAAGCTTCTGGCCCCGCGCCAATGTGGCACCAACAGGAAACCAAAGTCAGAGAGCAGGAGCCGCTGCTTACGCTCAGTGCCAGAGCCAGGAAGGAAGGTCTGACTCCAGCTCCACGCTTCTGCCAATACCCCCCCGTCACCTTCTCACCCCTGCTCCCCGGCTGCCATCTCTGGGCTCCCTGGCAGAGGAGCTGAATGAGCCCAAAGGGCCTTAGGGGTGGGATGGGGGCTGCTGGAGGGCTGGGGGCCCAGAGCACCTTGGTGGCAGCCTGCACAGCAGCGGAGGCGGCAATGTTGAGGCCCCGCTTCCCGAAGCTGAGCACGGTCTCGTAGCTGCGCTCCTTGGCCTGCACGATGTACGCGTCGATCTCCTGTGGACCCAATGGGGAGGAGAGCTCAGGTGGACAGCCAGAGTCCCTCTTCCTCTGCAGATTCTGAGAAGCCACTGGTTGTGGCGCCACCCAGCCCAGCCCAGCCCCACCTGGTGCCCAGAGCCACAAATCCGGGCCACAAACACAGACCAAGAGCAGGGCTGCCACCCGCTCACACCTCCATGAGTGGCCATGCTCCAGCTGCCGCCACCACTACCCCCAAACCAATTTCCATCCTCAAAGGTCATTCATGTGTACCCCCACCTGATTATCCCAGAAGATGAGGTAGGCTGGGCCCTGTCAAGGTCCTGCCCCTCAATAGCAGCAGGACTGGGATAGAACCCCGGTGTCCCCAGCATCCTAAATCCCAGGTCCAGGGCTCTTTCCCTCATACCCACCCCTAAGCCTCCCTTCCCGCTTCCCCCTGGGGTACCTTCTCATGGCGGGACAGGGACGGGTGGACAAACTTGCGGTAAAGCAGGCTGGCGCCCTTGGTGTAGGGTGAGAGCAGCCACAGCACGAAGGCCATCTTGATCTCATAGTAGAAAGGGAACCTGTCACAGCACAAGGGGCAGGGTGAGCCAAGGAGCAGGGCTGGGGGGGCCACCCCTGACCCATGGCTTGCGGACCCTGCGTCCATACCAGGAGATAAAAATGTCTGTAACGATCTCTGCTGCCATGAAGAGTGCAAAAACAATCCAGTACATCATCCACCGCACCTGTGGGGTGAGCGCCCAGAGGTCAGCATGGGGCCTGCAGCACCAACTCCCAACCCAGGCCAGCCCAGCCCAGAGATTCCAGGGAGCCTGTCCGGCTGCATAGCTGCTTTCCCCCACACATGGCTGGACAGGAGCTCTGAGAAACTGCTGCTCATTCCTATGCCCGCCTCCAACAAGCTTCACCCACCAGATCTTCCACAGGCACCCCGATGGCCTGCCCTCTATCTACACCCTCTTGAACAGGGCCCATTCTCTCTCCCTCCCCACTCCACTCAGGATGTGCCACACAGCCTTGCCCCTGGAGGAGGGAGAGGCCAACTGAGACCCTCCCCACCTCACCAAGTCCTATTAAACACACCCAAACCCCCACGCTCACATATTCACGAATGTTCTTGGTCTTCACAGCCTTATAGGAAGCATAAGCTGGACACAGCATCCCAAACACCAGCCTGGAAGAGCAGCCATGGGGAGTGTGAGGGGCACCATGCCCCACTCCCACCTTGCCAAGTGGCCATTTCCCCCCACTGGGGTGCAAGGTGGCAGTACCCGCCCTGTTTTTCTCGCTTGGCTTGTACAACCCGTGCCTGAGTCAGAGCCCTGGAGGCCACCTCCCCACCCTGCTGTTTACAAACATCCCAAGCCTGCCCAGGCCTGCACCGGTGGCCCATGGGTGCATGATGGAGTGAGAGGACAGCCACTCCACGAAGTGGGTGAGAACACCAGACTGTCCCCTCCCATGGGCATGCAATCAGGCCCAGGGTCACCAGACCTGACACTGCTGGGTTGCAGATAGGGCTATGTGAGCCAGATGTTGGCATACTCAAAGGTGAGGAATAGGATGGTGAGTCATGTGACTGCTCAGATGGCAAGCAGGCACCTGGATTCTCCGCCCACAACGTGCCATATCACCTTGTGTTTGCCAAGGGGCAGCAAGGTAGGCCTGTGGCCCTCGGCTCCACGCATCTGTTTGCAGTGTGTGTGGCGTGCGGCAGGGGTCGTTCTCAGCCAACGAGGCTTGGTGGGGCGGGTAGCCTGCGGTGCCCCAGACACCGCGTGCAAGCCCACAGGTCCGTTAACCCTTGCATGGAGTGCTGGAGGGTGGAGCTCAGAAAGTTCCTCCTCCCACTAGACGTCCACAGCTTCCACCACAGGGGCGGGACGGCACCCCGGGGTAGAGGAGGTCTGAGGGCGGCCATACTCACACCACCAGGCGACAGATCATCCAGGACACCATCTTGCCGGCCTTTGGGACGTGGGGAGGACCCCAGGAAGCCGCTCAGAAGGACGTTCACTCAAGGGCTGGGACGGGGGGTGATCAGGGCAGTTGCGGGAAGCAGAGGGGCGATCCGGCTGTCCCTCGGCGGAGGCAGAGCCCGCCGCCCACGGCCTCCGACTGTGCAGTTCAGGGGACCTGGAGAATGGGGAGACCCGAGGCAAAGCGGCCCCGGCGGGGAGGAAGCCGACTTGGGAGCGGGCGCGCCCCGCGGCCGGGGCAGTTACAGCTCCCACCCGCCCTTTCTGCCGCGGAGAACCTGGCGCTCGGCCCTTGCTGCTGGTCCCGCGCTGGAGCGGGTCGCCGCGGTTCCAGCGCGCCGGGCCACCAGCACCGGCCTACAGGGCGGAGTTCGCAACTCACTTGAAAGTTGCACGGAACCGAGTGCTGCCCAACCCCAGGGCTCCGGCTTGCCACGCAGGCGCAGTGTAGCCCCGGAGGGGGCGGGGCGAGGTCAGGGAGGCGAGAGGCCGGCCCCTTAAAGGGGCGATGTGCCGCGGGACTCGCGCGTGGGGCCCACAGTGGAGCCACCTTCCCAATCGGAAAGATTAGCGTGTGGGAAGCTGTAACAAAAAAGCAGGGGGAGTGCGGGGGTCGGCACACAAAGAAAATCTGGACTCCAGAGTTTAAGCGACCCTTCACTGGCTTTTCCCGGTGTCTTTCCCTCTCGCCTCATTTTCCCCTCTGTGAACCGGGTAAAGGCATGAGATGCGGTTGGTGGGGTAGAGGGAAGGATCTCCTCTGCAGGCTCAGTCAGGAGCTGGAAGGAAGCTTGGCTGAGCGCCAGCAAGTCCGGGTCTCACACCAGTGGGTCCAGGAGGGAAAGGGGGGAGGTGTGGGGGGAGAGGGAACCTGAGGGACTTTTTGCCCCACCAGGTTTCAGGGGTTCCCTTCTCTCTGGGATGCCTTTCCAGATCCCTGACTCCGGGGCAGGCTGACCGCGATGATTTGAGGCATTCTGGGTAGAGCTCTCAGCTCCCACACTCCTTCAGCAGAAGTTTGAAATTCCACCTATTCCTCTGAGCCAAGTACACAAATAACCCTGGGCCCTTAATAGTAGTATCAACCATTGCCATTTTGTAATGCACGTTTGCACGCAAGGTCTTAGTCTTTGCAAACTTCTTTTAACCATGTAGGAAATAGGATGCTCAGTGGTGAAAAGTAACTTTCCTGGTATCACCCAGTGGTATTTATTGCTGGCTGGTGGCTACATGCTTGGCTTGATCAGTCTTCTGAGAGATCAGCAGCTGCAGGCTGAGTGGCCCTGCAGAGGGCCATGGAACCGGATAAGTTCCTCTGGGAGGGAGGCAGATGCCAGGAAGAAGGGGGAAGGCTCTAAAAAAGAAGGCAAACGTTGCTGCTTCTACTACTTGCCCTGTGAGGTTTCATTCTTTTTGACATCTTCAGCTTACTGCCTCTGTTGTTCCCTCTGAAAATAGTGTCCCCCCACCTTGCAGAGGGTGGGAGCAAAGCTGTCCGGGCATGTGGGGTGGAAACACAGGCAGTTACTGCTTTTTATTGGAGCCACAGTTAACCCCCACCAGCTATCATAAGGATGGAATAGGTAATCATGGGGCCAGGGAAAGGAGGCTTCTGGGGGATAAATAAACACACGGTGATTATATGGTCTTAATTACTGTCATCAGTTTTATTGGTATTGCTGGGTGTGAGAGCCAGCAGTGAAACCAGCCCACAGGAGAAACTTCCCCGAGGCCCCATGTCTCCCTCTCCTCTCTTAACCAACCCTCACATTTACCTGTCCCCCCTTACACACACACATTGGAGTAACCAAAAAGGCCAAGGGCTAGAGGAACTCCTAAGGAAGGCCCCAGCCACTGTCCATCTTTAGGCACAGACATGGTTCTCTAGGTGAAAAGTGTCCTGGGTCTCCCTGAAGGAGGAAAGCTGTGACTGAATAGGGGAGCAGCTGAAAGGGACATCCATGACTCAGGAGGTCACTGCACACGTGAGCCTCGGGTCCTTTGGTGCGTGCTGCAGAACTGTCCCTTCCCTGCTGGCTGCCTTCTGGGGCCACGCACCTGACCTCAGCATCACAGGCCTCTGTCTACCCCCATTTGCTGGGAAACATTACCTGGGCCCGCCCAAAGCTCATTCAGCTGGGATGGTCTCCCGTATGGAGACTCCTGGTCCCAATGCCTGTGCTTGGGAAATCTCAGAGAAGAGATGTCAGAGGTCTGCGCTGACAGCAAGGCTCAGCACGGAGGGCAAGAGGCTGGCAGCTGAGGAGTGTCACCATCCCTGGTCTTGGCAGAGTGAGTAGACCTTGCCTCTTGCAGCCTTTGGTCCTGAGCTGTTGACACAGTCACCCAATTCCACTGGGTTGCTAAGCAGCACTCTGGACGTGGACAAGCCCCAGGGCAAGTGACCCAGCAGGCACACACAGAAAGCCAGGCACTCGGGCCAAGGGAGGAAAGTGCCTCCCACCCCTCAGAAGAGCTCCCCCCTGGGGGCAGCAGCTGTCAAAGTGATATTTATCTTTCTACTGGGCAGCAGAGTGCCAGCGTGTCTGGGAGACTCAACCCACTTTCCCTGGCAACCTCTCCCAAGCACAGGATAAGGGCCCGTTTCCCATTTGGAAAAGAAGGACAGGCCTCCCCAGAATGATGGAGGTGCCTGCTAAGCTAAGAGCATATTTGAGGAGGTGAAAAGCAGGTAAGTCACCTATTGCTGGGGGTGAGGAGGCCAGGTCAGAGGCTGCAGGTAAGATATGGGGCACAGGGGCTCCAAGACTGAGGATGGGTGAGGAACCATCACCCACAGACAGTTCTCTCCAAAGATCCACCTCCTCCTCTTGCACAAAACACCCCTCTCTGAGCCACTTCTGTTTTCATATATTCCCATAGACCAAGGCAAATCATAATCATGTGCTGGACACACTATACAAATGGACTTACATATACTAATGCATTTCACTCTCATGAGAAATAATCCTGTCAGGGTAGGATGCGGTGGCTCATGCCTGTAGTAATCCCAACACTTTGGGAGGCCGAGGACGGCAGATCATTGAGGTCAGGAGTTCGAGACCAGTCTGGTGAACATGGTGAAACCCATCTCTACTAAAAATATGAAAATTAGTCAGGGGTGGGGGCGTGCTCCTGTAGTCCCAGCTACTTGGAAGGCTGAGGCAGGAGAATTAATTGAACCTAGGAGGCTGAGGTTGCAGTGACTCAAGATCGCACTACTGCACTCCAGCCTAAGCTGGAAAAAACAAACAACAAACCCTGTCAGGTAGGTATCACGATTATACTCATTTTATAAATAAGAAAAACCGAGGCACAAATAGGCTAAGTAACGTGGCTGAATGTTACTAGCTGGTTTCACCCGGCTGGCAGAATCAGGAACCCATGAAGTGGGGTTTTTAAATCTGCTTCACAGAAGGAGAAATTGAAGCTCAGGGAAATCAGCTGACTTGCTTGAAATCTCACACCATGGAAAGGGACTGAGCCAGAATTCACACCCATGTTATCCAGGCTCCAGACCCCACTCCTCTGTGCACAGCTGCTCACAGGTGCTCGCTGAAGAGAGAGAAACGAAGGGTTTTTGTGATATGCGAGAGCTGAGAGGGGCTCTGGAGGACAAATGAAAACCTGGAGACTCAGAGAAGGGATTTGACCTGCCCAGGGTCACACAGCAAGCACCACTGCCCAAGGATCTATCATTTCCCCCGTTTCCATCCCCTGTCCCTTACACTGTCACCAACCCACACAAGGCCACAAAAGGATTTCATTTACTCAAGCCCATGGGGGAAGAGGAGAAAAGGGGTCCCCACAGCTTGACAACACCTGTTTTGCCATTCAGTGTGCTGTCCCCGAGACCCCATTACTTGCACTGACACCCTGAGCACTGTCCCCCACCCGGCCCCCATCTGACTGTCTTAGACTCTCTCGACTCCACTCACAGAGATGTTGAGGGACCCTGACTGCCCACAGGGCTTGGGTGTGTACGGTGGGACCAGGTCACAGGAACCTTCATGGTGGGCAGAGGCTCATGGGTTTGTTGAGCAGGAAGCCAAGGCAGGTTCCTGAGCAGGGGAGGACAGGAGGAAAGTGTGTGTTAGAAAGATCAGACCGATGGCTGAGCGTGGTGGCTCACGTCTGTAATCCCAGCACTTTGGGAGGCCGAGACAGGCGGATCACCTGAGGTTGGGACTTTGAGACTAGCCTGGCCAACATGGTGAAACCCCGTCTCTCCTAAAAATACAAAAATTAACCAGGCGTGGTGGTGGGCACCTGTAGTCCCAGCTACTCAAGAGGCTGAGGCAGGATAATCACTTGAACCTGGGAGGCGGAGATTGTAGTGAGCCAAGACAGGGCCACCTCACTCCAGCCTGGGCTACAAGAGAGAAACTCCATCTTTAAAAAAAAAAAAAAAAAAAGCCAGGCTCAGTGGCTCACGCCTATAATCCCAGCACTTTGGAAGGCTGAGGCCAGCAGATCACCTGAGGTCGGGAGTTCAAGATCAGCCTGACCAACATGGAGAAACCCCGTCTCTATTAAAAATACAAAATTAGCCAGGTGTGGTGGTGCATGACTGTAATCCCAGCTACTCAGGAGGCTGAGGCAGGAGAATTGCTTGAACCTGGGAGGCAGAGGTTGTGGTGAGCCGAGATCGCGCCATTGCACTCCAGCCTGGACAACAAGAGCGAAACTCCATCTCCAAAAAAAAAAAAAAAAATCAGACTGAGAAGCGGGTTGGTGGGGGCTGGCAAGGGACCCAAGACAATGGGCGATGAAGAGTGTTTGGACAAAGCTTTGAGCTGGGAAAGAGCAAAACAAAAAAGTGCCCATCTAGCAAACCTTTGGGACAAAGAATGGAGAGAACTTGGTGGCTTATGAAATATGGGAGAAGAGAGATCCAGATGTCACCTAGGACTCCAAGGCCTCATCTGGGTGGATGTGGCGGCAATGACAGACATTTCCCCAGTGGAGGAACGGGGATCGGGGTAAAAGAAGAGGGACTGCTGAGATCATCCTCAGCCTTGCTGGTTGGAGTTGACCTGACGGCAGGAAAGACTCAAGTCTTCGCGCGTCCCTGGACTATAATCTCCAGGAAGGAACACTAGCTGTGAGTCAGCCCCAGGTGCTGGAGACTCATCACACCAGCACCTGAGTGTCATCCCTGTGAACTCCTGCCCCCAGCCCCAGCTGACCTTGGGGATGCCCACATCTCAGAAAGAAGGGAGCTGGGAGGAAGAAGGTCTGGAAACCATTGCCAGGCCTCCCGTGGGCGGCAGGGCAGGGCCAGGCTCCGTTTTCAATGAAACATTTTGATGACACCTGAGAGCCGGTTATGGGGCGGGAACTTTTTATTTGAAGCAAGTTAATCATAGCATTGCCCCCCAGTACCCTGGTATCCTGCTACAAGGAGCATCACACCATTTGGGCACATGGTGTGCCCTCTCCACTAGCCTGGCATCTCAGCAGACAGCAGAGGGCAGCAGAAGCTCAGCTAGTGGGGCCCCTCCCACCAGGCCCCACCCGGTCCACTGAAAGGCAGTGCTCCTGGGGGCCTCTGTGGACTGGTGGGGCCAGGGCTGCAACACGCCCTCAGGCCAAGCTCCACTCTGGGCACCCTCGCAGGTAACTCAGGTGCTTGCAGCTCGGCCAGCTCTCTAATCCACCCAAGGAGCCCGCCCAGCTCAAGGGCCACATCCCAAAGACAGGGTGAACCAGGGGACAGTCCAAGCCTGAGAAAGCGACAGCTACAGGAAGGAAGGCAGAAAGGCTTTCAGATGAGGGGAGGTCTTCTGTCCATGGGTGAGCTGGGATTCACGGCCATGAAGGAAACGCCAAGGAGAACAGAGACAGACACCCCTGGCAGCTCCCCGGGATTGCTTCTGCTGCTGTTGTTATTGCTTCGGGCAGAGGGGCTTTGCCCCCAGGAGGCCAAGCAGGCCCTCAGAAGCTGGCACCACCATTCTCATCCTTATCAGTTCCGGGGGGGGCACGCTGGGGGTGAGCAGAGGGGGCCCCCTCCAAGCAGAGAGGCAAGGTAACAGGAGAGCCTGGTAGGCAGTGCTGAATCTGCTTGTATGCACACGTGCCCTGACATGTTTATAGATGGACACCGGGTGCAGTCGGGGCGTGTGAGTGTGTAATGAGTGTGTCCGTCCGCGTCCATGTGAGCATGCAGACGGGGTGGGGCAGGGGTGAGTGGCCCCGGGGAAGCATGACAGATATGGCTGTGGGCTACAGCGGGGAGCAAGAGCAGGTAAACAATGCCTGGAGCACCAACAGGAAAGACCAGAGGGGCAGAAGGAGAAGCACAAGGACAGGAGGATGCGGCCCCCCTCGCTCCCAGCACCCCGCACCACTCGTGCATGAGACAGGGGGCAGAGCATGGGAAAGGCTGCAGAGTAGGGGGGGCCTGCAGTTGGGGTCACGGGAACTGGGCGTTAGGTGTCCCAGGGGTGCCTGGTGTTCATGCTGATTGCAGTGATGATGCACGTCCTCCTGGGCCAGTCCACGGGGTGCGCCTGTACACACTGGGCGTGTGCGGATACAAGGGCATGAATGCAGGTTGGTCGCTTGTCTTCACACAGGCATACGTGGTGCTCACAGAGGCCCCCACCCATCCTCCAGTGGCCACCCTGAGGAGACCAGAGGCCTCGGCACCCCCTAGGCACTGAGATCCACCACAATGTGTCTATACACCAGCGTCTGTCCCTTGAAGCTGGGGGCCAGGAGTAGCTGGGCGTCCCCAGCAGGCATGTAGCAGAAGGCCCGAGGAGCCTGCACAGCCAGCTCCTGGAACCGTACAAACTTCTGTCGTCCCTCATCCCACTGGTAGATCTGGGTGAAGGAGAAATCACTGCCCAGTGCCAGGTAGCGGCGGCCACCCACAAGGAAGGGCTGCAGGGCCAGCGAGCCCCGGGAGGGCAGGGCCTGCACCTCCGAGAAGCGGGTACCCTCCCAGCGCAGGATCTTGGAGTCGCCAATGTAGCGGCTGAGGCACAGGTAGCTGTCGCGGCCGGCACGAAAGTGTTTCACAGCTTGGGCATCAGGCACCTGGGTCACCTCACCCTGGGCCACAAACTGCTTCTGGGTGCGACTCCACTGATAGATGACGGGTGCCTGGGAGCTGCTGGACACAATCAGCCGTGGCTTGCCCTCGCCGTCCACAAACTCCAGGTCGGTGTCACGGTGCCAGGGGTGCAGTGCCTGGTGGGAGTAGAAGCCATTCTGGTGCCAGCGGTAGAGGCTGGTGGCGCCTGCCTTGGAGCTGTCAGCCACGGCAAAGTACCAGTCACCGTCGATGCGGAAGGCTTCTAGGTCGTTAGGCTTGCGCACGCGCTGCGGGTCAATGTCTTGCAGCCTGGTGAAGCGCGTGGTGTTGGGATCCCAGTGGTAAATGTAAGAGCCGCCAAACAGCTGGGCCACGACCACGTACAGCTGGCTGTCCACCACCATCGGCTTGCAGTGCACTGCAGAGGGGGCTGTGCCAGGACAGAGGCAGACAGCATCAGGCAGGCCGGCGGCTCCCACTCCATCCAACCCCCTTGGAGAAGGCCAGTCCCTTCCAAACTTGGGCCAGGACTAAGACTCTGCGCTATACCATTCCACCCACACTGAAGTTCATCCACTAAGCGCTCAATGCTTTCCAGTTGTTTCACAGCTAATAACCAGTTTTAATATCACCCTTGTTCCACCCATAACCCTAGGGTTCAAATATAAGCTGACATAGCACAAAATAAGTGTCCCTCGATAGTGACTCGTTGCTTAACCATAATGTCAGTAATTGAATTTTTATTGCGTGCAGTCACTGTGCTGAATGTAAGCACATGTTACATCGATGAGGAATTCATCACGCTGGAAAGGACCCTGTGATTTTGTCCATTTCACACAGAAAGAAACTGAGGCTCAGAGAGAGCAAGTGACTTGCCCAAAGCTACCCCACTGGCAGTGGCAAGGCAGGGAAGGGAGGGAGAATTTGAGTGGATCCACAGCGGGGAGAGAAATCTTAGGTATACCCAAGACACCTTGCTGTTTGCATCACAGTGCATGAAAACACATCCTCCCAAGAGTTCTCACTTTTGAAAGGGCTTTTATATACAAGAATGCATGCCCATGTGCACCTATACTCACAATCAGCTTCATTGGAGCCCTTCTCGGGCACCAAGCACATGAAACCATACACTGCTCACCTGTCCCAGGGTCTTCAGCTGCTGCCCGGCATCTCCACTTTGACATCCCCAGTTCACCCCTCTTTCCTTCTCACTATGACCCCACCTTTCCCCCAAGAGAAATTTATGCAGAGCCTCAGGCTCTGGCAGTCACTGCCTAAATACCTTCTTTGGGGTTTGGTCTGCCCTGCCCAGATGCTAATGACCCCCATGCCACACCCCAGCTCCTGATCTTCCCTCAGACTCTCCTGGCCCACACACCCACACAAGCACCTAAAACTCAGTCAGGACTCACAACTCACAATTCAGCTCCATACCCATCGCTGAGCCTGCCCTGCTCCTCCTCTGTTCTTGATTTCAGCTGTGGCTCCACTAGTCTCCCAATCCAGAAACCTGGCAGTCATCCCTAACACCTTTGTCTCCTCCACTCACCCTTCCCTGATCAGTCCCCAAGTCCCAACAACCTTCCCTTCTACTTTCTAATAGTGTGTATGTAGATTGGTGTTAGTTCCTCCTTAAATGTTTGATAGCATTCACCAGGGAAACACTCTGGGCCAGGAGGTTTTTTTAGGAGAAGGTGTTTTGTTTTTGTTTTTGTTTTTTTCTTTAATACTGACTTCAAGTTCCTTAATGGAGACAGGGCAATGTAAGTTTTCTATTTCATCTTGTGTCAGTTTAAGCCTTCTATTTTTTTTTTTTTTTTTTTTTTTTTGAGATGGAGTCTCGCTCTGTCACCCAGGCTGGACCGCAGTGGTGTGATCTTGGCTCGCTGCAAGCTCTGCCTCCCAGGTTCATGACATTCTCCTGCCTCAACCTCCCGAGTAGCTGGGACTACAGGCACCTGCCACCACGCCCAGCTAATTTTTTGTATTTTTAGTAGAGACAGGGTTTCACCGTGTTAGCCAGGATGGTCTCAATCTCCTGACCTCGTGATCCACCCGCCTCGGCCTCCCAAAGTGCTGGGATTACAGGCGTGAGCCACCGCACCTGGCGGTTTAACCCTCCTTTCTAAATATCTCCCTCCATCCCCACTGCTACTGTCTCGTGTCCAGGCTCCAGCACCCCTCTAGCAGACAGGCACATATCCCCCTACTGTTCTGCCCTCATGTATGGCCCCACACCTAGCCTTTTTCCATGCAAGAAGCTTTCTAAAATGCAGACTGGATCACACATTCTGCTTAAACCCTGTCAATGACCTGGTACTCATCAATATCTCGTTGCCACTCCCCACCTTGAACCTTATCCCTTTTCATACAAGCTGCTTATGATTTGCACACATATACACACTCACATACTAAGTTACTGCACACCTCCTTGACTTCGTTCATGCTGTTCCCTCTGCCAAAACACTCTTTCCACTTTTTTGCTCCTAGCTAAGTCTCCTTCAGCTTTCAAGACTCAGATCAAACTCAGTAGATCCAAAACTGCTCAACAGTCACTCCTGTCTCCTCCTCATTTCCCGGTCCATCTAATTACGTAAGCCAGAAACCTGGGGATCACCTCTGAGTTCTCCCTTTCCTCTATTCTTCAAGACTCAGCTTGGGTATCCCCCCTCCACCAGGAAGCCTTCCCTGATTGCCCAGGGTAGGCTTGTCCTTTGTGCTGCTAGAGCATCATGTTCATATCTCCCTCTTAACACCTGCCTATCATATGGATGTTATCGGTGTATACATTGGCCTCTTCCCAAAGACTGGAAAGTTCTTGTGGGCAGAGGGTATGTCTCATCTATCCCTCTACCTACAGGAACTCAATGGGGTTGAACGATGGAGCCCACTCCCCCCTCCCCCTAGCAAGGGCCAGCAGAACCAGATTGGGCGCAGGTACCTGGGATTCTATCATAGTCTCGAAGCTGCCGCTCAACATAGTCCCACTTCAGGATGGTGCAGGCACTGACTCCTGGCTGGGCCAGAGCCAAATAGAGGTCACTGGAGTAGAGGAAGGGCTCAGCCGACACTGCTGGGAAGGCCAGGGTCTGGTACAACACAAAATCTGCAAGATGAGAGGTGCGTTACTGAAGACCAGAGGGAGAAGGGAAGGGCTGCTTGGGTGATGGTGGTTGCTTTACTGCTGCCGCTGGGTGTTGTGGGGCAGGGTGGGGGGTTTCGTGTCTGTAAAGCTGCCTTGGGGTAGGCGTGGACTGACACCCAAGGCAGGGGCACCTCCTACCTGTGGTGATGCAATCGAACTCCCGCAGCGGCAGGTCCTGCACCTTGTGCTCCTGGAAGCGGGGCGGGCTGGCGCAGTAGATGGGTGCCACCGTGGTGTTGGTGTGTGCCAGCCACTCCACCAACCACTTCACCTTGCAGTCACAGTTGAGTGAGTTGCCCCGCAGGTCCCTGCATCATGAGGGCAGAGGAGGGGGGCACAGAGAAAGACATGCTCTCAGGGCTCTGCCTACCCAGGCCCTCCAGGTTTTCAGAAATAGAGCTGGTCAAGGCTGCTGCAAGTTGCTCACATGCATCTTTGTAAGATTAGAGAAAAGTTTCCCTCTGGCTGGATGTAGCCCCACAGACACAGGCTTGGCCAGCAGAGTATGGAATCAGTTTCAGTCCTTGCTGACTTCTTTGGCTAGGTTGGCTTTTGCAGTGTGCATCCTGCACAGCTGTATGTTGCATCCCTGCTCCTCTAAGCCTCCCACAATCCAAGGCTTTTATTTTCTTATAAATAACAATAAATGAGTGTGGCTCTGCTATATACTACTATATGCTATATATTCCTTACTCGAAACTTTCAAAATCCCCTCCCGCTGATTGGACTTTAATGTAGAGTCCAATCAAACATACATTTAAAAAGCACAGGCTGGGCATGGTGGCTCACACCTGTAATCCCAACACTTTGGGAGGCTGAGGTGGGCAGATCACAAGGTCAAGAGTTTGAGACCAGCCTGGGCAACGTGGTGAAATCCCATCTCTACTAAAAATACAAAAATTACCCAGGCATGGTGGCGCACACCTGTGGTCCCAGCACTTGGGAGGCTTAGGCAGGAGAATCGCTTGAACCCGGGAGGCAGAGGTTGCAGTGAGCGGAGATCACGCCATTGCACTCCAGCCTGGGCAACAGAGTGAGACTCCGTCTCAAAAAAAAAAAAAAAAAAAGCACATGTTGGCCGCGCACAGTGGCTCAGGCCTGTAATCTCAGCACTTTGGGAGGCAGAGGCGAGTGGATCAACTGAGGTCGGGAGTTCAAGACCAGCCTGACCAACATGGAGAAACCCCATCTCTATTAAAAATATAAAATTAGCCAGGTGTGGTGGTGCATGCCTGTAATCCCAGCTACTCAGGAGGCTGAGGCAGGAGAATTGCTTGAACCTGGGAGGCAGAGGTTGCCGCGACCTGAGATGGCACCACTGCACTTCAGCCTGGGTGACAGAGCGAGACTCTGTCTAAAAAAAAAAAAAATTTTTTAAAGTACTTTTTTTTTTTTTTTTTTAATATTTTGAGACTGAGTTTTGCTCTTGTCGCCCAGGCTGGAGTGCAATGGCATGATCTTGGCTTACTGCAACCTCTGCCTCCCAGGTTGAAGTGATTCTCCTGCCTCAACCTTCCAAGTAGCCAGGATTACAGGCGCCCGCCACCACACCCAGATAATTATTGTATTTTTAGTACAGACGGCGTTTCACCATGTTGGCCAGGCTGGTCTGGAACTCCTGACCTCAGGTGATTCGCCCTCCTTGGCCTCCCAAAGTGCTGGGATTACAGGCGTGAGCCACCACACCCAGCCTTTTTTTGGCTGAGCACGGTGGCTCAGCACATTTTTGGCTGAGCGCGGTGGCTCACACCTGTACTCCCAGCACTTTGGGAGGCTGAAGTTGGCAGATCACAAGGTTAGGAGCTCGAGACCAGTCTGGCCAACATGGTGAAACCCCGTCTATACTAAAAATACAAAAAATTAGCCGGGCGTGGTGGCGCACACCTATAGTCCCTTAGTCCCAGCTACTCCAGAGGCTGAGGAAGAATCGCTTGAACCTGAGAGGTGGAGGTTGCAGTGAGCCGAGATTGTGCCACTGTACTCCAGCCTGGGTGACAGAGTGAGACTCCGTCTATAATTAAAAAAAAAAAAAAACACACACACACATTTTGAAAACATACACACATGGTGTCTCAGGTGCACTTTGAGAGAAACTCCAATTTGGAAGGCTACCATCTATATCTAACTCCACCTCCTCACCTCCTCAGGGTCCCCCCACCCAAGCCTTCCCAGCCTCTCAAGACCTTATGACCATCCCAATTCTGACTCCCACACCACTCCCTCCAGGGATGCGCCCTCTGCGGCACTGTTGGAAGAGGCAGGACTCAGGCCTTACAAGTCATTCAGGATGTCCAGGGGCCGGAAGATGTCTCTGGGCAGTGTCTGCAGGTTATTGTTGGCCAGCGAGCTGCAAAAGAGACCGCCAGGTCATCTGAAGATCATGAGCAAGGCCAAAGGCCACAGGAGAGGTGGGGCTTTGGTGCAGTGTGTGTATGTGTGACGTACTCACAGGTGAGTCAAGGACTTGAGTCCTCGGAAGGTGAACTTGGATAGTGCCCAGATGTCATTGTTCTCAATGAAGCTGGGGAAAGCGGGAACTTGCCTCAGTGCTCACACAGGATGCCAGACCCCCAGCAGCACTCGCCCTACGCCCCAGCCTAGATTTCAGCCCGTGTCCCCGAGACAGGTTTCCAAATGGAGTCTGGCATCACCAAGCCATAGAGATAGAGCATCAGGTAGGGTAGAGGCAAAATGAATGAAACGACCTTCTGCTCAGGTCCTGCCATCACGGGATGCAAGGGCTCTCGCCTCCCATCACCTTCCCTTCCTGCGGCATTCTCATCCACTCCCTACCCAGTCCCTCGGCCTCCCAGGCCTGGGGTCCCCCTCCCTTCTGCTTTCCCATTGCCCCTTTCCCTCCCACACACAGATACTGCAGGTGCGACAGTCCTGTGAAGGCGTTGTCTCCAATCAGTGTAAACTTGTTGGAGTTGAGTAACCTGCAGAGACAAAGGTGGAATTAGAGCTTCCAAGGGTGTGCCTGCTGCCCCAGCCCCCAGCCCGCTGCCTCAGCCCTGGGCTTCCCCAAGACATGACTGCCCTGCTGCTACCCCTGGGGACCCCATGGGGAATCCCTGGGCCACCTGGGCAACAAGGCCAGGCAGGAGCCTGTTCTGGCCCCAGAAGCTCCCAGGGTCCCTGTTGGATCCTAAACATGGGCCAAGGCAGAGCTCTCTTGTCAAGCCAGCTCCTGGTCCTCCCGGGTGGCATCTCCTCTCCCTCTCCCCCACCCTCATTCTGTCCCATTCCAGCCCCTCATGGACAACTGTCCCTCATGGACGGCATCTTGTAGGGTTGGAGACACTCCTGCCATCCCTTTCTTTCAGCCCCCAGCTCTTTCTGGGAACTCTGATTCCTGGGATCACCTGTCTCTAAGATGGCCCCACAGTGCCCACCTTGGGCACTAGCCCAGGCTATCGCACCCAATTCTCTGGGGTTTCCAGAGCAGCCAAGCCCATCCCCGCATCCCACTTGCTTGGCTTCTCTGTGCCATCCCTAGCTGTCCTCCTGCTGCCCCGACTCCCCTGACTCAAGGCTGCCCCGTCTTTTGGGTACATCCTATCAGAACAAAAGCAAGGGACACCTGCATCTTCGTCTGCAGAGGCTGCCTCTGTCCACTCTCCCTCTCCCCAGCCCAGGATTTGTCCCCTGCTACCACCCCATAGTTCCCCCAACCCTTCCACAAGGCCCTATCCATACAAGAACTGCAGCAGCGGGAGGTGGGAGAACGCTCCATCCTGGATCTCTGAGAAGGCGGCATTCACCAGGGTCCTGCGGGGACACCCGAGTCAGTACTGTGGGGTCTGCAAGGGCTGTGCTGAGGCAGGGAGAGGTGAACACGGAGGGCAGTAGCTTTTGTACTCACTTGCCCTGGAAATGCCCCATTTCACCTAATTTAGCCCCCATCTGTGTGTCTTTCCCTTCTCCTCCCAAATTCACTGCCTGCCTTCACCAGGGTCCTCCCCTATTGCCTCTTGGGGCACCCATGGCCCCAGGCTCAGCTTCCCTCTCAGGCAAGAAAAGGTTCCATCACCCACACCGTTGTCATCATCATCCAAACACCCACAATGGGCTGGGTGCTGTTGAGAGATGGGGCATGGGGGTGGGGGCTGGCATCCTGGTCCCCAAGGACCTCACAACCTCTCTGGTCCCACAGACAAGGGGGAGCCCCTGAGGCTGGCTGTTGTGAGTGACAGGCTGGCCGAGCTGAGTGCCAAGTGGCTGGTCAGTGGCGGGCATGTGCCCCATGCCAGGGTGCTGGGAGGGCATAGCTCATTCTCATCCTGCTCTGGCCGCCACTCTCCTGCCCTTGGTGTGACATCACAGGCAGGGGCCCACATGCTCGTGTAAGCAACCCCCCCAAGTCTGGAGCACAGCACACAGTAGGTCTCACTGTCGCTCGTGGTGATGATGATTCATTCTTGGTGGTGAACTCCTGCTTTCCCCACCCATGGCCGCTGAGCCTGCAAAACTGCAGAACTCCCTGCCCGACTGGTGCCTGGAATCTCCAGCCCTGAGGACCCCTGCAGTCCCCCTGGTCCCCGCACTCTGAAGAGGGGGAGCGGGGGTTCTCCTGTCCTCTCCCAGAGCTGTCCTCGGCCTCCTCTCCCTCCCCAACCCCCAAGGCCAGGGCTGGACACTCACAGGGAGATGACCTCCGAGGGCAGGTTCCTGGGCACCGCCTTTGAGTCCACGCAGAAGGCGGTGTCCCTGGTGCAAGAGCAGCTGGGCGGGCAGGGGGGCGTCTTGGGGGGCCTCTTAGCGCTGACTTGCAGCATGAGGCAGAAGCCGAGCGCGGAGAGCGCCAGCAGCCCCGGCCCCGGGCCCCCCCTGGCCCGCAGCCCCGCCATGCTGCCCGCGATCTCTCCCTGGGGCCGGCGGCCGCGGCCCCCGCCCCACCGCTCCCGCGGCTGGGCCACCCCGCGCGGGCTGGCACCTCCCTGCCACCGGCAGCTGCTACCGCAGCCAGGGGCCCGCCTGCGGACTCCTCCTGCCCTCGGGCGCCGGCTGCGGTCCCCTCCCCTGCTCGCTCCCGCGATCCGGCTCGGGAGAGAAGAGCGGAGCGCGGAGCTGGAGCCGCAGCCGGGGCTGACCGCGCCGGGTGGCTGCGGACTGCGGCGCGGGCGGCGGGGGCGCGCGCGGGGCGGCGCGGGGCCTGGGAGTCACGGAAGGGGAGGCGTGGCCGCTGTGTGCTCTACCGGGCGGTCTCTGGGGCCATCCGCGTGTGGGGCTGCGCGTGAGTGCATGCGTGTGAGCTTGTGCTTGTGCCTCTGCTGGGCACGACTGTGCGCGCCGGTGCTCACCTGTCTCTGCACGGGCACATGCACTCACTGCCTTGTGGAGGCGCTTCGGCGTTAGGGATCCCTGTGCTTCTGTCTACCTGGGTTTCTTTGCATGGGGGGACACATCCCCTAGGCAGCATCATGGGCATGTCGTGAGTGACAGACGCATATCTAAGTTAGCATGCAAGATTAGAAGCACAAGGGCGTCCTGGAGGAGTCTGAAGTGCGCTTCTAACCGGATTCACATGTTTTTCCACGCGCCGCTGAACAGAATGTACCTTTGTGTCAGCATGAGCTGAAAAGGGAAACGCAGCCTCTGGAGCTGGAGTGGGACTGTGTGGAATTCTGGAACATTTCTCACGCTCAACCACAGCCTGTTAAAGCTGGGAAGCGCTTTGGATATTTTTCAGTCCAGCCCTTTGTCTAACAAATGAGGAAACTGAGGCCCCCTAAGCTTGCTATCGCAAGTGCTCTGTACTTTCCCTACTTAATCCTCTCAATCGTTTGAGGCAGGTGATAGTAATTCCCTTTTACAGACAAGAAAAGTGAGGCCTGTCGCACCAGAAGAAAAAGGTATCAGCAGGGATTTCCGCCCACTCTGCCCAGCTTCAAGGTTCACGGTCGTCCTTCCATGCACGGCTCTTCCAAGTGTAGCCCTGGGAGCCCGGGGGTCCTTGAGAACCTTTCAGGAAGTCTCTGAGGTAAAAACAATTTTCCTAATATTGTTAAGACATGATTTGCCCTTTTCACTTCTATGAAGCTCCAAATTTAAAAGATTTCCAAAACTGTAAAGAAATGACACTTTCTCTCTAATTTTATTTTGCTTTGTAAAATAATTTTGCTTTGTAAAATCGTTTTTCCATTAAAAATGTGATTTATGTCATAACCTATATTGGGTTTATTACTGATATTTTAAATTCACATGTAAATAAAAATGTAATTTCTCAGTAAATATCAACAGACATATCCCACATAAACAAAAGCTCTTGGGGGTCCTCAATACTTTTTGAGAGTGTTAAGGGGTCCTGAAAACAAAAAGCTTGAAGACTGCTGCTCTCTACCACGTTAGCTCCCCTGTGGCGGAGGATGACTGTCCTAAGAGCTCATAGGCACGGGGCAAGGGGAGCCTGGCTGTCAGCTGCCTGGGCTTCTAGTCTTGTGCTTTTTGCACACCAGTCCAGGGAACGAAGACCACTGGCTTTAAGATGCTTCCCCAGCTGTCCCCAGACTCTGCCAGCAGGGGATTCTCTGGTCTGAGCTTAAGTTGTGTTCTCCCAGCCAGGGATGCCCCTGCCCTTTGATGTCTCCTTGCTGCCACACATTTAGCCGCCCTCCCCATGCCAGCTTGGGGGGAGGGAAGCAGTGAGGGTAGGGAGGTGGCTGGGGCAGCTGGGCAACTGTCCCCACCCGTCCCTGGCACGGCTCTGCCCAGTACACAAAGAGCAAAGTGAATCTTGTCCCCACCCCTGCAGCTGAGGGGCTGGAGGAGGAAACGGGGAGGCCCACACAGAAGGGGTGGCCACCGTGGGGCTGTCCATCACTCAGGGCTCTCAGAGGGAGTCAACCCAGAAACAGACAAAGAGGGTGAGTCTGGGCTGTGTTCTTAGCTAGTGAGAGGTCCCCTAGAGGATGAAGTAGATGATGCTAATGAGGATGACTGGATGTCACACCCATGATGCTATTAGGTCCTCATAATAGCATAGTGAGGTGGACAGCTAGTACCTGACCCATCTCACAGATGAACATACTAATGCCTAACAAAGCAGAACGACTCACGCTGGGTCCCAGAGCTGGCCAGTGGAAGCACTGAGACCTCCACATACTGAAGGCATGGACTATTGACCGCTGTTGGTATTGGTCTCATCATTGACTATCATTAAGTGTTGGCTGTTTGCATGCTTCCTGCCCAGTGGCAGGTTCAAAGAAGCCCGCAGGAAGCGTGCTCCTTTCTTTCCCAGGGCCCGCAATTGGGCTGGAAGATAGAGCAACAAAAAGCGCCCATGTAACTCATGGGAACATTCATGTGTGCTGAATGGCAGGTGAAGGTGCCACAGAGAGGCTGAGGATTTCAGAGGGCACCATGAACTGGAGTGAGGTCGCAGAGCAGGTGCCATTGGCTCTTGGCCTGTTTGGGTGGGTGGCATTCAGAGAGGTGGAAGGTCAGATGCACTGTTCACGCCTGTAATCTCAGCACTTTGGAAGGCCAAGGTAGGAGGATCACACGAGGCCAGGAGATCAACGCTGCAGTGAGCTATGAAGCTGTGATTGCACCACTGCACTGCAGCTTGGGTAACAGAGTGAGACCCTGTCTCTAAATAATTAAATAAATAAAATAAAAATAAAACCGGAGAAGTGGAGAGGGATTGGAGGTGGGCTTTCACAGAGGGAGAAACGGCTTAAGTACAGGCCAAAAAGTGAGAAGGCTGCAGACAGGGCTGGTAGGGGGAGGGGGAAATTTGGCACACCCAGCTAAAGGTCCTTCTGTGTCTCCTTCTCCAAGGAACCCAAGACCTTCACTTGGTTGGTGTGAGCACTCCAGGAGGCAGGCACCCTCCCTCAGCCCTCAAGCAAGCAAAAATGGGTTTAAAAAAAGAAGGAGAAGAAGCAGCAGCAGCAGCCGCCACAGAGCTTGTGACAGCTACAGCCTAAGGGCAACAGGCAGGGGAGACCAAGGACCAGAAAGAGCAGAGGCTTTTTCAAAGAAAGAGATCCCTCTCCCAGCACCCAGCGATGGCGGCAAACCCCACCCACAGTGCCTGCTAAGAACAAGTCCCACGTGAGAACAACATGGCCCCCCGAGATGCCCACAGGGACCCCGAGATGCCTGCAGTGCTTGGCTCTCCCGCTGGCCAGCTGCCCACCTGGCTCAGGCCCAGTACTCGTGAGTCAGCCGATCAATCCCAATGTTGCCAGGATGATGGGGGCGGGAGTAAGGGCCCTGGGGGAGGGCAGGGGTGGGCACTGCAGGCGAGCTGTCTCCCACATCTGGCACCTGCACACAGCTGAGGCCGAGCTGAGAGGATGCTTCTGTGGGCTCCCCCTCCTCCCGGCACCCCTCCCCTCCTTTCACTGTCCTAGGACACTCTCTGGCTGCTGGAGTCTTAGGCAAATATTTAAAGGGGCAGCAAGGGGGTGAGGAGGGTGGTGGGAGCAAACACTTCCCTCCCTTTCTTCCTCCCTGCGCTTCTCAGGGGCTCTCAGTTCAGATGCCATGCTGTTATGCAACCTTGGGGCTGAAGGCCCTCCAGATGGAGAGGGGGACAGGGGAACCTGCCAGCTCATGACCGAAGGGCAGGGCCCAGGTGGGAGGGGGCTGGGGCAGGGGACAGGAACTGGGGTGGCATGTTAAAGGACAGGAGGCTGGTTGGGCATGGTGGCTCACACCTGTAATCCTAGCACTTTAGGAGGCCGAGATCACTTGAGCCCAGGAGTTCGAGACCAGCCTGGGCAACATGGTGAAAACTCATCTCTATAAAACAAGCAAAAATTAGCTGGGCACAATGGCATGCACTGGTAGTCCCAGCTACTTGGGATGCTGAGGTGTGAGGATCACCGGAGTCCAGGAGGTCAACGCTGCAGTGAGCAGTGATCTCGCTACTGCATGCCAGCCTGGGTGATAAAGTGAGACCCTGTCTCACAACAAAACAAAACAAAACAAAACAAAAGGATAGGAGGTTAAGGGAGCGAGCCCAGGCCTGGACTCTGCCACAGTCACCTGAGTTTAGAGGTGAAGGGACTTTAGAGACCACCTGGCCCAAGGAGTGAAAGGGAACCTGAGAGAAAGGGTGAGCCAGCCCAAAGTCATTGGCAGATTTGACCTCGTAAATACATAGAGATGGCTTTGGGAAGGCACTAGGAAAGACAGAGAAAAGAGAAGGAGACAGTCCTCAAAGCTGATCGTATTTGGGTGAGTATTATTCTCAGGGCAAATTTAGGATCAGAGGATGCAGAAAGGGGAGTCTAGAGGGGTAGAGTGTAGACCACAGGGTGAGTGAGCTGATTCGAGGATGGGGAGACTGGGAGCCCACCAGTGACCAGAGCCAGCCCTGTTCAGGGCTGTCCGGGCAGAAGAAAGCAGTGTCAGACCTGGAATCTGCCATCAGCACAGCCTGCAATTGACAGACAAGCCCAGAGCAAAGAAGGAAGCACTGCACATGAGTAAGAGCTTGCCACCAGTGGGGACAGAGTTTCCAGAATTAGGAAAATAATCACTGGGGGCAAGTTTGAGGTTGGTACCAGATATGTGGGAGGAGGCAAGGTAAGGGAAAGAGTACTTGAAGTTGGAACTGGTCCTTGCAGGGAAATGCACATTTATGAAACCCCGAAAACTGATGTCAAAGCACCTCCTGCCTTGGGCAGAGTCCTCTCAGAGTCTACAGGTGCTGCCTCCAGAACCCTCTTCCTGGAGCGCATCCCTATGTATCTAGAAATTCTGCTGGGAAATATGATGGTCAGACCCTTGGCCACCTGAAAGGTTCAGGGTGGTAGAAGAAAAAGGAAAGCCACAGGGCAGCAGGGGCAGGTGCCAGCAAGGAAGGCAGGCACGCCAGGAAGACACCCATGGTGAGAAGTGCAGATGGCCCGAGGGCAAGTTTGCTCAACTCACCCAGGTTTGCTCTTGCTGGGGCCAAGAGGACTCATGTGCCAGGGCCAAGGGCCCTTGGGGGCTCTCACAGGGGGCTTATCTGGGCTTCGGTTCTGGAGGGCCAGGAACAAACAGGCTTCAAAGCCAAGGGCTTGGCTGGCACACAGGGGGCTTGGTCCTTCACCTCTGTCCCCTCTCCCTACGGACACATATAAGACCCTGGTCACACCTGGGAGAGGAGGAGAGGAGAGCATAGCACCTGCAGCAAGATGGATGTGGGCAGCAAAGAGGTCCTGATGGAGAGCCCGCCGGTGAGTGTGGTTGCGTGTGTGTATGTATGTGTGCGCGCGCACATGTGTGTGATGGGCCCTGCCTCCTCTATCCTCCCTGGCCTGTTTCCTTATCCAGATCCATTCACTCAACTAACCTAGGACTGTGATAAGTCAGGATGGGGACACCAAGACCACTAAGCCAGGGACCCTTGGGGAGCTGTTTGTGGGCCAAGAGCCACTATAGGGGTCCGTAGAAAGGGCTGTCCGTAGACAGCCCTGAGTCAGAAGCCATGAGAAACTTCAGAAGTCAGGGGACACTTCTCAGAGAAAAACCACATACGAGCTGGAGCCAGAATAAGGAGGAGCTCGCCCGGTGGAGAAGGAGGAAGGCATTCCAGGAAGGAGGGAGACTCTGTATCACCGCATGGAGGTGATCACTTGGGGAGAGAGAGGGGCTGACCATGGCTGGGGGAAGCAGCAGGGAGAGACAGGTGAAGCAGGCTCTCTTGGGTCCCTCAAAACTAGACCCTGCTTCTAAGCTTCTATGTGTCTATGGGTTTGTTAGAATCCAGGCCACCTCCTCCAAGAAGCCTTCTCTGATCTCCTCAGCCCTTCCCTGTCCATCCATCGCATCGGCTGTCCAGCCCTAGGCAGCCGTGGGAGGGTGTTCAGCTTGTATAGGGAGAAGAGGGGACAGCCTCATGACCTCATGCCTGTCTCCTTGCCTGCCCCACCGTGTCAGGACTACTCCGCAGCTCCCCGGGGCCGATTTGGCATTCCCTGCTGCCCAGTGCACCTGAAACGCCTTCTTATCGTGGTGGTGGTGGTGGTCCTCATCGTCGTGGTGATTGTGGGAGCCCTGCTCATGGGTCTCCACATGAGCCAGAAACACACGGAGATGGTGAGAGGTGTGGGATGCACAGCAGTGGGCACAGGACATGCCAGACAGCGGGGCTAGGTGGGATGGGCGATAGGAAACTGTCCAAGGGGAGTGGAGGGGAGGAGGCAAGGGGCACAGCTAGAAGGAAAGAGGCACGAACCAGGCAGCAACCCAGCTCAGGCTTTTCCACAAGGCCCCTGCCCCGCAGCAGGACAGCCAGCTCCCTCCAGCACCTGGTTCCACTCAGCCTCCCTGAACTCTTGGGAAAGAGGGAAGCGCATTTGAGTACAGAGGCCTGAGTATGGGGATGGGTACCACTGGCTGAGTAGGAAAGGGGAAGACCAGGTGGCTCCATGCCCTTTCCCCAGGTTCTGGAGATGAGCATTGGGGCGCCGGAAGCCCAGCAACGCCTGGCCCTGAGTGAGCACCTGGTTACCACTGCCACCTTCTCCATCGGCTCCACTGGCCTCGTGGTGTATGACTACCAGCAGGTGGGTATGCCCAGACCTCCTGACCCTGGGACCAATGACAAGGCTCTGCTAGAGCCACCCAGCTGGGCCACTTCATCCACATCCATCTCTCCCTCTCCTCCAGACCTTTTTTGCCTGAGCCCCAGATTCTAGTATGACTCCCGTGCCCAACCTAGAGGGAGGTGGCTAAGGACCTGGGTCAGGGAGAGAGCAGGGCAGGGACCCCCGAATGATCTCCAGCATTCTGTGCCTAGCTGCTGATCGCCTACAAGCCAGCCCCTGGCACCTGCTGCTACATCATGAAGATAGCTCCAGAGAGCATCCCCAGTCTTGAGGCTCTCACTAGAAAAGTCCACAACTTCCAGGTGTGTGTGTGTGGGTGAAAAGAGTGGGCTGTCTCCCTCCCAGGGCTGCTGGGAGGAGTGTCCGAATGGTGGCTATTTGTCACCTGTAAAGCACTGTTCCTCATTGGCTGCCAGCTGACTGCCCCTCTCCTATTCCCCTGCACGACTCCTTTCCTTCCCACCCCACTGCCAAGCTGCTGGGCTCAGCTGAGTCCACTCACTACCTGGTGGCTTCTGACTCTAGCACAGCCCCTCTTTACTGATGAGAAAACTGAGGCTCAGAGAGATTGCCTGATATACCTGAAGTCCCACAATAAGGGCTGCACATGGGATAGAAACTCACTTCCTACATTCCAGATGGAATGCTCTCTGCAGGCCAAGCCCGCAGTGCCTACGTCTAAGCTGGGCCAGGCAGAGGGGCGAGATGCAGGCTCAGCACCCTCCGGAGGGGACCCGGCCTTCCTGGGCATGGCCGTGAGCACCCTGTGTGGCGAGGTGCCGCTCTACTACATCTAGGACGCCTCCGGTGAGCAGGTGTGATCCCAGGGCCCCTGATCAGCAGCGGAGGAGCGCTCGGGCCACCTGCCCGGGCTGTGGAGGAGCGCTCGCGCTGACCAGGCGCTGGGGCGTCCACTGAAGCGGGGTCATCCAGGCAACTCGGGGGAGGGGAAGCTCACAGACCGGTACTTCCCACTCCCCTGATTCTCTCTGTCCATCCTCAACATTCCTTTGCTTCACAGGGTCAGTGGAAGCCCCAACGGGAAAGGAAACGCCCCGGGCAAAGGGTCTTTTGCAGCTTTTGCAGACGGGCAAGAAGCTGCTTCTGCCCACACCGCAGGGACAAGCCCTGGAGAAATGGGAGCTTGGGGAGAGGATGGGAGTGGGCAGAGGTGGCGCCCAGGGGCCCGGGAACTCCTGCCACAACAGAATAAAGCAGCCTGATTGAAAAGCAAAGGGTCTGCTTCTGTCTTCCTGCAGGGCGCAGTCCTGCCCTGGCGGGGGCCGGCCAAGAAGGGAAGGGCCTTGGGAGAGCAAAGTGGGGTTTGCCATTCGCCCTCTGTCCCAGGGCGCTGGGGCACTGGGTCCACCTCGGCGGGGGAGAGGGGCTCGCAGGGAGCCATCCACGGGCTTTCGGCGCCCTCCAGCGGCGTCTCCGGAGGAGGGAGAGACACCAAGACAGCGAGAGAGACAGAGCGCAGAGAGCGAGACGCGAGAGAGCGAGGGTCCAAGAAGGGGAGATAGGGAGACGCGGGCGGAGAGACCGACCCGAGGCGGGGGCGCGGGGCAGGGGCGGCGCGAGGACCTGACAGCGTGTCCCGCGGCGGGGCGGGGGCTCGGCCGCGCGCCCGCGGGGGAGGCCGCCGCTAGAGGGCACTTCAGGAGGGACAGCCCTCCCGGCACCCCGGGGCCCGAGCTCCAGCCCCGGCCTCGCGGCCCGCGGCCCGCGGCCCGGGCGGCCCGAGCCCCCTCCCCGGGCGCGCGGCTCTCCGCCTTCCCCGCCCCGGCTGGCGCGCGGCCCGGCCCGGCCGAGCACTGTCCCGGCCCCGAGGGGGGCAGAGCTCGGGCGAAAACCCGCCCTCCAGCGAGCTCATTTCCCTAAAAAGGGGGGGGGGAGTCGGAGGGAGGGAGGGAGGGAGAGAAAGAAAGAGAGAAAAAGAAGGAAAGGGAGAGGGAGACGGCTGGAGCCCGAGGACGAGCGCGGAGCCGCGGACCGAGCGGGGGGCGGGAGACAGGAAGGAGGGAGGCGAGCAGAGGGAAGGGGAAGAGGTCGGGGAGCGAGGGCGGGAGCGGTCGCGGTCGCGATCGAGCAAGCAAGCGGGCGAGAGGACGCCCTCCCCTGGCCTCCAGTGCGCCGCTTCCCTCGCCGCCGCCCCGCCAGCATGCCCGGCGTGGCCCGCCTGCCGCTGCTGCTCGGGCTGCTGCTGCTCCCGCGTCCCGGCCGGCCGCTGGACTTGGCCGACTACACCTATGACCTGGCGGAGGAGGACGACTCGGAGCCCCTCAACTACAAAGACCCCTGCAAGGCGGGTGAGCGCCCCCCGGCCCCCCGGCGACGGGCCAGGCGGGGAGGCGCGGGCGGGTTCGGGCTTGGGGTTGGGGGAGGACAGTCCAGTGTGGGAAGCCGGGAGCTGCCTGGTTGGCAATGCAGTGGGGAACAAAAGAACGAGGGGGAGAGGGAGGGGGATTTGGGGGACTTTTCGGACTGAAGTTTTGCCGCTGTTGGTGGAAGCTGCTGCCGCTGCCTCTCATCTTCCCAGAGGATTCCAGAGGAAGTCTCCTTGCGTCCCGGGAAAACCGGCGGGCAAGGCGGCTTTTCCTTCTGTAGGAAACTTTTCTGGCCAAACTCCTGTGCGTGCGTGTGTGTGTGTGTGTGTGTGTGTGTGTGTGTGTGTGTGTGTGTTCTTTCCCCTTCTCCCCCATCTCTCCTGCTCCAGGAGCTGGGTGTTTTCCAGCCTGTCTGGGCTGCCCTGGGGCTGCACATCTGTCTGGCTTGGATCTGGGAGGCCTGAGTCTCCAAGGAGCAGGTCCCCCAGCCACCACCCAGCCCAAGTGGAAGAAGAAAGTTTTTCCAGGGATTCCCTGAGATCGTGCTCTCTGGGTATCCCGTAGTTTAACCAGTAGCTGAAGCTTTCTGGGACTTAGGAGACAGCTGTCAAAGTCAGAGAAGCCAACCCAGAAGGGGGACTTAACTTTGTCCCTATGTGCCCAGAGACCCCCGCCAAGGCCAAGTTGGGGTGGAAAGAGGGAAAATACAAAGAGAACCCAGATATTGTATATCAGCTCTGTCACCCCCGAGACACCAGAGGCTAATTAGCTGAGGTCAGGACCCCGGAGTGTGTGTTTGCCTGTATGTGTGTGTGTTCTTTGTCTCTGAAGACTCTATGTAACCCCATCACTCCTGCTGAGCCCAGAAGGGTCCTGCCCCTGGAGTGACCAGATGGCCAGGCACTCGGGCCATTTGCCTGATTGGATGACCCTGGGCAGGCTGTTTGGGGACACACAGGGACAAGATATCAGAACTTTTCCTTGACTTCCTGCCTCTCTGACTTCAGCTCATCTCCAAATAGCCAGAGCCAGGGGAAGTGGCATAGTTGCTAGAACTGGACTGCCTGTGTGGGGCACCAGGGGCGGAGGGGCAGGTTGCTCTAGTCCTGGCTCTGGAGACCCTGTTCAGGGACTCTCCTGGGAGGGTGGCCCACAGGCAGGAATAAGAGACCATCCAATGGAGGAAATCAGGGCAAATCCCTCAGCCCTTACCCCTCTACACCTGCTGGGCTGCGGGTAAACCAGGACATTTGCTGTCATTTTTCTCGCTGGGGGCTGGGAGTGGGTACAGGGCAGAGTGGACTGCGCATGGACTTTGAAGGCAGGCACATCTAGCTTTCAATCCTGACCCTGCTACTCATTATAGCTGTACCACCTCAGAATGGTAATGATCATGTCTGAACTGCCACTTTCACACCTGTAAAATGGAACTGATCATGCATCTTCCCATAGAGTTGGTGGTAAGGGTTAAATATGAAAACATACATAAAACACTTAATAGTGCTTAACACACAGTCAGCGCTAAATAAATGTGGGCTCCCTACTCCCTGTTTTCTGTGCCTCAGACTGTCACTTCATTTTTTTGAGAGGTGTGGGATTGCTGGTGTC
The DNA here is from genome assembly GCF_000001405.40 of Homo sapiens. Classification (NCBI taxonomy): domain Eukaryota; kingdom Metazoa; phylum Chordata; class Mammalia; order Primates; family Hominidae; genus Homo; species Homo sapiens. Next base: position 22,167,180 of record NC_000008.11, read on the forward strand.
TCCTTGTGCCTCTTATCCATCAATCCATCAATACCTAATATGTGCTAGGGCCTGGAATGGATGTTGTGGGAGGTACTGAGACGTACAAGCTAGGACCCTGCCTTCAAGGAGCTTACAGTCCAGTAGGGACCCAAGACACCTACAGACATAACCAATAGCACAAACCAAGCCACACTGAGTGCCACATTGGAGGGTAGGATGCCAAAGACTCAGGGAGTTTCCTGCCCCTCTGCAGCCTGGTGGTGGCAGAGAAAAGTGATCACAGCAGGCTGAGAAGGTCTGGGGGGGTCTTCATGGAGGAGGTGGGGCTGGGGCCTGGCCTTAAAGAATGGGTGGGAAGCCATTCTGATGTCTTTCCCTTCTTGTTGGAAATGGGAGTGATTTTCAGAGCAGCAAGAGGCTGAGGGCTCTCCCCCCAGTCTCAGGTTTCATGCTAGGGTGGGGCTGGCTGAGTTGGAGCTTCAAGTAAGGGCTCTGGAGAAAGCACTCCAACTGGGTGAAGTGAGGCTGGTGGGGCGCTGGGCCAGGGCTGGGGGCGGCTGAGAGGGCCCCCGGGCCTGACAAGGCCAGGCCTTGGGTCAGATCAGGCCTCCCTCTCGGGTGTGACTGATGCTTGAGATCTGCTGCCCACCTCCAGAGGAAACTCACATGGGCATTCCTAAGTACTCACACCCACACCCCTGTGCCACTGCCTTCCAGCCACAGGTCCCTCAGCTCTGTTCTCCACGTTTCCTTCTCCTGCCTGGCTTTGCTTCCTGTATCCTCTGCAGCCCTGACCTCCAGATGCTGGAGGTGATGATGGCAGGCATGCTGTCTCTGCTTCTTTTCAAGGGCTGGAACTGAAAGCTCCTTTGACTCCCACAGCTTACCTGTGACCTTTCCAGTTGCTCTGAGGGTAGCCACGCCCCTTCGTTGGACCATTACTGGCCGAGTTATGGTTGCCGTTGTAGTGAGGGCAAAATTAATATCCTTGATACCCTGGAGAGGTTCCTGGACCTTCTGGGTGAGACCAGGACGTTGGGCAGGAAGGCAGGCTGGTCTGTTTGTGTGCTCAGAGCTGGTGCCACCAAGCCCTCACTAGCCCTTGCCCAGGAAGATTTTGAGGCAGGCCTGATTTCCTGTATGTCAGGAAATCAGCCAAACCATGAAGGGGGTCCTTCTGCAAGATTCCCAGCACTGTTTGGCTGCCCCAGGTGACTAGCCAACACCCCCCCGGAGAGACCTTGGAGGCAGGAATTGGGACACAGTTGATCCCAAAATCAGAGAAGCCCAGGGGCCTGACCCCACAGGGGTGGGGCTAGAAGCATGTCACACCCAGAGCTGGGTAGTGACCCTGTGCCAGTGAGGCCCCTGCTACCACCTCAACCTCATCTGACAGCCCAGAGTCTGCAGGAGCGGGAGGGGCAGCACTTACCAGCCCACATCCCCATCCCACCCAGGGGGACGCCTGGCCAAGGTTTGGACATCAGAGAGCCATAGAGGATTAGGGTACACCCTCTGAGGTCGAGAAGTAATCTCTCCTCTCACCAGACCACATTCCCCCTCTAGACAGCTGAGTCACCCCACCCACCCAGGCCCCTGCCCCTGAGTCACCTTCTTATTTCAGTGCCGCAAGGGGTGAGGAAAAAATTTGTACTCTCCCTGGGCCCTACATGGGGCAGGGCGGGGCAGTGGGGTTCCCCAGGAAGAAGGGATTCTTAAGAAGTCTAGGCAGGGGGCAGTGGCTCATGCCTGTAATCCACTTTGGGAGGCTAAAGTGGGAGGATCACTTGAAGCCAGGAGTTTAAGACTAGCCTGGGCAACACAGCAAGATGCCCATCTCTACAAAAAAATTTAAAAATTAGCTGGGCATGGTGTCATGCACCCGTAGTCCCAGCTACTTGGGAGGCTTAGCTGGGAGGAGTTGGAGCTCGAGAGTTCAAGGCTGAGTCCAGGAGCTGGAGGCTGTAGTGAGCTATGATTGTGCCGCTGCACTCTAGTCTGGGTGACAAAGCAAGACTCTGTGAAAAAAAAAAAAAAAAAAATCTAGTTTCTCCAGAGATCTGGGGAGAAGATATTGCGGTCGGGGGAGTAGAAGCGCTACTCCTCAGTCCACTAAGAACCTCCTAAGGAGATCCAAGGGAGTCAGCTAATCTCTCTCTCTCCCTCCCTCGCTCTCTTTGTCTCACACAAGTGCATCCCTGTCCATTTCTAAGTGCGCCCTTGTCCTTTGGGGAGTGTGGCCTGTGAAACATGGTGCATGCCTGCAGTTATGTGTGTGTTTGAAAACACAAGATCCTGCACGGGGAAGTGGTTGAGTGTGTGTTTGTGCATATGCGTGGGTGTGTCGCTGCCTTGTAGGCAAGCATGTTCACCTGTGATCGGTCTTCCTGAGTACATGCAGGCATGGAGGCAAACATGCACCTCTGCAGAAGTGTTCACATGTGATGAAGTCCATCCACATGTTTGCAGGGGTTTGAGTGTGTCATCCCCCAGCTAGAAGCTTGCGTTTGTGCAGTGGGACATGCATCAGTCCTGCACATATAGCCTTGGGGCTCATTACACCAGCCAGCCTCCTCTCCCCACTTCCCCAGAAGGGGAGGCCTTGCCATGCCCTGGGGGAGGAGACGGTGGAGTCCAGAGGTTGACCTGAAAGAGTGAGATTCTTCCCAGGCACAAGCACACAGATGGGCTCAGCCACAGTGCTCCTGGCAGGTTTACAGCTGGAAAACAACACAAAAAATTTTTATCTTGTGTTGAAAATAACTACTACCCTGACCGTGACCCCAGGGCTTCCTCTGAGTAAGGAGAGACCTCCTAGACTCCTTAGCATCCAGATTCCCTCGCTTCCCCAGAGGGCAGCCCAAAAGCACAGAGCCCCAAGGCCCAGCTCCTGCCCCTAAGGCTCTCCTGCCCATCTCCTCTCTCCCCACCCCCACTTGGTTCCCACGCATTCTTCAGCCATGACATCCTCACTCCAGGAGCTCAGCAGCCAGGGCCATGCCCTGCCCTGCCTTGCACTTGCTCTGCCCTGGTTCTACACTGGCCCTGGACCCGCAGGCCAGCACAGTTCTGTGGCCTCTGCACCAGGGTTTCACTCAAGGAGGAGTGGGGGCAGAGAGTGTGGGTGAGCCAGCGTTCCCTGAGGAGGTCTAGAGCTGACTTTGAGCTTACGGGTTGTGTTGGGATAATATTAAAGTGGCTGGTGGGTGCGTACCGTGTTGCATGCTCTGTGCTGGGGGTTCGTGTATATGTCTTATTTCATGCAGTAATCCTAGGAGACAGATTCTGTTATGTAGGAGAACACTGAGGCTTAGAAGAGTTTACATGACTTGTCAGCTAATAGTAGCCAACCTGGATTCCAAGACAGGTCTGTCTGACTCCAAAGACCTTGCCCTTTGCTCTATGTCCAAAGGTGAGTCTAAATGTCCAGCCACACCTGTATGCGGTGATGCCTGTGGGTTTGGGTGTGGGAGCCTGCAGGTACAATGCCTGTGAAAGGTATAATATGTGTGTACGGGCACAGTAGCTTATGCCTGTAATCCCAGCACTTTGGGAGGCCAAGGCAGGAGGATCACCTGTGGTCAGGAGTTCAAGAACAGCCTGATCAACAAGGTGAAACCTCGTCTCTACTAAAAAAAAAATACAAAAATTAGCTGGGCGAGGCTGAGACAGGAGAATTGCTTGAACCCAGGAGGCAGAGGTTGCAGTGAGCTGAGATTGCACCACTGCACTCCAGCCTGGGTGACAGAGTGAGACTCCATTTCAAAAAAAAAAAGAAAGAAAGGTATAACACAAGCCTAAGTGTGGAGGCATTCGTGTGGCAGATGCACATCTACGTGAACTTTGGTGAGTATGAACCCACTGCTTCTTCCTTGGAGTGTACCTCCCATCCCATGTCCTTGTTAAGGCCACTCTTGCATGTCACCTGGGAAGCATCTTCTGTTGCCGTCCCATCAGTTGCTGAGCCAAGGCCACCTGCCGAGGATGGCGATTCAAGTAAGAGTAGCTTTCTCATGGGTTGGAAGAGATTTGGGGTCACTTACTGGCTGGTGACCTTGAGTGAGTTATCGCCCTTCATAGGCTCAAGTGTTCTGATGTCTAAAGTCAGGGAGGTGGGCTGGAACCTAAACCTAGCCACTTAGGTTATCTCTCTCTGAGAGTTTCTAATGCTCTGCAAGAGCATGGTGTGGAGTGTGGCTTACTGGGCATGTTGTGGGCAGGCCAGGATTAAATTAATTAATGGGAAAGCACTTTGCCAATTGGAAAGCACCACAAAAATTTCAACATTTACATAAGGTGTCATTATCACGACTATTATTTGCTTAATGGGTCCAGAGCTTGCAGCTGGTTTGTGTATGTTGGAGCTTGTGCATGTGTGTTTTTTAAAAACCGTGTGTGACTGTGTGTGTATTTTGTTGTGGATGTGTCCGTCTGAGTATCTATTTTTGTATATATGTATTTACAGTAGGGGTTCTAGAGAGTGCAGTGGTTGCTGCACTGGGAATGGGGAGGCCTGAGTTATACGTCCAGTTTTCCAGTGACTAGCAGTGTAGGTTCAGTTAAGTTGTTGCTTTTGGGACCTCAGTTTCCTCATCTATAAAATGGAAGTTTGGCCTCGATGACTGCCACAGTCACTCCCACATTCTGTTGATCCTGTCTAGGTGAGGGTGTGTCTCTGGGCATGTATTTGCAAGCCAGAAGAATATCAGCGTGGCAATTCATTCATTCGAACATCCCGGAGTGCCTCCCGCCTGAAAGTGCAGTGCTGGCTGCTGCTTTCATGCGCAAGGATGTGTGTCCCTGGCTTTGATGGCTCTGCACTGGATGGCAAGGGTGTGGACGCCACCATATGTCTGTAGGAACACTAACCTTGGGTGTCTGATTCTGTATGTGATGAAGTCAGTGTGTGTGTGTGTTCACCAGTGAGGCCAACTGGGGAGGAGAAACCTGTGTAGAAGTCTTCAAGGTTAAAACAATTTGTGTAACGCGACCGCCAGGCCTGTATAGCACTCTGCCTGGATGAGAAGCAGATGTTGCTGTGGGTGGAGCTGCAGGGAAGCTGCTGTGGGTCCCACCTGTAGCCCAGCCTCCCACTTCCCCCAGCCCAGCCCAGCTCAGCATGCAGCTCCCATCTGAGCGCCTTACAAAGCGGCCAGTTCTATGGCCTCTGCTTCCTTTTCTCCAGACTTCTCAAAAGGAAGACAGACAGTTCAGCCGGGTCTCTGGAAACATCCCTCCTCAGCTCCAGATACTGGAATCGGAATGGCCCTTTAGGGAGGCTCTCTTCCCCTCTGGCCTTTCTGCTTGGGCAGCCTAAGACTTGGAATAGGAATTACTTGAGAACTGTTAAACTTTTTCCTCCTAGCTGGGAAGCTCCCAGAAGGTATCTTCGTTTCCCAAAGATGCTTATCTGTTCTAATGAAAAATGGTACAATTTTATTTCCTCTTTTTTTTTTTTTTTTTTTTTTTGAGACAGGGTCTCACTCTGTTGCCCAGGCTGGATTGCAGTGGCATCATCTCAGCTCACTGCAGCCTTGACCTCCTGGGTTCAATTGATCCACCTGCCTCAGCCTCCTGAGTGAGTAGCTGGAACTACAGGCATGCATCACCATGTCTGGCTAATTTTTGTATTTTTTATAGAGACGGGGTTTCACCATGTTGCCCAGGCTGATCTTGAACTCCTGAGCTTAAGTGATCCACCCACCTCGACCTCCCAAAGTGTTGGGATTACAGGTGTGAGCCACTGCACCTGGCTTATTTTATCTCATAGACACCCCCTTAGTTAAATTGAAACAGCATTTGCTGAGTGACCACCACATGCTCAGCACACCCTGTTTTATTTTCTTCATAGCTCCCATTGCTATCTGGAAGACCCTAGGTCAGTATTTATTTACTTGCATATTATGGAAGGTTAGCTCCACCGAAGCAGGGGCCTCTTCTGTCTTGCTAATAACTAGGGTATTGTCTGGACCACAGTAGTATGTTAACTAAGTATTTGCTGAAGAATGATGGCTCTGTGGCTCACACCTGTATTCCCAGCCACTGGAGAGGCTGAGGAGGCTGGAGGATCACTTGAAGCCAGGATTTTGAGACCAGCCTGGGCAACATAGCAAGACCCTGCTAATTTTAAATAATTAGCTGGGCACAGTGGTGAGACCCTATCTGCCCCACACTCCCCAAAGAATGATGAGCTAACAGACTGGTAGGGGCTGAGCATCAGCTTTACTGGGATTTTAACTGAAAAGTAAGCATGAGCTTCCCAAGAAATTCTATAAGCTGATCCCTAACTGCCCTTCTCCTTCTCGTTCAGATGGCATTTGAGGATCACAGTCGCTGTGGAGGTTGGGGGCTGGTGCCCACAGGGTTGGGGCTAGAAGCACGGTGCACCTAGGGCTGGGTAGGAGGATTAACTCAGCCCTGGCTTCTTCTTTTCTCTTTAGCTGCCTTTCTTGGGGACATTGCCCTGGACGAAGAGGACCTGAGGGCCTTCCAGGTACAGCAGGCTGTGGATCTCAGACGGCACACAGCTCGTAAGTCCTCCATCAAAGCTGCAGGTAAGCCGGGTGCCAATGGGCCCTCTGTGTCCTAGAAATGGGTTCCAGGCTTAGGGAAACAAGGAATCTCCCTGTTCCCAGCCAGGCCCTCCCAGGACAGAGGCCATGAGTTTGACCCCAGCACATGGGTCTATCTTCCCTCGGGATATCTTCATCCCTTCCCCAGAGGAGTAGTAAATATAGATATCCCCAGCAACTAAGAACTGACATTCTTTTTGTTTACAGTTTAAAAACCACTTTCAAAAGTATTGTCTAGCCTGACTGTCCCCAACCACCTTTAAAGGTGGTGTCAGGACAACTCCTGTTTTACAAGTACAGAAACTAAGATTCACAGAGGTAAAGTGACCTGCCCAGGATCACACAACTAGTGAGTGGCAGAGCTGGGACTGGAACTCAAGCTTTCTCACTCCAGACCTGAGACTCTGCCCAACACTGCAATCCCTCCTGGGCTCTCTGTTCCCACTTTGCAAATTTCTGTGCATCCTCTGAGGCCCATTTCAGGAGCTTCTCCTATTCTTCTTTCCCAGTTGCCCCCGAAACATGACTGTCCCTTCATTTTCCCTGTTTTCTCCCTCCTCTGTGATCACACTGTTACCCTGTCATTTATCACACCATATTGAAAGGATTTGCTCCTATGTCTCCCTAGCTCTTTAAGGTCAGGGATGCTTTCTTCTTATCCTTGATTGTGGTCCAAACTCCTAAAAACCCATGTGGTACTTGTGCATGGATACAGGAATGGGAGGGATGAGGGCCTGGGCTGTGTCTGTTCTTTCCAGTCCCTTACTGCTCTGTAGAAGGGTGAAAGCTCCTCACTGCCAGTGCTGATGTTTGAGACATGGTCCTGAGAGCACACAAATAGCCCTCCCCTTCCCAAAGGGCAGGGGCAGGGATTCTTTCTTCTTTTTTTCTGTCTTTTTTTTTTTTTTTTTTTTTTTGAGACAGGGTCTCAGTCTGTTACCTAGGCTAGAATGCAGTGGCACCATTTCGGCTCACTGCAACCTCTACCTCCTGAGTTCAAGCAATTCTCGTGCCTCAGCCTCCCAAGTAGCTGGGACCACAGGCATGCAACACCACGCCTGGCCAATTTTTTATATTTTTAGTAGACACGGGATGTCACGGTGTTGGCCAGGCTGGTCTCGAACTCCTGGCCTCAAGCGAACTATCCTCCCTGGCCTCCCAAAGTGCTGGAATTACAGGCGTGAGCCACTGTACCAAAGGGCAGGGATTCTTATTGAGGGTCTGCTCTGGGAACACTGTGGTGTGCCTGAAGTTGTCCTGTCCAGCTTGAGGGAAGATCCTGATGTGGGCACCTTATGGAATAAAGTACCCCAGAGGGCAGGTGGCATTGGAGGGTGACCTGGTGGCCTGCTAACAAGTAAGGCTCATGTGACCTTAGTGGGGACTAGTAGGTATGGCACAACGGAAAGCTGCATGGAGGGGTCCCCTGCTAACCCACCAGGTGACTTTGGCCAAACCTTTGGCCTTAGTTTCCTCATCTGTCAAATACAATACGACACTTGTCCACATGCCTTAGAGCTCCTATGTCAAATGCAAACATGAATTTGGGAAATCAAAAGAAGGCATAGAGTTCTGAATGCTCCACAAATGTCAAGGTTTATTCAATGAGAAGGGATATTTTCCTAATCTCAGATCCCCACAATTCCTAGAAAATGAGTACACCTTTGTTCTCTTTTACGATTATTGTCAATTCTTGCTATTTATGGAAGTTATAGAATAACTTTATAGTTACTCTGTACAGTCACTGAAAACATTAGCAAATACTGACCCATTGCTCCTAGGGAAAATACAGGGTCAGGTTCCTTCAAGCCTCTGGTCACAACATTTTTGTCAACTGATCAGTGCATCACCTTGTTTTATGAGTGTTTCTTTTTAAAGACACCTTACTTAATATGGAGCTGATTCATTAACATTGAACTCATGACCAACAGCACTCTAACTCATGCCTCGAAGAAGCTTACCTAGCACACGTATGTTCTCTGTGAGGCATATCACAGCCTTCTTGCCCTTGGGAACACCAGAGAGCACTTCAGCATTATGCTCAGGGGCTGTTTTAAACAGCGAAACCCTCAACAAAGCGCACAAAAACACAAAAAACAGGGCACTTTAACTAGACCTCAAAAAGGACACTTGGTTACACAATGAGAGCCGAAAGCAGAAAGCGGAGCGTTGCCTTATTCCACCTCAGCTGGGAACATGCATGTTGGGTGACTGAAATTTTTCACTGCTCTGCAAATGTCCACAAATGACCGTGAAAGCCCTGAGAGTATTGATTTTGGGGACTACGAATAAATTTTAGCCAGTAGACAAATTTGCAAGCACAGAATCCATGAAAAATGAGGTTTGACTATGCTTTTGCTTTCCTCCTCTTTCTCTCCACTCACTAGTCACCATGACTTCCTCTCTCAGTTCCAGGAAACACTTCTACCCCCAGCTGCCAGAGCACCAACGGGCAGCCTCAGAGGGGAGCCTGTGGGAGATGGAGAGGTAGATCCCGTAGCCGGCGGGCGGCGACGTCCCGACCAGAGCGTGTGTGGCCCGATGGGGTCATCCCCTTTGTCATTGGGGGAAACTTCACTGGTGAGCGTGCTATTGTGGGTCCCAGAGTGTAACCAGCTTCCGGGCCTGGCCTTGTGGCAGCCCTGCCAGGCACGGAGGCGTGGGTGCCACCTGCAGCCCGAGTGCCCACACATTCCTTTCCAGGCAGTCTGCCCTCAGAATGGCTGTGACTCTTCAGTGGTGGGTAGGGGGTGGGACTGCCTGGACACCGTGGCAACCTGGCTTCCTTCCTCCTGGCAGGTAGCCAGAGGGCAGTCTTCCGGCAGGCCATGAGGCACTGGGAGAAGCACACCTGTGTCACCTTCCTGGAGCGCACTGACGAGGACAGCTATATTGTGTTCACCTATCGACCTTGCGGGTGAGCAGGAAGCCCTAGGCGCTGTACCTTCCGCCATTGCCCCAACCCAGGTTCTGCCCTGGGCCCTGCCACTGCCCCCAGCTGGGCACAGCCTTGGGTCCCTTTATCCCCTCCTGCTATGGGGCATCTACCCAGGAACTGCCCCCTGTGCGGCTGTGACCTCCAGCACACAGCCTGGGCACTCGGTGCTCAGGGCCCACCCCTCCCCTTCGCTCCCCTGCCGCCCCGCCCCCGGCAGCCTGGCCCCGCCCCTGAGTGGATGCACTCCCCCAGCTCGGGACCGCCCCCCTGAGCTGGCCCCGCCCTCCAGGTGCTGCTCCTACGTGGGTCGCCGCGGCGGGGGCCCCCAGGCCATCTCCATCGGCAAGAACTGTGACAAGTTCGGCATTGTGGTCCACGAGCTGGGCCACGTCGTCGGCTTCTGGCACGAACACACTCGGCCAGACCGGGACCGCCACGTTTCCATCGTTCGTGAGAACATCCAGCCAGGTAGGTACCTGCCCCTCGGTGCGGCCTTGGTGGGCGGCTCCCGCCCCAGCCCCCACCTCCAGGACCCCTGGGGGCAGTGGCAGCCGCTCCAGCCAGCCGTCATCGCCTGGGCCCGCAGCGCTGCCCACAGCCTGGGTTGAGCCAGCCCCTGCCCTTGAGGCATTTCCTCCTCCGTGTCAGATCAAGGACCCGCATCCATTGTGGAGCTCCTCTGGGAGGCTGGGCCAGGTCCTGGTCCTGGACAGCGGTAGCCCGGGCAGCCTCTAGGGTGGGGCATGGGCATAGTGGGCCGTCCTGGGGACTGCTCAGGCCTTTCTCCCCACCTTTGCCCACTATCTGCCCTCTGCCTGGTCTGCCCTCCGAGGGCTTTTCTCTCATTTTCTCGATGTCTCTGTCCCTCCCTTCCCGCCTCCTCCCTCTCTCCCAGGCGTTCTCCACTCTTCACTGCTCCTTCTCAGCTGTGGCTCTAGAAATGGTGCTTCCTTCCCATGTTCCCTTGAGTCCTCCATTCACCAGGCCCTCTGCTGGACAGGACTCTTCCTGAGACCCTCCCCATTCCCCAGGCTCCCCTTGGCTGCTCCCCGGACCCTCAGGTAGGGGGACTCTCTCAGATACAGGAAGGACTCCATTCCCTGCCCTGGAAAGTGAGCGTTGCATCCCAGGCAGACCCACCCCCTCCTCTCCCCCCACACCCTTTTCCTGATCTTGGCAGGGCAGGAGTATAACTTCCTGAAGATGGAGCCTCAGGAGGTGGAGTCCCTGGGGGAGACCTATGACTTCGACAGCATCATGCATTACGCTCGGAACACATTCTCCAGGTGGGAGACGGGATTGGGGCTGGGCCTCTGCTCGGGCAGCCCCACCCTGCCCTCTGTAGGCTATTCTCCTCCTGCCTCCCACTTCTGGGGCAGTGACCCAGGAAAAGAGTGGCCCTCTGGGGGGCTGTGGCCTCCAAGCAGAGGGTCCGTGGATGTTGCCTGCCCTCCTGTCCTCTTCCACGGGTGGGTCTGTGGCAGGGCCTTACCACCGTGTGCACCCAGGGCACCTGGCGGAGGAGGCTGAACCCAGCCACTCTGCAAGCCCAGCAGTGTGGGGTAGCCCCAAACTATCAGCCCAAAGGGTGCTGAGCTTTTATTTGTGGGCCATTTGTTTGTTTTTGTTTTTGTTTGAGACAGGATCTTGCTCTGTCACCTAGGCTGGAGTGCAGTGGCACAGTCATGGCTCACTGCAGCCTCAAACTCCTAGGCTCAAGGAATCGTCCCGTCTCAGCCTACTGAGTAGCTAGGATGACAGGCACACGCCACCGTGCCTTTTTTTTTAGAGATGGGGTCTCACTATATTGCCCAGGCTGGTCTCGAACTCCTGGGCTGAAGGGATCCTCCCACCTCGGCCTCCCAAAACGCTGAGATTACAGGCGCGAGCCACCAATGCCCAGCCATTCCTTTTTAATTAGTCTGCTTTTTTTGTAATTGGCCAGTTTGCACGAAGCCTGACCCCTGCCCTGGACTAGCCCCCATGCCCAGCTCCGAAGCACATCCTCCTTATCTGAGGCCCAGGTCCCCAGAAGCCACAACCAGAGCCCTCAAAGGTGGTGGCCCAGCCTCCCCTCCCCCAAGATTCTCCTTAGCAGTGTGGGAAATGGCACCTCCCTCCTCCTCAAACTCCTTCCTGGCCTGGCCATTCCCAGGCCTGGTGCTTTGCTCATCCTCTGTCTGTGTCCCAGACAGTGGCCCTGCCCCCTCTTCTCAGTGCTTCTACCCGATCTGCTCTTCCTGCCTGCAGACCTGCAGGAACAGAGACCAAGGAAGGGTGGTGAGGTCATTCTGCCCCCCACACCCACAGACCCGGCCTTACATTTCCCACCACATCCCACCCCACCCCCTGCTGCGATCCACCCAGCTGGGTGTGAGTCAGGGGCCCTGGGGAGGTGGAGGGCTGCCTGCCTCCCCTTCACTCTGCTCCTCCCAGTGCAAACACCCAGGATTCAGCAGGGAGGAATGGCCAGGACAGGAGACACTGATAGATTGGGAGCTGGTGGGGCTGTCCCCGGGGCTTGGTCTGGCTGCAGTGGAATCTGCCTTTGGCCTTGTTCCAGGTGCTTTCAGATGCAGCCTGTGCCAGCAGGGTGAGGAGCTGGCCTGGGGAGTCCTGGGAGAAGTTTAGTTAGGGCTGGAGCAGCATGAGGGGCTGCAGAAGCAGGGGCCCAGTGGGGCTGGAGAGAGATGACCCGCTAGGGGCCTGTAGCTTTCCTGGGGCTGGGAGTTGTGGCCAGCCTGAGCTGGGAGCACCAGTGGGTCCAAGGGCACCCTGGACCTGCATCCCTGACCTCCCAAAGTGTTCCTGGGGCTCCCCCGACTCCTGTGGTGTGGCTGCCACGGAGCAGGGTGGCTGCTGGTCAGTGGGTAGCATAATGACAGGGTGAGACGACTCCACCCGGCCCTGACCCTGCTGAGGAATGTCTGAGCTCCAGCAGGGTCGTGACTTGTGGGTACAGATGGGCATGCCACCCACTCCCTGCCCACTGTCCATGAGACGCTCACCCTTACTTTTCTCCCTCTTCTTCAGGGGCATCTTCCTGGATACCATTGTCCCCAAGTATGAGGTGAACGGGGTGAAACCTCCCATTGGCCAAAGGACACGGCTCAGCAAGGGGGACATTGCCCAAGCCCGCAAGCTTTACAAGTGCCCAGGTCAGGGCAGAGAAGGGATGGGTGAGGGCGTGGAGGGCAGGGCCTGAGGGAGGCAGAGGCCAGGTGCCTGGTGCCACCAAGAAGGCTTAGGCTGCAAGTCTTAGAGAATGGTGTGGCGGGGGAGGGGACCCCATAGGAGGGGCAGTGTCCAAGTGAAGGAGGCCGCTGGGGGTAGGCTCAGGTGGGTGGTCAGAAGCCGAGCCGCCACCTTCTGAGGGTCTGTAGGGGCGGAAGTGGGGAGAACAGCAATCCTAGGAGAGGGAGGTGGCACGGAGCCCCACCAAGGGAGCTTGACCTTAGCTCTGGAACCCATATTGCCTTCACAAACAGGGCAGCACTGGGCTGGGAGGTAGGATGGCGTGTGCTATATGTGAGGTAGGGGGGTGGATCTTATAGGGGCAGGACCATTGCAGACACCCTCCCACTCCTCAGGCATTCTCCCCTCCCCCAGAGGATGCCAAGGTTCAGGGGTGGGTGAGCCAGAAGATGGGGGGATTTGGCGCCTGCAGCCCTGCCCTGTCATTTCCTTTCCTCACAGCCTGTGGAGAGACCCTGCAAGACAGCACAGGCAACTTCTCCTCCCCTGAATACCCCAATGGCTACTCTGCTCACATGCACTGCGTGTGGCGCATCTCTGTCACACCCGGGGAGAAGGTACGTGTGGGCTCAGCCTCTGAGCCTCCCCCTCCCCTGCGGGTCCCCATACCTCAGGGACTTCTCCCACAGTGGGGGTCAATATGGGTGCCAGCGACCTACCTGGCTACCGTAAATGTATCAAGTCCAGAGCGCTGATGGAGCACGGCTGTAGGAAGGGGCTCCTGGCATTCACCGCCTTCCCTGGCATCTCCCAATAATTATAAATTAGTGTTAATTTGCACATAGCACTTGCTGTGTAGGTCTATTTTGATTATCTAGTTCTTCTTGGGTGATTTTCCTACATCACCTCTTTTAGTTTTTACGGCTACCTCCACCTTTATTTTACAGATGAGGAAACTGAGGCACAGGGTGGTTAAGTAACTTGCCCAAGGTCACACAGCTAACAAGGACTGAGGTGGGACTGGAGCTCTTCTCAGGTCTGGGTTCCCTTGGATGAACTGCTCAGCCTGACGCTCAGCTCTCATCCGTCTCATCAGGGCTTGGGCCAGGGGCTCCTGAAGGGCTCTTCCCGATTCTGACAGGCTCTAGTCCTGGGAACAATTAAGGAATGATGCAGGCGCCTCCAGCAGGATGCTGCCTGGTGGGTCTCTCCTTCTCACCCATCCTTCCCCTTGCTCAGGCCAGGACCCTCCAGTCTTTGCTCTGTGGGCCTGATTTTCTGTGCCTGGCTCTCCACTGGCACTCTATTTCTCCTCCCTCTACCTGTCACCTGCTATATCAGTTCTGATCCATAGAGAAAGCTCAGCTCCACCTTCTGTCTTACCTTGTGGGGAAGTACCCAGTTCTCATACTTGCTGCCACGTGGGGCTGGCTTCGGGCATACTACGGGATCGGGTCAGAGCTGTCTCCATCTTCACAGTCTAGCTCGGATGTGACCTCCTTCAGGAAGCCTTCCCTGCTCGTTACTAATTGGTGGCAAGTAGGGTGGACACCGAGTGTGGGGAGGGCCCCCGAGCCTGTCCGGTCAGGTTTCCCACTGCATGGTTGATTAGCCCTGTTTGAATACCTAAGGTGATGAGAGGCTCACTACTTTTCAGAATAATTCATTCTGTTCTCTAGCCAGCTCTTTTTTTTTTTTTTTCTTGAGACAGAATCTCACTTTTTCACCCAAGGTGGAGTGCAGTGGCGCGATCTCAGCTCACTGCAACCTCTGCCGCCCAGGGTCAAGCGATACTCCCACCTCAGCCTCTGGAGTAGCTGGGACTGCAGATGTGCGCTACCATGCCCGGCAATTTTTTTTCTATTTTTGGTCGAGACAGGGTTTCGCCATGTTGCACAGGCTGGTCTCGAACTCCTGAGTTCAAGTGATCCTCCTGGCTCAGGCTTCCAAAGTGCTGGGATTACAGGCGTGAGCCACCGCATCTGGCCTGTAGCCAGCTCTTAATGTTACAACGTCTCTTCTTCTCCCTTAAGCCCCCCAGTTGCTCCAGTACTTTCCTCAAGAGCAATGCAGGATAACTCACTCCCTCTTTCCCATGTCAGCCCTCCTAATGTGGGGAGGCTACTCCCATCACTTCTTAGATCCATTCCCGGTCTTTTCACACAGACTCTGGACCTCCGCACCAACCCCAGACCTTCTGTGTCCATATTTTTATTGCTCCCAAGCTACAAGACTTTATTTTCCTTGATTGGGGCATGGTTCTTAATGTCATAGTGCAGCGTTGAGCTGGATTCAATTCTATTATTGATTGCATTGTTCATTTCGACATCTCAAGATCATTTTGAATCAGAATTTCACCATCCATCAGGTAGCCCTCCTCTTACCTCTGCCATGAGCTCCTTTGATAAGCATGACTTCTAGGTCTTCGTCCTGGCCTTTGATCAAAACATAGAACAGCACACAAACCAAAGAAGAACCAAGATTTCCCTCCAAATTGGCATTAATCTTTTAATCTAGGCTTTGAGCAGAGTTATTACACCAGTTATGATGCCACTTAAGGTCATTACTATCCAGCCACAGGTGACCACCAGTTGACCGGGATGTACGCTCCTTCTGAGACCATACCTTGGTCATCTTTCTGTCGTTGGCCCAGGAAGTGTTTCATAAATGCTGAATACGTAAGATGCAATGCCTTACCAAATTAAATCTACTGTTCCACCCGTTGACAAAACCCCTTTTAAAAGGAAGACAAATGTGTTCGACCTGCCTTGTTTTCAGTGAACCCAAACTGGCTCCTAGTAATCAAGTGTTTCTTTTCTAAATGGTCACAGACCATCTGTTTCACTGGGGATTGACGTTTGGCCCAGTGGTTTGCAATTCCCAGAATCCGCTCCTTACTCTCCTCCCAGCACACACACCCCTTTGAAGATTGGGAAAGCTTTTACTCTGAGTCCTGCAGATTACACATGCTAATCACATCTGCAAATTATTTGAGTGTCTCCTCTGATTTAATTGATGAGCTTGGAGACAAAAACCAATGTAGAGAGGTGCTCATGGGCTCTCCTCCTTCTATGTTATTGAGCTTCTATTTCCTTTTCAAACAATGCTTATTTTCATTTGTTGTAATTTGAAGATCATTCTTACGTGGACAGATTTTTATTGAGAGTTGAGTAATTCTGGCTTCTCTCTTGGTTGATATTCTACCATCTTCCCTTAAAAGTGAACCCATTCTTCCTTGTTCTGAATCTCACTTAAAAAATGGCAGTTCTGGCCAGTATATGGCCCATGCCTGTAATCCCAACACTTTGGGAAGCTGAGGCAGGAGGATCACTTGAGGCCAGGAGTTTGAGACCAGCCTGGCTAACATAGCGGAACTCCATCTCTACAAAAAATTTTAAAAATTAGCTGGGTGTCTGGTGGGTGTTGGTAGTTCCAGCTACTCGGGAGGCTGAGGTGGGAGGATTGCTTGAGCCTGGGAGTTCAAGGTTGCAGTAAGCTATGATTACGCCACTACACTCATGCCAGGGGGGCAGAGCGAGATCTTGTCTCAAAACAACAACAAAAAATTACATTCCTTTTTTGCTGTTTTCTACCAGCTATGCCTTGGCTTCCTTTGTTTCCCTCTAGAGGGTTCCCATTACTCCATCCTTGGGAAATCTCACCCACCGATAATAATAGCAATAACTAACAATGATTGAATATTTGATTGAGCAGGTATGTGTTAAATTATTATTATTATTATTATTATTATTATTATTGAGACGTGTTTCATTCTTGTTGCCCAGGCTGGAGTGCAATGGCACGATCTCAGCTCACCGCAACCTCCTCAGCCTCCTGAGTAGCTGGGATTACAGGCATGTGCCACCACACCCGGCTAATTTTGTATTTTTAGTAGAGACGGGTTTCTCCATGTTGGTCAGGCTGGTCTCGAACTCCCGACCTGAGGTGATTCGCCTGCCTCGGCCTCCCAGAGTGCTGGGATTACAGACGTGAGCCGCCGCGCCTGGCCATGTTAAATTCTTTATGTGTGTTATGTCCAACATTATCGTACAGCAACACTATGGGCCAGATGCTAACATTATCCCTGTTTTGGATATGAGAAACCAGGCTTGGAAAAATTTAGTAACTTCTCCAAAATTACACAAAATTGGATTATGACACAAGAGTTGGTGATTTCAATACTATGTGTGTTCTAAAGCCCTGCTGCATTTCAACAATTACTTTAGTGCTCTTCAGCAAACCTGTGTGCCTGCTATGTGCCCAGCACTGGGTCAGCCACCAGGGATGTACAGATGCACAAGACGGTCCCTGGCCCTGAGCAGTGGAGTCAGGTGGCACGCTACTTACCTTCCTGTCCGGGAGTTTTTGCAATCGGCTGGGGTATGGCATTGGGCTAGGATCAGCTTCCTTCCCTGTTCTTCCTGGCTGGCCTGGGCTAGCACTAGTCTCTCTAGTGGACGCACATGGCCTTGCCCCAAAAGCATCTCTCTCTGCCTTGGGGCTGCTCCCGCTGCAATTCCCAGAGGACTCCTGTCCTTTTTTTCAGAAGCTTGCCTGGAGCTGCAGAAAGAGAAAAGGGCTAACTATAAAAATTCCAGATTAATCAACGCATGGTTGTAGAAGTACACGAAGTAAAAACCAGCCACAGTCCTGAATGAAATTGGAGAGTTGTAAGGGAAGCCAAGTGGCACCCTGGGGACGTGAACATTGAAAGGGCCTGCAGAGCCTGGTGTAGTAGAATACTAACAGCCTCTCTACTGTTTAACAATCAGGTACCACGGAAAGCATTAGGCACCTTACATGCCGGACCTCGCTATTCCCCATAACACTTTTACAACCTAGGTACCATTATCCCTACTGTACAGCCAAGAGAATGGAGGCTTCAAGCGCTTGAGTAAATCTACCCAAGTTTACACAGGTAGTAGTGGTGAAATTGGCATTTGGTTCTAGGACTTTCTGACTCCAAAGTCTATGGCCTTTCAAAGGTAAACCTGAAATAATGCCGCCTGCTTTAGTGGATGGACTTTGCCGTCTATTTTGGCTGTGGGGAAGTTGTTTTTCATTTGCCTCCCAATTCTCAGCTTATTGCCAGAAATGTGAATGATAGGTAAATCTTGCCATATATAATTGATTCTGCCTGTCATGGGTATGTCAAAGTAAAAGAGCCACCTGGAAAGCCTTCTTTTTGGATCCCCCAAGTCTACACTCTTGTAATTAGCAGCTGGCGCGGAGAGGACTGACAGTGTTTCCCCAGCAACGGAGGAGAACCTTTATGAGGAGGAGACGGTTTTAAGAAGGGAATCAGCCGGGTGCGGTGACTCATGCCTGTAATCCCAGCACTTTGGGAGGTCGAGGCGGGTGGATCACTTGAGGTCAGGGGTTTGAGACCAGCCTGGCCAACGTGGTGAAACCCTGTTTCTACTAAAAATACAAAAATTAGCTGGGCATGGTGGTGCATGCCTGTAGTCCCAGCTACTCAGGAGGCTGAGGCAGGAGAATCGCTCGCTCAAACCCGGGAGGTGGAGGTTGCAGTGAGCCAAGATCGTGCCACTGCATTCCAGCCTGGGCAACAGAGTAAGACTCAGTCTCAAAAAAGGAAAAAATAAAAATAAAAATAAAAAAAAGAAGGGAATCATGGTCAGAGGATCAAACATTTGCAGAGGAGCCAAGAAGATAAGAACTTTTGGAGCTGGCAATATCCGCCCTCATTCCCATCCCTGCCTCCTGATATGCTACGTGTTCTTCAAGGTCCAACCCAAATTCTTTTTTTATTGAGACTGAGTCTCACTCTGTCGCCCAAGCTGGAGTGCAGTGGCACGATCTCAGCTCACCTTGACCTCTGCCCCCCGAGTTCAAGCAATTCTTCTGCCTCAGCCTCCCGAGTAGCTGGGATCACAGGCACCTGCTATCGCCCCTGGCTAATTTTTGTATTTTTAGCAGAGACAGGGTTTCACTGTCTTTCTTTTTTTTTTTTTTTTTTTTTTTTGAGACGAAGTCTTGCTCTTGTCCCCCAGGCTGGAGTGCAATGACACGATCTTGGCTCAATATAACCTCCGCCTCCCGGGTTCAAGTGATTCTCCTGCCTCAGCCTCCCCAGTAGCTGGGATTACAGGCGCCTGCCACCACGCCCGGCTAATTTTTGTATTTTTAGTAGAGACAGGGTGTCACCATGTTGGCCAGGCTGGTCTCGGACTCCTGACCTCAGGCGATCCGCCAGCCTGGGCCTCTCAAAGTGCTGGGATTACAGGCGTGAGCCACCACGCCCGGCCCAACCCAAATTCTTAATACCTTCCCCGACTTCCACATCCCCAGCCAGGCCAAAGGGATCCCTCCCTTCTCTGCAAAGCCTGTGCTGGATCCTACCCTAAGTTCCTGCTTCTTGAAGGGTGTGGGGCTCTGAGGATGAAAATGGACACTTGTCCTTAGCACAGCTGCTGAGCAGAGTTGCTTGGCAGGCCCAGGGAGGCCATGTGGAGGATTGGAGGAGGGTATAACTTTAAGAGCCAGAGTGCCTGAGTTTGACTCGCAGCTGTGCCACGTACTGGCTGTGTGGTCTTGGGGAAGTTGCTTAACCTCTCTGTGCCTTTGTTTCCCCGTCTATCTATATATATATTTTTTTGAGATGGAGTCTCACTCTGTTGCCCAGGCTGGAGTGCAGTGGCATGATCTCGGCTTACTGCAACCTCTGCCTCTGGGTTCAAGCAATTTTTCTGCCTCAGCCTCCCAAGTAGCTGGGACTATAGGCACGTGCCACCATGCCTGGCTAATTTTTGTATTTTTAGTAGAGACAGGGTTTCGCCATGTTGGCCAGTCTCGTCTTGAACTCCTGACCTCAGGTGATCCTGCCTCAGCCTCCCTAAGTGCTGGGATTACAGGCGTGAGCCCCCATGCCTGGCCTGTTTCCCCAACTATAAAATGAGCCTGGCAATAGTACCTACCACAAGGGGGATACTATCAAGTTTGATCTGCTAACCGTGATTCCCTTCTTAAAACCGTCTCCTCCTCATAAAGGTATGAGGATTAAACAAATTAATATACATAAAGTCCCTGGAGTAGTACCTATCATGTAGTGAGAACCCAACCAATGTTAACTGCTGCTATCTTTCCTATATTCCTAATCTTTTAATTTTATTTAATTATTTTATTTTATTTTTTAGAGACAGAGTCTTACTCTGTTGCCCAGGCTGGAGTGCAGCTCACTGCAACCTCTGCATCTCGGGTTCAAGTGATTCTCATGCCTCAGCCTCCCAAGTAACCGGGACTACTGGCACGTGCCACCACACCCGGCTAATTTTTATATTTTTAATAAAGATGGGGTTTTGCCATGTTGGCCAGGCTAGTCTCAAACTCCTGACCTCAGGTGATCTGCCCGCCTGGGCCTCCCAAAGTGTTGGGATTATAGGCGTGAGCCACCACGCCCAGGCCAGCCCCTAATCTTTTATTTATTTTAATTAATTAATTAATTTATTTATTTATTTATTTTGAGATGGAGTCTCGCTCTGTTGCCCAGGCTGGAGTGCAGTGGCATGATCTCGGCTCACTGCAAGCTCCGCCTCCCGGGTTCAGCCATTCTCCTGCCTCAGCCTCCTCAGTAGCTGGGACTACAGGAGCCCGCCACCACGCCCGGCTAATTTTTTTTTTTTTTTTTTTTTTTTTGTATTTTTAGTAGAGACAGGGTTTCACCGTGTTAGCCAGCATGGTCTCGATCTCCTGACCTCATGATACGCCCACCTCAGCCTCCCAAAGTGCTGGGATTACAGGTGTGAGCCACCGTGCCCGGCCCCCAGCCCCTAATCTTTTTAAATGAGGAAATCCTGGTCCACTTCCCCAGGGACGCTATTTCTCTCTAATTCCAGGATTCTAGTCTGAGCCATTCCAAATACCAAAAAATCTTAAGCAAACTTCATTCTACTAGCAAAGTTAACATTTATTGAGTGCTTACTGTGTGTTGGGCACTTGTAAATTTTACACGTATATGAATTGAACTCCCCTAAGTCTTGGGAGGCAGATAGTATCATCATTACCCTCTTAGAAATAAGGACACGGAGGCACAGAGGAACTGGTTGATGGGCCTAAAGATCATGCGGCAAGGTCAGATTGAAGCCAGACAGTGAGTCACCAAGGGGCAACATGTTTAACTGGCACACTGTGGCCAGAAGAGAGGTGTCCTATTACTTCTCCCCTGCCAGCATGCAGCAAGCATGAGGAGTATTTCCTATATTCGGGGTGCACCAGAAGACTCTGTACCCCATATCTCATTGAATCCTCCCAACTCCCCAGTGGAGCCATTATGATCATTTCCAGTTTTGGGTTTTTTTTTTTTTTTTTTTTTCTGAGACAGAGTTGCTCTGTTGCCCAGTGGTGTGATCATGGCTTATTCCAGCCTGGACCTCCCTGGCTCAAGTGATCCTCCCACCTCCATCTCCTGAGTAGCTGGGACCACTGGCATGCGCCATCATGCCCGGCAAATTTTTAAATTTTTTTGTAGAGATGGGGTCTCACTGTATTGCTCAGGCTGGTCTCAAACTCCTGAGCTCAAGCGATCCTTCCGCCTCAGTCACCCAAAGTGCTGGGATTACAGGCATAAGCCACCGCACCCGGCCCCATCTCAATTTCAGACAAAAACACTGAGCCTTAAGGAAGCCGAGCCACAGGCCCAAGTCACCAGCCCGGAAGCGGTGGGGCAGGCCAGGTTTTCTCTGGCAAAGGGCATTGCCCCTGCCACCAGAGCACAGCTGTTTCCACACGACAGAAGCCAGTACAACTCTTAATTTGACACCTCTGGTCTCAGTATAGCCATCACTGGGCCTCTCTGTAGGATGCCTCTCTTGGCCAATGCAGGTTTCTTCCTCCTGAGCGATGTGACCTCTGGTTCCTCCTACTTCTTTGGAGCTCTCGGGTGGGCCCTCTGGGGTTCTGCCGGCTGGGCGTGGTTTCTTCCTCAGCAGCTGTGACGTCATCCTCCCCAGACAGAGCCAAGGCTGCTTCTAAGGATGAAGGAAAGCGGGCGCTTGTCCTCAGCACAGCTGCTGAGCAGAACTGCCTGGCAGGCCCAGGAAGGCCACGTGGAGGAGTGGTGGAGGGTGTGAGTCAGGAGCCAGAGCGCCCTCACTCGGCCCTCTGCATCCCTTCTTCCACCCAGCAACTCTTGTTTTTGTTGTTTGTTAGATATACAAATAACATATGCACACAGTAAACTTTTTGAACAATCTAGCAATGCATAAAATAACAAGTGAAATTTCTCCCCTTGACCCTCCTCCGGATCCCATTCCTCAGAGGTGACTAAGCATTGGTAACACTTTCTGGTGTCTCCTTCCAGACCCTTCTAGGTATATATGTGCATGTAAGCATGGATGAGTATATATGTATGTATATATATACAAGACAAAAAGGAATTGTATGCACACGTATATGGTCTTTTGCAACATACCTTGCACTCAGCAATGAATTGTGGTCGCCGTTCCATGCCAGCACTCAGTCATTTTTATGGCTGCTTAGAATACTATCGTCTTGATTTCTCTCAATTTAATTATTCAGTTGCCCCCTGAGGTCTCTATTGATGGAGATACACACACACACACACACACACACACACATATCTTATATATTATATAATATATAATATAAATAATAAAACCAAATTTCCATTCAGTGAGCCAGTGCAATCCCGGCTCACTGAAGCCTCAGCCTCCTAGGCTCTGGGGATCCTCCCACTTCAGCCTTCCTGGTAGCTGGAACTACAGACACATGCCACCATAGCTGGCTAATTTTTTAATTTTTCTAGAGATGGGGGTCTCACTGTGTTGCCCAGGCTGGTCTCAAACTCCTGGACTCAAGCGATCCTCTTGCCTCAGCCTCTCAAAATGCTCAGTTACAGGTATGAGCTACCATGCCTGGTCCACATTTGGTAATGAGATGCCATCTACTCCCTCGCAAGAGCTAGAATGGACTTGCATCTTCAGAGTTTCAAAATGCCAGGACTTATAATAGTAACAATAACTTTTGATGATGATAATAATAACCAAGAGTAATATATAGTGTGCTTTTCTTTATTTTATTTTATATTTTTTTCGAGACAGAGTCTTCCTCTGTCACCCAGGCTGGAGTGCAGTGGCATGATCTAGGCTCACTGCAACCTCTGCCTCCCAGGTTCAAGCGATTCTCCTGCCTCAGCCTCCTGAGTAGCTAGGATTACAGATGCCCACCATCACACCTGGCTAATTTTTTTTTGTATTTTTAGTAGAGATGAGGTTTCACCATGTTGGCCAGGCTGGTCTTGAACGCCTGACCTCAAGTGATCCACCTGCCTTGGCCTCCCAATGTGTTGGGATTACAGGAGTGAACTACCGCGCTTGGCCTGTAGTGTGCTTTTCAAAAACATGATCTTACTCAATTATATCACAGAATACCACAATTAATAAAAGGTCCCCCAAATAAATATAGTTAAACTCATATATGAATTTTTAAAAAGAATAGAAGAAAAAGGATGGGCTGTGGAGCTAAGCTGGGTAAGGAGAGAGAGTAGATGGGGGTGACCGGCAGTGGCATTGCCCTGGGTGCAGTGGGTTGAAAGTCGCAGTGATGAGAACTGACGGAAAGGCTGGAAACTGAATGGAGAGTGGGGCCCTTGAAACTGAGATTATGGAGGGGCAGACAATTTTCGATGAAGCCGGCCTGCACGGCGTGACGTGTTGGTGTGTGGCCGGGAAGGTATAGAGAGGTGGAGAGAGGAGGTCGCAGAACTGAGCGGCCAAGAAGTGGGAAGGGTCCTCTAGGCGGACATTGGAATCACCAGGTATTCTGATAGGGCCCGTGTCAGAGTGACCAGGAGCCAGGAGCTCCTCCCCGACTAGCATTGATGCTGGCTACAGACAGCCACTGCCAGTGCCCACCTTGGAATCTTTTTCATCCTGGCCTCCACTCTGCCTCTAACTCTCTAAGAAGGTACAAGGGAGGCAGACGGTCCCCTTCTCTAGCAGAGAACCCAGCTCTCCCAGAGCAGGACACCCCTGAAACCATCGAGTGTCCGCTGCACTGGCCTCGCAGGTCACGGTGAACACATCCCTGGAATCCCTACTTGTTGGAACTCTGAATACACAGCAGGCTTTGGGCCCACTCTGGGACCTACCGAGGAAGTGGTTTCCCCCCGGAAGTGGAGGGAAGCCATTAAACTCTCTACCTGTTAAAATGCCCACCTGCTAAGGAGGATTGGTACTTACCAAGATGTAACATTCCTCCAGTAGCGAGCGAGCGTTTCCTGAGCTTGGAGCCTGAAATGAGGTGCTCAGGACAGACAGTGCCTGTGCCTTGGAAGTGTGATGTCAGGGTAGGGACTCTTCTCCCCATTGCACGCAGGACATAGCAGAGGCTCAGAGGTTGCGTGGTTTGCTTGATGACTCACAGCAGGAAATGCAGAGTGGAGATTCACACCCAGGCTGTTGTGACTGGGGTCTGAGCTTTCTCACGCGTATGTCTCATCCCTCCCTAAGCCTGGAGCTTCTTGAGGACAGGGACGGATTCAGATCTGGTGTCCTTTCAGCAGTTAGTGTGTCCCCCTGCCCAGAATCAGTACTCAATAAATGATGATGGGGCCGGGCACAGTGACGCACTCCTGTAATCCCAGCACTTTGGGAGGCTCAGATCGGAGGATGGCTTAAGCCTGGGAGGTGGAGGCTGCAGTGAGCTGTGATTGTACCATTGCACTCCAGCCTGGGTGACAAAGCAAGACCCTGACTCAAAACAAACAAACAAACAAAAAAGTGATGATTGGCGACTCAGCCCTTCTTTCCTCTTGCCTCTCCTCTTGGGACCCTTCGTCGCTACTTCAGACCCTCCAGTACCCTCACGCGGCCCTTGGCCCTTCCTACCACTGTAGAGACCAGTTCCTCTTGAAGATATTGTGGGTTGTGTTATCTAATTGACTATGAAGAGAGCTGGAGCCAGGGGTTCTACCCAAAGTGACGTCTCCTTCCCCTCCTGGGCCTTCTAGGAAGAAAGCTGACCATACACAGACAACTGTGGAGGAGGGGCGGTTCTGTGCCAGGAGCTCCTTTTGGGAGCCCCTTAACTCTCGCCCAGGGGGACCTGCCTCGCGTAAGGCGGGCGGTGGTCATCATGGGGCTGGCAGAGGGCTGGTGCAATGTTCGGGACAGCTTAACCCTCTTCCTCCCCTGTTGCCCTAGATCATCCTGAACTTCACGTCCCTGGACCTGTACCGCAGCCGCCTGTGCTGGTACGACTATGTGGAGGTCCGAGATGGCTTCTGGAGGAAGGCGCCCCTCCGAGGTAACGGCACCAGCCACCCCCTGCCCCCTCCATGCTGATTCCCTCTCTGAGCCACCCTCATCACACTCTTCATCCCCCTCCAGGGCCCAACACTGGCCAGGGATGACAACCTGGTATGGGAGCCAGGAGTCCTGGCATCATTAGTCCCAGATAGCTGCATTACTCACTTGCTGCGAGACTTCAGGCAAGTCCTGTCCTCAATCTGGACTTCAGAGTACCCAGTCCAGACTTCTGGGCCTCCCTGTGAAGTTGGCTGTCACCCTACGGGTGCAAGGAGTCATCAGAATTGACTGAGAGAGACAGACAGGCTGTTCTGCGCATCCCCATGGCCCCAGGCTCTCTTCCTCATCTGGGCACTTTCAGAGGATCCACTATTTTTTTCTATCTGCCCTTCTGGTTTTTGAGTGCCCACAGTGCAGCCTGGCTCAAAAGAGAGTCATCATAACCTGCCAGCCCATCTCCTAACTCACTGCCGAGGGCTGCACACTGGGCGCCGTGGCCCGACCTTGTCTGCATAGGATACTTTGTCCCGAGGAGGGTAGGGGGCAGGAGGTGAGTCAGTGGGAGTAAGTGGGTCAGAAGCACAGAACAGAAGGTGCTTTAATGAACCTAGAATTAGGGCAAAGGGAGGCAGGTGATCCTAGAGGGTATTGCAGCAAGCCCGAGGAGCCGTGTGAATCTCCTCCTAGCTGGACGTGATCGTAAGGAGCTCAGGACCACTCTTTGGCAACAGAACCTCTTCTCCTCAGCCTATGCCTAAAACAGCCAGACGGATATTGCTAACCTCTATTTTCCCCCCAGTTTCCGATATTTAAATATTTCTTTTTGGTCACTCAAAGCAGCTGTCCTTACAACACTTCCTCTCGTAGACGTGTTAGTGTTTTTCCAAGATGGGAGTTTCTTTTTCATAACTTACATTCCTGGGCCAGCACCCTCTGTCCCTTGCTGAATGTTGGGAAACACCGGCCTTATTAGGAACACACAACTCATTCCTAGTTGATTCTTGACTACAAAGAATTCCACAGATGGCCGACCTCATTCACTTATGTTGATTCTTATTCATTTTTATTTCAAAGTGGACATTTTGTGAGCTAGTCCCCAGATTCTGTGATTTATTTAGGGTCCTGGGGCATCCCTTGCATTTGACCAAATAAAAACATGTCTGTGAGGGCAGTTTGTAATGTGTAAAGAAAGCCATGTTTATTTCTGATTATATTTCTGATTTTATTTCTTATTTGGTCTCTTCTTTGCATAGAGACCAAATAAGAAAAGGTAAATAATGATGGTAATATGCTCTTTAGAAAGGTAAATAGAACACATATATAGTTGGACATTATAAAGATCTACCTTGGCCAGGCACGGTGGCTCACACCTGAAATCCCAGAACTCTGGGAGGCCAAGGTGGGTGGATCACCTGAGGTCAGGAGTTCGACACCAGCCTGGCCAACATGGCAAAACCTCATCTCTACTAAAAATACGAAAATTAGCTGGGTGTGGTGGCAGATGCCTGTAGCCCCGGCTACTTGGGAGGCTGAGGCAGGAGAATTGCTTGAACCCAGGAGGCAGAGGTTGCAGTGAGCCAAGAGCGTGCCACTGCACTCCAGCCTGGGTGACAGAGCGAGACTCCATCTCAAAAAAATAAAATAAGATAAAATGAAAAATAAAGATCTACCTTTCCTCCTAGAAATAGACTCATATCCTATCCCTCAAGTGGTCTCTGGCTCTCCAAAGCCAAGTTGGACCTTGGACCAGACAGAAGCCAACCAGAGGGTATACAGTCTTGGGAATGTGTGAAGTAGGGTGGCCACAGATCAGGGCCCAAGCACCCAAGCCTCCTGGAGAGGTGGGGCCTCTATAGGGGGTGTCCTCAGGGTTCACCACTCTTCCATCCACACTGTCTGTGCAGGCCGCTTCTGCGGGTCCAAACTCCCTGAGCCTATCGTCTCCACTGACAGCCGCCTCTGGGTTGAATTCCGCAGCAGCAGCAATTGGGTTGGAAAGGGCTTCTTT
This sequence comes from Homo sapiens, assembly GCF_000001405.40. Lineage (NCBI taxonomy): Eukaryota > Metazoa > Chordata > Mammalia > Primates > Hominidae > Homo > Homo sapiens. Next base: position 22,194,162 of record NC_000008.11, read on the forward strand.
GCAGTCTACGAAGGTACTGAGGAAGGCGGCGGGCGGGAGGAGTCAGATAGGAGGTCTCTGGGCATGGTAAAACAACTCCCTCCTGGCACCTGAGGGGCAAGATTGTGGGTTCCCAAGGGAAGAAGCAGAGAGAATGATGGGATTGCCTGGGACTGGGGGTTTGGTGGGGAACTGAAAAGCTGGGGGACATGGGAGGGACTGGAGGAGTGGGGAAAAGAGCTCCCTAGCAGGGCAAAGCATGCTGACTCACCACCCCTTCCCACCCCATCCTGTGTCCCCACAGCCATCTGCGGGGGTGATGTGAAAAAGGACTATGGCCACATTCAATCGCCCAACTACCCAGACGATTACCGGCCCAGCAAAGTCTGCATCTGGCGGATCCAGGTGTCTGAGGGCTTCCACGTGGGCCTCACATTCCAGTCCTTTGAGGTAGGTCAGTGGCCCTGTGATCTGACCTTTGAATCCAGCAGTTGCTCCCTGGGACAGCTGCCTCTCTTTGGGCTCCCAGGGGTGGGTCTCTGGCAGCCAGAGCCCCTTCCACTGATGAAGCCTCGACCCCTAGATTGAGCGCCACGACAGCTGTGCCTACGACTATCTGGAGGTGCGCGACGGGCACAGTGAGAGCAGCACCCTCATCGGGCGCTACTGTGGCTATGAGAAGCCTGATGACATCAAGAGCACGTCCAGCCGCCTCTGGCTCAAGTTCGTCTCTGACGGGTCCATTAACAAAGCGGGCTTTGCCGTCAACTTTTTCAAAGGTGCCTCCTCTGTTACTCTCCCCTGCCCCAAGGTGCCTCGTGACCTTCATCCCTTCTTCACTCACTCATTCAACACGGAGACTCCAGGAGGCATATTGATACCAGTGAGACCCCAGGGCTGTGCCCTTAAGGAGCTCTGGGCTAGCTGGGGAGAAGAGGTCCCCCAATGTGGATTAGAGGCAGGACCTGCTGTATGATTCAGGGAGGAAAAAAGGCAGTTGGAGGTTTTTTTTACCTGTGTGACCTTGGGCAGGATATTCTCCCTGAACCTCAGTTTCTCATCTGTAAAATGGGCACAGTAACAGTCCCTCCGCCACAGGCTTCACATGAGGATTGAAGGAGAAATGAAAGAGGGGTCCTTAGTCAGGGAACAGCACGTGAGAGACACCAGCCCAGTCCATGTGCTCTGAAGGAAGGCTCTGTGGGGTTCCAGCCATCGGGGAGCTGGGTGGGTCTTGGGGCTGAGTGGACAAGTGAGGCTCACAGCCAGCTTCTTCCCTTGAATGCCTGGAGTCTGTGACACCCTTTCCTTCCCACCACAGAGGTGGACGAGTGCTCTCGGCCCAACCGCGGGGGCTGTGAGCAGCGGTGCCTCAACACCCTGGGCAGCTACAAGTGCAGCTGTGACCCCGGGTACGAGCTGGCCCCAGACAAGCGCCGCTGTGAGGGTGAGTGCCCCCAGACTGCCTCTGACCCTGTTCTTTCCCTGGCACCAGCCCACCTGCCCAGAATTTTTTTTTTTTTTAGACAGGCTTTTGCTCTGTCACCCAGGCTGGAAGTACAGTGGCTCAATCTTAGCTCACCATAGCCTCCCATTCCTGGGCTCAAGCAATCCTCCCACCTCAGCCTCCCAAGTAGCTGGGACTACAGGTGCACATCACCTTGCCTGGCTAATTTTAAAATTTTTTTTGTAGCAATGAGGTCTTACTTTGTTGCCGAGGCTTGTCTCAAACTCCTGGCCTCAAGTACTCCTCCTGCCTCGGCCTCCCAAAGTGCTGGGATCACAGGCTTGAGTCACTGCCAAGATTTCTTATGCCCTTGGACAGACCCCTTCTTGGAAAAGCTAGATGGATACCCCAACACTCTTTTCATAGCTCATGGATAAGAAACACATGTCACATTGCAACCCCGAGAACACACTGTCCCCCCGTAGGCCGCATTCTGGCTTTGGGTTTGTTTTGTTTTTTCATTCTTGGGGTGTTTTCGGGTTTTTTTTGTAAATGACCATCTTGACTTGCTAACTGATATCACCACCCACCAGGGTGTTATGATCTACAGGTTGGGAAACCCCTGTTGTGGGACAGACACTGTTTCCGCCTCTCCACGCATGGTCCCGAGATGCTGGGGACAGCACTCCGAGGCTAATGGCTCCAGCTCACTAGGCCGATCCTGCTGTGCCCCCGAGCTGCTCCCTTTCCTGCACCTCCCAGGACCGCCCCTCCCTGAACTGCTTTCCCTGAGCCCCTTATTCCCGCTCACTCCCTCTTGGAGGACCTTGGCCTGTTCATTTGCAGAGAAGATAGAAATGGCCACACTTATGACCCCTTAGCTCCCCCACTCCTCCCTACAGGCCCACCCCTGAGGACACCCAGGCCACCCTGCCTCCTCCCGTCCGCCCCAGAGGGACCAGACACAGGTCCCTGAGCCTTGGGGAGTCCACAGGCTCCCCATCTTCTCCTTACTGCATCCCAGCCCACATCTCAGCCCTTCCCCATGGCAGGGGCTCCCCGCAGACGATGCCACCTTCCTTGTCCCCGCAGCTGCTTGTGGCGGATTCCTCACCAAGCTCAACGGCTCCATCACCAGCCCGGGCTGGCCCAAGGAGTACCCCCCCAACAAGAACTGCATCTGGCAGCTGGTGGCCCCCACCCAGTACCGCATCTCCCTGCAGTTTGACTTCTTTGAGACAGAGGGCAATGATGTAAGTGCCCACCAGGGGCTGAGGTGGGGCAGGAAGCTGTGAGGCGTGGGCATTCAGCTCAGTGCCTGCTTCCTGTCCTCTGAGAGGGGGCCCGGCAGAAACACTCTGCAAATATCGAGGAGAGACTGCTCCCAGCTCACGAAGCACAGGAGGCCCAGCAGGGAGGGCCCCAAAGGGGGCGGGGGGACATGTAGCAAGTGGGAGGAAGGACATGGAGTTAGGGAGGCGTGTGGAGCAAGGGAAGGCTTAGGGCTGGCTTGGCGAGTACAGGAGGATCCAGTGAGGGGGCGTAGCTAAGTCAAGGCTAAAGGATGTGCAGAACAGAGAGCTTCCCGAGGGCAGGAGTAGTCAAGAGAGGCTTCCTGGAGGAGGCGGGCCTGGAGCTGGGCTTCCCTGCAGGTGTGCAAGTACGACTTCGTGGAGGTGCGCAGTGGACTCACAGCTGACTCCAAGCTGCATGGCAAGTTCTGTGGTTCTGAGAAGCCCGAGGTCATCACCTCCCAGTACAACAACATGCGCGTGGAGTTCAAGTCCGACAACACCGTGTCCAAAAAGGGCTTCAAGGCCCACTTCTTCTCAGGTATCCCTGGACTGCCCAGCTCCTAGCCCCACCTCTCCTCGGAGAACAGGGCTCCCTTTCTCCCTGCCCCTGCACCCCTGTACTCCCCAGCCCTCCCTGGTGCCAGGCAGGCAGAGTCTGCCCCCTGCTCCCCACCACTTCACTCTCCCATCAAGCCAGCCCTTCCAGTATCCAAATCTCATTATTCCTGAGCCCTCAGGACTGTAATGACTGGGGCCTGAGGATGGGCAGAACATAAGCATTCAGAAATCAGCACCCAGAAGTGAAGAAGGGGATATTCCAGGTGTCAGGAGCTATGCAAGCCAAGGCCTGGGAGAGGGCAGGTCCTAGGAACAGGCAGTTCAAGAACGTGGGTGGATGGAGGAGAGACAGGTGTTTGCCTTGGACTGTGTGGAGCAGAGTCTCTGGCAGTGGCGGACTTCTAATCAGACCCTGCACACGCCAAATAGGTTCACACTGGGGCCTTCAGAAAGATGAGTCGTGGCCGGGCGCGGTGGCTCACGCCTGTAATCCCAGCACTCAGGAAGGCCGAGGCAGGAGGATCACTTGAGCCCAGGAGTTCAAGACCAGCCTAGACAACATAGCGAGACCCCATCTCTATAAAAAAGTTTAAAATTAGCAGGGTGTAGTCGTGTGTGCCTGTAGTCTCAACTACTTAGGAGGCTGAGGTAGGAGGATTGCTTGAGCCCAGGAGTTTGAGGCTGTAGTGAACGATGATCTCGTCACTCACTCCAGACCCTGTTTCTAAAAATTTTTTTAAAAAGGAGAAAGATGAGTCACCTGCTTCCTTCAATACCAAAGCCTTGGGGCTCCCCTGAACCGGTGGGCGGGAACTCAGATCCAATTAGCACATGCTGATTGACAGCTGCCCCACCTAAGGCCTGGGCTCCAGTCCCTTGGCCTCATTTGAGCCTTTGATGGCCCCATCTTCAGGTGGTCTCAATGGTGATCAGCAGCCCCTGGCCCAGCCTCTCTCAGCTGATCCTCCGGGTCCAGGAGATCTCCCCTTCTTTGTGAATCACTCAGCCCTTCACCCTGGGGTGAGGCTGTAAGGTAGCTGGTGGTCTCCAGAGGTAACAGGACCCAGGCCCATGCAGTGAAGGGCAGGAGTGGAGTTGAGCAGGGGAGACAGGGAGGTCAGAGTCTGGCTGGAGCAGGCCCATGGATCCTCACTCCCGGCCTGCCTGCTGGGCCGGACAGGGGATAGGCAGGAAGGCAGGATGCCCACGGCCGAGTCCATGCTGCCTTCCTTCTCCCCTCCTTCGCCCAGGGTCCTGCATCCTCAAGCCCCCTCTGTGGCTGCCCTGCACCCCTGCCTGACCCCCGGATGCCATGCACCTGCCCCTGCACTGGCTCCCTGCTTGGCACTGCCAGCCACCCTGCTCTGCTTACAGTGGCCCGTTGACCTCCTGCCCCCAACCCCCGCTTGCTGAGACCCTCCCCATGCCAGGCCAATTTCTTCCTTCCCTGTGCCCACCTGGGACTCCTAAGAGGTGCTCACCAGAGGGTTGAGAGGATGTAACACCCACTCGGGGCAGGCTCTGCCCCGGGAAACCATTACCTGCTTACTCTCGTCTCTTCCTGCCCTTCTGTTGCTCCAGTCTTGGAGGGGGCAGGGGACCGACACTCACATCTATCAGGCCTGGAGTTACTGCTCTGCCCCCATGCCCTGGTCGACACTGTGCCCGCCCCACCCTCAGCCCTGCACGGAGACACACACGCCCACACGCACACACATGTGCACACACATTGCCCCATCGCACAAGAAACCTGCAGAGGACCCCCACTGGGGGCATCGAGGCTCAGCCCTCAGGGCCCGGGGCATCTGACTCTGGCCCCCCAGGAGGGGAGCTATTTGGACTTTTGGGACACCCACCGAGGAGACCCTAAGCCAAGAAGGAGAAGAAAGAGCCTGAAGACCTTCAGTCTGACCCCTGCCACCTTCCGGGGCATTTGGGCACTGTAGGGTGAGTGCCATCTCCTTGCCTGGGCCCATGCCCACCTCCTCCACCCCACCCCCCTGCAACCTGCTCCCCCCAGCTCCCAGGTGAGGCTGCCCACTCCTGCCCCGGACACTGAAGCAGCCTTCCTCAGGACTCACTTTCCCCCACTCATTCATCCAGCCATTCACTTACGCGTTCACTCGCATTTGGCAGGTGTAATTTTACCCCTGCTGTGTACCAGGCACTGGACTAGGTTTCTAGGGCACAAATGTGAGGAAGGGGTGGAGCGAAGGCTTTGCTCAGTCCGTAAGCTGGGCCCCCCAAAGCTTCTAGCACAGTCACTGGAGATGTTGTCCTTAGTGAACCCCAGGATGGCTCATAGGGTGCCCTTCACCCCCACATTTTCTGCAGGGCTGATTCAAAGGCAGCTCATGGAGGGCTCTCGATCAGGCCCCCTCTGATGTGTTAACTGAGCAAGAAACCTTGGGAAGGACTTGGGGACTCCACCTCTTGGCCTGGTTCCCATGGCCCCTAGGGGTCTAACCTACCTGATCCTGGGTTGGAGAAGCAGGACCTTCTGGAAGCCCATGTTCCAGCGCTTGGGCCCCAGTCCTGATGGGGATCAGGAATAGGCCCCCTTGCACAGACCCCCACCTGGCCAGCTCAGTGCCAGCAGACATCTTTCTACCTCATGGTTCATCTATGGAATTCTGGGGGTCCACTGGATCCCTCATCTTCCCTGGCTATGCCTGCTTCTATGCCAGGCACACCATCCTCCAAGTGACCACAGACAGACCTGAGTGTATGTGGCTGCGGCACACACACCCCTGTGACCAAGTGCACTTCTGTGCATTGGGGCACAGATTGTGTGTTCATCGTGTGAGTGCATGTGTGGGTCTGTGACACGTGGCCGTTGCTCCTCTGTGAGCCATCTGCTGATGAGCTACATCTCTGCCTTTACGCGTGACTTTGTATCCATGTCCAGGTGTCCATGCGCCTGTGTGTGCAGATGTGTCCTGTCCCTGGGTGTGTCTGTGCCTGTGTGTGCGTTGATATCTGTGCCTGCCTCTTCACACATAGGTGGGAATGCAGAGTGTGTATTCTTTGTATGCACCTGTACACAGGCTGGGCGGGCAAGTGAGGATGCGTATGTGGTTGGCTGTGTCTGTATCTGCATTTGCATGGTGTATTGGAGATTGGAGCTGTGTGTCTGTGCGTGTGTGGGTAGTGTGTACCGTGTGCACATGTATGTGTGTGCCTGTGGACCAGCACCTGTGTTGCCACATTTGGGTGACGGTACATCCATGCACTGGGTCTGCAGGTGTATTTGCGAGTGCGTGTGTCTGTCTAACACACTCTGTAGATGTCGCCGCCTGAATGAGAGCCAGAGCAGAGCTCTCCCCAGCCCTTCCCAAGTACTGTTCCCCTCTACCGACGACTCCCCAGTTCTCTCCTTCCCTGATGCAATGCACGCCTAGTGGGCTACGTGTGCCAACCCTCCAGGCCTTCTCCTGCCACAGGCTCTGTCTCTGTCCCGTCGCTGTGCCTCCTGCCCCTGCTAACCCAGCCCTCCGTGCCCTGGATGCGCCCGGACATGGCCACCCTGCATGTGTGTCCGCCTGCCCTCCCGCCCCACCCTGCCCCTCAGATCCACCTCAGAGGCCCTGGGTCTGGTTTTCACTGCTGTCCCTCCCTGGTCCCTGCCCTCCACCCCCACCCCTTGGTCCCTTTTCTCCTTCTCTCTCTCGTTTCAGAAAAGAGGCCAGCTCTGCAGCCCCCTCGGGGACGCCCCCACCAGCTCAAATTCCGAGTGCAGAAAAGAAACCGGACCCCCCAGTGAGGCCTGCCAGGCCTCCCGGACCCCTTGTTACTCAGGAACCTCACCTTGGACGGAATGGGATGGGGGCTTCGGTGCCCACCAACCCCCCACCTCCACTCTGCCATTCCGGCCCACCTCCCTCTGGCCGGACAGAACTGGTGCTCTCTTCTCCCCACTGTGCCCGTCCGCGGACCGGGGACCCTTCCCCGTGCCCTACCCCCTCCCATTTTGATGGTGTCTGTGACATTTCCTGTTGTGAAGTAAAAGAGGGACCCCTGCGTCCTGCTCCTTTCTCTTGCAGTCTGCTTGTCCATGTGTCTATTTTTCCACTTGTCCATCTGTCCAGTAAGCAGGTAATGGTGACCCATGCTGGTCCGCTCGGACCCCCATCCTCCTCTCCCCACAGCTGGGCCCTGCTCAGCTGGTCCTGCTGGATGCAGTGCCCCTTTGGACCCCCTTGTCGCCTGGCCTCCCACTCCCGGCCACCTGGCCTGGCCAGCTCTGCCAGCTGTTGCTCTGTCCCGGTGGGAGAAAGTCCAGCCAGGCCTCCACTTCCCCTGGGGCATCCCAACCTCAGCCCTGCACAGACCCAGCGTCTGCCCTTATTTGCTCCCCTGCAGACAAGGACGAGTGCTCCAAGGATAACGGCGGCTGCCAGCAGGACTGCGTCAACACGTTCGGCAGTTATGAGTGCCAATGCCGCAGTGGCTTCGTCCTCCATGACAACAAGCACGACTGCAAAGAAGGTACGGGCTGCATGCCAGGGGCATCTGGGCTTGAAGGACCTGCTGCTGGGAGTGGAAGCCCAGAGGATCATCTCCATCAGCCTCCGTTTAGATTCTGGGGCCTGTATGATCTCTAAGGCCCCCTCATTCCCCCACCCACCTGGTACATAGATCCTCCTCCCGCAGTGTCGGAGCCACACGCTCACTTCTGTTGCCCACATTAGGAGAGGAGGAGCTCACGGCTGCTCTGAGGCTTCATTTTCAGACTTTTCTAGTTTGTGCTTCTTAAAACCATGTCCAAGTCTCTTTGTGACTTCCTACCGGCACAGAGGCGAGAAAGGATAGTGGGTAAGAGCACAGCCTCCAGAGCCAGGTGGCCTGGCCCAGCCCTGCCGCTTCACTAGCTGTGTGCCTTTGAGTGACTCCTTGACCCTCTCTGTGCCTTGGTTTGCTCCTGGGTAAAATGTAGATAATAATAATAGTACCCACCTCAGAGAGGCATTGGGAGCTTGAAGGGCCCCAAGCAGGGCCTGGCTCACCGCAAGCACAATGGCATCTGTTACCACTATCAGTCACACTTATAACCCCTGGGGATGGTCAGAACAGGGCCACTGCCTTCCTGGCAGTGAAGCCCTGCACACATTTAAAAATAGCTCTAGGCCGGGCACGGTGGCTCATGCCTGTAATCCCAGCACTTTGGGAGGCCGAGGCAGGAGGATCGCTTGAGCTCAGGCATTCAAGACCAGCCTGAGCAACATAGTGAGACTCTGTCTCTATTTTACTTTTAAACAGGTTTTTAAACTAGAAATAAAGTAAAATAGGCCAGTGCGGTGGTTCACACCTGTAATCCCAGCACTTTGGGAGGCTGAGGTGGGCAGATTGCGTCAGCCCAGGAGTTTAAGACCAACCTGGGCAACATGGCGAAACCCCATCTCTACAATAAATACAAAAAATTAGCTGGATGTGGTGGTGCATGCCTATAGTCCCAGCTACCCTGGAGGCTGAGGTGGGAGAATCACCTGAGTCTGGGGAGGCTGAGGCTGCATGAGCCGAGATCACACCACTGTACTCCAGCCTGGGTGACAGAGTGGGAAAAAACAAATAAAAATATAAATAAATAAATAAAGCAAAATAAAAACAGCTCTCATGGCATCACCAGTATCCCCTAATACCTCCTGGGACTTGATACCTCACAGGCCCGCTCTAAGTCAGGGATTCCACTGTGGCCCTTGCCTGCTGGGTGTGTCCAATCCCAGCAGCACAACACAGACTTGCCTCTACCATTGAACATCTGTGTGACTTTGGGTGAGTCACTCAACCTCTCTGTGTTTCAGTTTCCTCATCCATGAAACGATAAAAAATGATAGGCCAGGTGCAGTGGCTCACGCCTGTAATCCCAGTACTTTGGGAGGCCAAGGCGATCGGATCACTTGAGGTCAGGAATTCAAGACCAGCCTGGCCAGCGTGATGAAAACCCGTCTCTACTAGAAATACAAAAAATTAGCCAGGCGTGGTGGGACGCACCTGTAATCCCAGCTACTCAGGAGGTTGAGGCAGGAGAATTGCTTGAACCTGGAAGGCGGAGGTTGCAGTGAGCCGAGATCATGCCATTGCACTCCAGCCTGGGCAACAGAGCAAGACTCCGTTTCAAAAAATAAAAAATAATAAAAATGATACCTACCTTGCAGGGTACTAAGCTTTATAGACATGGCTCTGAGCCATTAGCACCATGCTTGGCAAGTGACTCTTCCCACCCTGGTTAGGTTGACAACCCAGGTTTAAACAGATGAGCTGCTCACAAGCAGAAACAGAACCGAAGCCCTCAACAGTGAACCAGTGGACAGTCGAGGGCTTCCAACCCTGTGACCTCAGGCTTCCCAAATACACAGTTCCTGAGTCATGGAACTAGCTAGAGGGGACCTTATACTGATATTGTCTAAACTGCATTCTGTCTCTGTACTCCCCTGTGTAAAAAGATGGTTTGATAAAGAACAGAATCCACAAGATAGCCAGGACAGGGGTGAAGCTCCTGGAGAAGATGGCCTGTTTACCTTTCCATCTGCTGATTCACCTTAGAAGCATGTGTGGTTTCTTACTCAGGTGATAGGTTAATTACAGATCTGTAAGCATTTCCTGATTCCTATGGAGGACCCAGCACTATGCAAAGATCTGTAGGGGATTCAAGACAGGAACCCCTCTGTTCCCACGGAGATTGCAGCCTAGCTGGGGAGAGACATGGGCGTGCAAGGAACACAGGGGGCGTGGAAGGCCAGAGCGCAAAGAGGGAGGGCAGGGGGCTGTGTGAACCCACCGATGGGTAATGGTGACAGCTCACGGTTCAAGTGTGGGTAGACGGGAGCTTCACCTGCCTCTACCAGGGACTTGAGAGGGCCCTGTTTTCCGGGCCCTCGTGCTGTATCTTGCCCATCCTTCTCCCCACCAGTCATAGTGCCTGGCCGCCTGTTTCCCCCAGTGAAAGCTGTCCAATAATGTCATCATGAATAATGATCATCAGCTTGTAAATCTGAGTCGGGGCAGGGCGTGGTGGCTCATGCCTGTAATCCCAGCACTTTGGGAAGCTGATGGGGGCAGATTGCCTGAGCTCAGGAGCTCAAGACCAGCCTGGGCAACATGGCAACACCCGTCTCCACTAAAAATACAAAAAATTAGCCAGGCGTGGTGGCGCAAGCCTATAGTCCCAACTGCTTGGGAGGCTGAGGCACAAGAATCGCTTGAACCTGGGAGGCAGAGGTTGCAGTGAGCCAGGATCGCGCCACTTCACTCCAGCCTGGGCAACAGAGCAAGACCCTGTCCCCCCCCACCCCGCCCGCCCCCGCAAAAAGAAATTGAGTTGGGGAAGCCATGCTTTTCAGAGGCAGAAGTCAGATTGCCGTGGATTGAGGAGACCTGCCGTGAGAGTGTGGCCATAGCGAGTGTTCTCGAAGGCTAGCTGGAAACAAAAGGAGAGCGATGGGCTGTAGCTGGAGGGGCCTGGGAGAGCTCTTTCAGGATGTGTGAAGGTTCCGAGGCTGCAGAGCTGAGTGAGAGCGTGAGGCTGGATCATTTGTGGTGTGAGGGTTCCCACGCGTGGGCAGCAATGAGCTGCACCTCCCAGAAGGGCAGTCCATCCTGACGGGGAGGAGGGACACTTGCTCTGAGGCTTCAGGGCAGCAGGGTAGCAGGGTAGGTGGGTTTGCAGGTCGGAGTCCAGAGGTTGAAGCCATTCATGGTGGAAGGCCCTGGCTTTGTCAGGAGGTAGGAGAGAGGTGGTCTGCCACTGGGAGCTGACACAGTGGCTTGAGGAGGGGGCTGGATGTTTGCAGCAGTTACTAAGGAGGTGAGAGATGGAGCTGGTAAAGGCCAATCCAAAGAGTATCAAGTGGTCTGGGGGCCCAGGTGAGGCTGGAGCCACAGGTGGAGTTTTCTAAGATAGTGCTGTGCAGAGCCGGGGATGCAGGGCCACGCAGGGTGCAGAGGAGCAGGCTGGGTGGTCAGCCCTGCAGTCAGTTAAGTCAATCGAGGAGGAAATAGTGGGAGAGAATAGAAAGATCAAGACCCTGGAGGTCTCTCTAAAATTAAGAGGCCAGCCAGGCACAGTGGCTCATGCCTGTGACCCTAGCACTTTGGGAAGCTGAGGCAGGAGGATCGCTTGAATCCAGGAGTTTGACATCAGCCTGGGCAACATAGTGAGACCCCATCTCTACAACAAGCAAAAATGAAAAAAATTACCCAGGTGGCATGCCTGTAGTCCCAGCTACTTGGGAGGCTGAGGCGGGAGGATCAATTGAGCCTAGGAGCTCAAGGCTATGGTGAGCTATGATCGCACTACTGTACTCCAGCCTGGGTAGCAAAGTGAGGACCCATTTTTGTTTTTGTTTTTTAATTTTAATAAAGCCAAATGACCATGATCAGGAAGGTGAGGTCCTGAGCACCCCGAAGGAACAGGAGGTGGCCACAGAGGGGTGATGTGTTTGTGATGTGAAGAAACAGTGGATGATGACAAAGCCCTCAAGGAACCGAGAGGCCGTCTTGGGTGGACCGTTATATGTCTGTTGACTTCACCTGGGAGGGTAGCAGGAGTGGGGGTGGGGAGAACTGAGTCAGGTGTCAAAGTCCCCTGTGACTGTCCAGGCTGCTGGAGATCAGTGGATGACAGCTTCAAGGAGGGGCACAGGTCAGCCGGGTGCAGTGGCTCACGCCTGTAATCCCAGCACTTTGGAAGGCCTAGGCAGGTGGATCACTTGGGGCCAGGAGTTCGAGACCAGCCTGGCCAACATGGTGAAACTCTGTCTCTACTAAAAATACAAAAATTAGCCAGGCATAGTGGCTCACGCCTGTAATCCCAGCACTTTGGGAGGCCAAGGTGGGTAGATCTCCTGAGGTCGGGAGTTTGAGACTAGCCTGGCCAACATGGCGAAACCCCGTCTCTACTAAAAATACAAAAATTAGCCAGAGATGGTGGCGCACGTCTGTAATCCAAGATACTGAGGAGGCTAAGGCAGGAGAATCACTTAAACCTGGGAGGTGGAGGTTGCAGTGAGCCGAGATCACACCACTGCACTCCAGCCTGGGCAACAGAGCGAGACTCCATCTCAAAAAAAAAAAAAAGAAAGAAAGAAAAGAAAAATGGAGAGGCACAGGTGATATGACCCCTGTGGCCCAACACCTACAAAGGTCTGGGGGTTGTCCAGGGAGCCTGCGATGGCTGCTTCATGAGTGCTGCCATGTGAGGCCTCACTCAAGGCTTTTGTAGGAATCGGGCAGCTAGATTTTCCCCAGACGCAGTAACCTCATGAAAAAGAAACGATGCCTGCCTGCCATCCAGTTCATAAGTGGGACAAGAGATGGAAGAAAGGAGGGGGGGCAGGAGGGAAGGGCCTTCCCCACAGGAGGCATCGGAGCTTGGGGTCCCTCTCTATCCCCTTCCGTCACTCGCTTCCCTGCAGCCGGCTGTGACCACAAGGTGACATCCACCAGTGGTACCATCACCAGCCCCAACTGGCCTGACAAGTATCCCAGCAAGAAGGAGTGCACGTGGGCCATCTCCAGCACCCCCGGGCACCGGGTCAAGCTGGTAAGGGGTCCCCTCCCCACTCCTTATGCGGTGTGGCTGCCCCCGGTCAGAGGCACTGCCCAGAGCCACACAGGCTGCAGGCTGAGCCCAGAGGTCTGCCATCCCCAGGAGACCCCAAGTCTGGCCTGGACAGAGGCCCCTTTCCCAGTATAAATTAGGGGCGTCCCTGCCTTCGCCCTATTCCTGGGCCCTCCTTCACTGTCATCCCCAGCTGTGGCTGCTCCCATGGGTATCTGTGAGGCCTAGGTTTGGGGCCCTCATCCTTGCCCCACCTGCCTTCCAGCCAAATTTTTAATCTGTGCTCCTTCCTCATCCCCCTAGACCTTCATGGAGATGGACATCGAGTCCCAGCCTGAGTGTGCCTACGACCACCTAGAGGTGTTCGACGGGCGAGACGCCAAGGCCCCCGTCCTCGGCCGCTTCTGTGGGAGCAAGAAGCCCGAGCCCGTCCTGGCCACAGGCAGCCGCATGTTCCTGCGCTTCTACTCAGATAACTCGGTCCAGCGAAAGGGCTTCCAGGCCTCCCACGCCACAGGTACTGTCCCCGGTTGTGGGAGTGTTCACTGAGCCTGGTCTCCAAGACTGGGGTAGAGTCGGGGGTTTCAATGCGGGTATGAAGGTACAGAGGGACTGAGCCCTGCGACCCAGGGCCAGGGTTGTGGGTGATGCAAACATTGTGTCCTGAGAACCAGGCCTGGGGGGCAGGGATAGGAGGGTGTGGTTAGGGGTTAGGATGGCAGTGATGACGATGGACAGGAGAGGTGAGGGAACTCAGGGACAGAGAGGAAAGCCCCCAGAGGTCCCCCTGAGCGTACGCGGGCCACCGCAGCAGCCCAGCCACACACCAACCCTGAAATATACTCTATTCATTCTCTGATATTTATTTTTTTATTTTTATTTTTATTTATTTTTTATTTTTTGAGATGGAGTCTTGCTCTGTCGCCCAGGCTGGAGTGCAGTGGTTCGATCTTGGTTCACTGCAACCTCCACTTCCTGGGTTCAAGCGATTCCCCTGCCTCAGCCTCCCGTGTAGCTGGGATTACAGGAGCCTGCCACCATGCCCAGCTAATTTTTGTATTTTTAGTAGAGACAGGGTTTCGCCATGTTGGCCAGGCCAGTCTCAAACTCCTGACCTCAGGTGATCCGCCCGCCTTGGCCTCCCAAAGTGCTGAGATTACAGGCGTGAGCCACCGTGCCCAGCCCATTCTCCTGATACTTATTGACATGTAACATGGATGAGGCGGCATCCTAAATGCAGGTCCCAGAAACAGACCAAGCAAAGATCCCAGCCCTTGAGGGGCTTGCTCGGCTTTCACTTGCTTGTTTATTTAGCAGCCATGAACTGAGCTCCGCTCTGCGAGAGGACTAAGGGGCACGTGGCCTGAATCAGGCATGAGCCCTTCACTCCTGCCCCCCACCCCATACTAGGAACTCGCAGTCCAGGAGAGAGACAAGGCAGGCACCGCCCGTGACAGCATGAGCCCAAGCGGGAGCCAGGCAGGAAGAAAGGCACCCCGGCCTAACTGGGCATGTGTTGGTAGAGGCATTCGAGGCAGGGGGAGGTGCCCAGGCAGAGACACAACCCCAGCCCAGCCCAGAGTGTGCCCAGGTGACAGCAGGTCATTTACTTTGGCCGAAGCAATGGGTGTGTGAGGACAGCAGGTTGTGGGAATGATGTGGCTGCAGAGAAAGGCTGGAGTCCAGGGGGATGCCTTGAGTGCCAGACCAAGGATGCCACGAGGGAGCTTTGCAGTCTCCTCCTGGGTCCTAAGCCACCTGTCAGGGCATCCCCAGAGCTGATGGTCCACAGCCTCCCCTCTTCCCCTTCAACTCAGTCCCTGACCCAGCCCCGTCCTTCCCTCTCCCCACCTCCTCTAGCGAGACCTGAGTGCCAGGTGCACAAAAGCCAGAGGGCCTGGGGAGGAGGGTGGCCCCATGCACTGTCCTCTGCCCTTCCCAGCACAGGGTCACAAACCGGAGGCCCGGAACTCCATCTGGCCCTCAGACCTGCTATGTTTGGCCCACACTGTGTTTTTTTTAAAAATGTGAGCCAACACTTAAAAGTTAGGAGTTTTCACATAAAACCCAGATGTACGGCTTCTCTCTTGAAAATGGAAGCTGTGGCGACACTGGGCCCACATTCTTCCATGACAGCCATCAGCTGGAGAAAATGAGCAATGCCCTCTTTAGACAAAGTGTGTGGTGCCTCGTGCCACCGCTCCATGCTGTCTTCCTCTCGGTGAGCCTCACTGCCTGTTCCCCTCAGCCTAGGGCCAAGGTCCCTCTATTTAGAGATGGGGCAGCACAGCAATGTTCTGGGCCAGGCCCCCACCCACCCATCACTGGCCTCGTGGCCTTCACCCAGGCCTCCATCCTGCCGTGAGGGCACGCCATGGCATAGTGTGCCATGGGGCCTGGCACCTGCGGTGCTCAGGGCTGGTTGGCCCCTCTTGTCCCCTACAGAGTGCGGGGGCCAGGTACGGGCAGACGTGAAGACCAAGGACCTTTACTCCCACGCCCAGTTTGGCGACAACAACTACCCTGGGGGTGTGGACTGTGAGTGGGTCATTGTGGCCGAGGAAGGCTACGGCGTGGAGCTCGTGTTCCAGACCTTTGAGGTGGAGGAGGAGACCGACTGCGGCTATGACTACATGGAGCTCTTCGACGGCTACGACAGCACAGCCCCCAGGCTGGGGCGCTACTGTGGCTCAGGGGTGAGGCCCCCACCCCTCGCCCTCCTGGCCCCATGCCCCACGCCCCACACTGTCCTCCACCCTTCTCAGCCCAGTCTCCAAGACCTAGCGCCCACACAGGCCCCGGAAGTTGAGTGCAGCACGCGTGTGGCCCTGTGTGGGAGCCCAGAAGCCCAGCCTTGTTGGGGCTACTCAGAGACACTGCCCCATCCCCGACGTAGGAAACCAAGTCCTTTCTGGGCAACCTAGAAGTTCCTGCGGCCTCTGACCCAGGCCTGCCTCAGAACCAGTTGGCCACGGCCTGGAGCGGATGGAGCTTCCTCTGTCCCTCCTTTCCTTACCCCTCCCCCAAGGCAGCCCACCAGGGCCTGGAATGGGGGGCAGAGGTTGGCACCAGAGCCGGGGACAGGGCGCCTGAGCGGAGTGGCCCTCACCAGTCCTTTTGCCGGAGGCATAAACACTCTTGTCATTTCCTCTACCAGTTTCTCCTCCTGATGAAAGGCCAGCTTGTCCCAAAGCTCTTGCTGCTGCTGTCCCAGTGGCCCCTGGGCACTGCTTCTTGGTCCATAAAATGGCACGTTAAGAGTCAATGAGCAAAAGTAGGCTTGATGGGCTTTTCCCTAAGGACATGGGCTAGCCTCGTGGGGAGGATTTATTTTCCTCCCTGTAAGAGCTTGCAGCTGCCTCTTCTTCTTTTTTTTTTTTTTTTTTTGTCCTTTCCTGAGGGCTTCAAAGAGACAGACTGTCTTCCTACCCATCTCTCTCTCTTTCCCTCTCTCTCTCTCTCTCTCTCTCACACACATACACACACACTGGCACACCCACTTGCATGCACTTTCAAATACACTGGCCCTCCTGTCACCTCCCTGTCCCCTTGCCTATCTCATGGCTGTATCCCAGGCAGCCTGGGTGCCCCAGGAAGGGTTAAAGCTCCTGGAAGCTGCAGCAGCTGCTGGACCCAGCATTGGCTGAACCTCCCCCAGGAGCAGAGCTTCAGCCCTCGTGTGGCTGGCAGGGGCTGGGACAAGGTGGAGCCTGAAGCAGCTTGGCTGCCCTGGTGTCCCCTGGCTGCCAGGCTAGTGTCCCCTCCCCTCTTTGCTCTTTCTTCTGAATCACACACCAAATCGGATGTCCCCAGGTGTCTTCTTCCAGAGACCTCCCCCAGGCTGAGTTGACCGGAAGGAACTTGGGGAAGGATCAGGGCCTCCTGGCACAACTACTCGGAATGTCCTCAAGGTTCTCAGAAATGATTTCTTCTGTGCCTGGAAGGCCAGGGCGTTGACGTCCGATGCTCTGAGGGCTGACCTCACTCAGTAGGCTTGCAGGAGGCACCTAAGAAGGGCTCGGGAGCAGACCTTGGCCAGGTGCCAGAGGAGAGGCGGGGCAAGGGGTAGGGATGGCAGAGTCCAGGCCTGGGGGGCACTGTGCTTCTCTCCAAAACTTCCTCCACACTCCAGCAGAGAAGTGGCTGTGCCGTCTTCCCTAAGAGTCCACTGGGACAGCAGGAAGTGATGCCATTCAAAGAACTCCCTCCCTTTGCAAAATACTTTGACATCGGTGCAGTCCTTTGTTTTTCCCCAGCACCCCTCCTAGGCATGGAGAGCAGAGACCTTTTGCTCCTGTTTGTGGCTGAGGGAAGTGAGGCCCAGAGATGGGAGGTGGCTTGCCTGAGACTACACAACTCATTTAGTAGTTATAGCAGAGCTGGGTTTACGGGAACTTAGTTCTCTTCGGCCCACGCCTCCTCCCCTCCCCAGGTTCCTCATTAAACCAGCAAGAAGCCCTATGCTTCAAGGGGCGGGGAGAATCTGGTGGCTGCCTGGGAGCCTCCTGCCCTTCAAAGCTGGGGATCTTGGGGAGGCAGGACAGCAGCCCCAGCCCCTCTTCCTCCACCTTACCCCATCTCTTTTCTCTGCCAGCCTCCTGAGGAGGTGTACTCGGCGGGAGATTCTGTCCTGGTGAAGTTCCACTCGGATGACACCATCACCAAAAAAGGTTTCCACCTGCGATACACCAGCACCAAGTTCCAGGACACACTCCACAGCAGGAAGTGACCACTGCCTGAGCAGGGGCGGGGACTGGAGCCTGCTGCCCTTGGTCGCCTAGACTGGATAGTGGGGGTGGGCGGAAGGCAACGCACCATCCCTCTCCCCCAGGCCCCAGGACCTGCAGGGCCAATGGCCTGGTGAGACTGTCCATAGGAGGTGGGGGAACTGGACTCCGGCATAAGCCACTTCCCCACAAACCCCCACCAGCAAGGGGCTGGGGCCAGGGAGCAGAGCTTCCACAAGACATTTCGAAGTCATCATTCCTCTCTTAGGGGGCCCTGCCTGGTGGCAAGAGGGAATGTCAGCAGGACCCCATCGCCATCCCTGTGTCTCTACACGCTGTATTGTGTATCACCGGGGGCATTATTTTCATTGTAATGTTCATTTCCCACCCCTGCTCCAGCCTCGATTTGGTTTTATTTTGAGCCCCCATTCCACCACCCCAGTTTCCTGGGGCACAAGTGTCTGTGCATGTCCCCCAGGAGCCACCGTGGGGAGCCGATGGGGAGGGGATGGAGAAACAAGACAGGGCTTCTCTCAGGCCCAGTGGCCGGTCAGCCACACCAGGGCACCGCAGCCAATAAACCGAAAGTGTTACAGCCAATATCCTGTGCCAGATGCTGTCTGGGCCATGGGGGCGGGGCCATCATGTTCCAGATGTATGGGCTTGCTGTGGAGGCTGGCACGTAGCCAGGGCACCTGGCATCACGGGCTGCCCTTCCCTCCCCTGATCCCAGGCTGCCAAGGGTGTAATTTCACACTCAGGCACAGATACTCGCAGGCACCCATCACAGCGCGCACACACACCACACGCACTGCTCGCGGTCCTCCCACATGAGGGGAGGGGTGGAACATTCCATAAAGTGGCTGTTTGGTGGGGAGGGAAGAAGGATGTGAAAGGGGTCAGGGGTGTCTGTCCGTCTGGGTTTTCTGTCTCTGCATCTAGGGAAGGAGTAGGTGGGCTGCAAGGGTGTCCACCTAGGTGAGCACACGGGGGCCAGAAAACCCACATCGGCTGGGACAGGTCCAGTTGGCCCCTGGTGCCTGTCTTCCTGCCGGTCAGATGCTGAGTGCTGGTCCCCATGGATCCCCCTGTCTTCGTGGAGACAAGAGCCAGAACTCAGCGGCCACTGAGCAAACATCCCAGCTCTGGCCCCACTTCCCAGGTGACCCAAATCTATGTCTTGTCTGGCCTCCTTCTTCCTGCCATCGCACACCCCGCTTCCCCATCCCAGACCTGTACCTCCCAGAGGCCAGGAGGAGAAACCACATCTCAGTTCCCTCTCTCCCCTCTCTCTACATGGATCTCAAAAGGAAAGAAAGCCCAGGGCAGCCCCGGCTCTTACGCCCGGGCTGGGCGCTCCCAGGGTCCGGGGAGAGCTGGGCGGCCTGCTCTCTGGACCCGCAGGGGCCCCCACCCCCAGGAAGCAGCCTGGCATGGGGGACTCCATCTTGGCCCTCTAAGCAGAAGGTATCAGTGGAAAGCAGGCACACTGCGAGTGTTGGATGTGTACGCAGGGCCCTCTTCTTCCAGGAAGCCCACCTGCTCTACTGCTCAGGCTGTAGCTGTCTCCTCGAGGCCTGACCACCAGTGTGGCCCCAGGGCCCTGAGAGAGAGCTAGAGGTGCCCAGAGGGGTTACTGCTTGTTGCACCAGTAGAGTCACAGGCTGTGATGTCACAGCCACTCCTCCCTGCTGCTGCTTCCTCTGAAAGGGAGGCTTAGGACAGCCTGGAGGGCCATGACAGAATGGAAAAACCTCTACACTGGTGGAGCTGCCTGGGCATCTCACCCAGACACTGCCCACCCACTTGGCATGAGCTCTGCCACGGAGTTGGTGGTCAGTGGCCATAGATCTCCTTACCAGCCCTCTGGGTCCTTCGGAAGCTCAAAGGACCACAGTCCCAGCTCACAGGCCAGGGTCATAACCCTGTCCAGGCAGGGGCTTCAGCCCACAGAGATACATTGGGTCCCCCACCCCAAACAGGGTCCTTATGGACAGCAACCCCCAGCTAGAGGAAGGCTCAGGATAACCCATGCAGCCACCTTGGCACACGTCTCAACACTCCATCACCCACAAACATGGGTTCTTCCAGCAACTCAAGAACCCACGCCAGCGAGCCCTCCAGACGTTCCGTAGGCCCCTCTTCAGAGGTAGGCAAGGGGCTGTGGTGCCCTAGGTCCAGGGTAGGCCCAGCCAGGGGAGCTTCGGCACAGAGTATCTCAGAGAGCACCCACACCCAAACGGAAGCAGTGCAGGAGCCCCGGCCACCGTGGGCGCTCCCAACCCACCCCATGGAGTGAATAAAGATCCTGAAGACCGCCGAGGAGGTCCACATGGCGGTTCCGGATCTTCTGCCCTGGTCAGCCAAGAAGCAGGGGTACAGGCCTGTCTGGATGCCCAGATGTCCACCCGCAGGTGCTTGCAATTGGGCAGGAGGCAGCCCAAAGCATGGATAAGGGCGTCCATTTGATAGAGAGGGAGGAGAGGGGAGGACAAAGAGGAAGAGGACAGGGAGGAAGAGGAGGAACACTCAGAGGACGGAGGCTAGAGAGTGCTGAGGAAGACAAGATGGTGGCTGGAGAGGAGGAGGGGAGGAAGGAGAGAGAGGATGGAGAGGAAGGGGAGGAAGGGGAGGAGGAGCAAGGATCCGCCTCCTCAGGTGATGGAAGCCCCTCAGGAGCTGGCTGCAGGCCACTGATGTGTATTTCAGAATTTGGTAAATTGATGTGTTCTGTGGGCCCATCCTACCCTCACCTTCTAGCTGCCCAGGGTTCTAGACGAGCCCCCCACCCCCACCCAGTGCAGCTGCCCCTCTGCGCAGGTGATTCCATGGTAGAGGAAGGTACACTTGCTCCTCCTCCTGTGTCCCAGCACCTCAGGTCCCCTGGGGGCTTAGCTGAGGTCCCCTGGGGTCCTGAGCTCATGATAAGCATTCGCATGGGAAAAGCCGGGATGCAGCTGCCCCGACCCTACACTCCCAGCCCCAGTAGCCAGGTCAAGGTGAGCACATCCCTGGGAGCTTCGAACTTTCTGGAGCCCTCGGCCAAGAGGGCAGCATGAGCCTGGCAGTCAGGAGACCTGGCTCTGCTACGCTTAGCTCTGTGACACTGGCCCACTGCCCCCTCCCTGGTCCTCTGCTCCCCAAACCTATCACCTGTTCCCAGCACCCTTCCTGCCACGTCCTGAGAGACAGATTTGAAAATCCAACGTCTTGTCTCCGAAGCAGTCAGAGGGCAGGGCACCAGGCAATTGAAGTGACTGGGACCCTCAGCAGAGATGTGGCAGCTTCCAGGGACAAGTGTTGGCTCAGTTGTAAAATAAGGAAAGTTGAGTGCCTGGCTCTGTCCCTCACTCCCTTTTTCTCTTTTTCCCTGCCCCTCCCTCTAACCCCACAGGATCCCCAGTAGTAAAAAAGCGACAAACTTGAGAGCAAACAAAACCCATTTTGAACACCAGCCCCACCATTTGGTGGCTACGTGACCCTGGAAGAGTCACTTCTTTGAACTTCAGGTTCTTCATGGATAAGTGTGGGATGATACGGTTATGAAGGAATGAGGCCAGGCACGGTGGCTCATGTCTGTAATCCCAGTGCTTTGGGAGTCTGAGGTGGGAGGATCACTTGAGCCCAGGAGTTTGAGACTAGCCTGAGCAACATAGCGAGACCCTGTCTCTACAAAAAATGTTTAAAAATTTATCCGGGAGTGGTGGTGCATGCCTGTAGTCCTAGCTATATGGGAGGCTGACGTGGGAGGACTGCTTGAGCTGGGAGGTTGAGGCTGCAGTGGGCCGAGATCACACCACTGCACTCCAGTCTGAGTGACAGGAAAAAAAGAAGGAATGAGTTAACCTTTGAAGACAGCCGGTCACAGTGCCTGGCAAAAGGGGGCTCTTAATAAATGGGCCTGCTTTTCCTTTCCTCTGCTCGCTCCCAGACGACTCCACTCCTGTATTAAAAGGAAACTTTCAGGTACAAAAGTAGTTTCCAGGTGGGCACTAGGAGCTTAGTGTAGAACTTCCCCTGCCGGAGGGGCACCGCTGAGCCCACAGCAAGGAGGGGGCTTCAGGGCAGCAAGGGACATACTTCTGGCGAGCTGGTGGCCTCCCAAGCCACACCCTGTACTTGACTGTCCCTACGCACAAGGCCGATTCTAGAATCCGAAAAGCTTTGTTGCTCCGGTTTGCAAAAATAGTAATGCCTGACTTGGAGAGTGGGGGACAGGGCAGCCAGATGTCTTCCCCAGAGAACCCTGAGCCCCCAGCCCAGCCTCCCGCCAACCAGAGCTGCTGCCTCTGCTGCCCCAGCCCCCTCCATCCCACACCCTCCCTTCCCCCACCCCTTGAACATCTGGTTCCAATCTCCTCCAGATGTTGTGGCCAAGCTGTTTTATGGCCAATCACCTCGGCTCCGCTTCCTGAAGGCCTCCCTCCACTTTGGGGAATGGACCCTCCTCGTCCCTTTCCTTGGGACTCCAGCCACCTCTTTCCTAACCTGGAGAAGAGACACATACCAAAGCCAAATGAAACTGCTAGCGTCCTCAGAGCGGGCGCCTCCCCTCCCTCCACTTTGTGGGATGCCCAGGTTAAAATGAAAGATGCTGGTCCAGGGGCAGAGGAACGGCAGGGAAGTATGGGTGCGCGCCCGAGCAGAGGAGTTTCAGTTGTGAGTTGTGTGTGTGTCGGGGACCAAGCGCGTGCCACCACGTGTTTGTGTCAGGTATGTCTGTGTGTTTGTGCCTGCACAGCGGAACCCCTCACCTGGCATCTGAAGCTTCCCCTTGTGGCCGCCACCTCGTTTTCCCTGGCTGCCTGCACTGCCGGAAAGAACTAACTCGGGGCCCCTCAGCTGGACAGTGGCAGCTACGGGTTCAGGGTTGTCCCTCACCTTGCAGCTGTCTGTGGCCTTCTAGGCTGTCCTCTAAATCCAGCCCAGCGGGGGCGGTGCATGTGTAGGCGTGTGTGTGTGCATGTGTGTGTGCACTCCCACGTGGACCTCTCTCCTTCCACCAAGTCAGAATAGGCCAGAAAGGACCCCAGGGCGGACTCCAGCGGACGCTCTGACCCAGCTCTGTCTGACTGGTGCTTCGAGCGAGTATGGCAGGGCTGGCTGTGCGCCGGGACTCACCATCTGGACAGAGGAAGGAGAAGCAGAAGGCTCTCTGAAGGAACCTGCCTGGGGCTTCCCACAATCCTACCTCCATTCTGCCTTCATGCTCCACCATGAGGGCTCTGGGAGCCAATCTCTCCTCTCCTCCCAAGAAACCCAAAAGGGTTCATAAAAGGAAGACTGGAGCCTGCCCCTCTGGAGGACTGAAACCCTCTCAGCTGGGAGTGGAGAATCCTGTGCAGGCCCGCCCAGAGGCAGAAGGGTTGGCCCCGAGTCACTCCATTCTCAGAATGCTGGATTTGAGGTACTGCCCACTACTCCCTTTGTTTTTCAAAAGTTGGGGTCTCGCTCTGTGACCCAAGCTGGACTGCAGTGGCACGCTCATAGCTTACTGTAGCCTTGAACTCCTGGGCTCAAGTGATCCTCCGACGTCAGCCTCCCAAGTAGCTGGGACTACAGGCGCGTGATACCATGGTCCGGCTCCGCTCCACTATGCCTTTAAAATAAGCTTCTGTGCCCTCCGTGACTCCATAGCCTCCCCCCGCCCACCCCTGTGATATTCTGGAACTAGGCACAGACGTGCTTAACTGGTGTTGTGGAGGGGACCCCTGGGGGTGTCACTGTGTCTGAAACAGGACTGTCCCAGGTAGCCCCTGACATACACTAGAGGAGACAGGCACAGGGCAGAAAATGGGAAGATTCTGGTATCTCAATCAAAGCCTGGGCACTGTCACTTACAGGCTGTAAGACATGGGCAAGGCTTTGTGCCTCAGTTTCTACTTCTGTTAAGTGGGAATAATACTCCCCAGGACCATCGTGAAGACTAAAGAAGCTGATGTGTGTGACAGCACCCAGGTGCCTGGTGCATAGTAGGCCCTCAGGAGCCATCATCTGCCCTTCTGCTTTCCTTTCTACCCCAAAAAGGCTGTGCCCTGAGCTCTGGATGACACACGTGAACATGGCCTTGAGTCAGGCAGTGTTGGTGAGGACTCTGACTTCTTTAGAGCTTTTCTACTCCAGCAGAGGACCATATCAATAAGTCCATAACAATAGATGCAGGCCAGGTGCAGTGACTCAAGCCTGTAATCCCAGCACTTTGGGAGGCAGGAGGATCACTTAAGCCCAGGAGTTTGAGACCAGCCTGGGCAACACAGGGAAACTCCATCTCTACAAAATAAAAAATGTTAAAAAACCTAGCTGGGCATGGTGGTGTACGCCTGTGGTCCCAACTACTCTGGAGGCTGAGGTGGGAGGATCACTTGGGCCCCAGAGGTTGAGGCTGCAGTGAACCATGATCGTGCCACTGCACTCCAGTCTGGACAACAGAGGAAGACCCTGTCTCAAGAAATAAAAATAATGGCCAGGCACAGTGGCTCGCTCATGCCTGTAATCCCAGCACTTTGGGAGGCTGAGGTGGGTGGATCACTTGAGGTCAGGGGTTCGAGACCAGCCTGGCCAACATGGTGAAAGCTCATCTCTATTAAAAATACAAAAATTATCCAGGCATGGTGGCATGTACCTGTAGTCCCAGCTACGTGGGAGGCTGAGGCTGGAGAATTGCTTGAACCTGGGAGGTGGAAGTTACACTGAGCCAAGATCGTGCCACTGCACTCCAGCCTGGGTGACAGAGCGAGGCTCCATCTCAAAAATAATAATGATAATGATAATAATAAAATGATAGATGCAGAGGTGACTGGGATCTATAAACGGGAGCTGTGTTGGGGAGCGGGGACACTCAGGCACTTGGGACAGGGACATTTGGTGGCATCTGGGTCTGGAGCAATGGCAAGCTGCTGTAGTAGGAAGGCTTCAAAAGCTCCAAACGGGGCCTCCAGATGCTGTGAGTCCTCTCCTAGGACGCCCCATGTGGGAGGCCCCATATGGGAAACACTGGGTGGGACCAAAAGACTCCAAAGTCCCTTCCAAGCTGGAGACTCAGCTCTACATCCTGAGCCCCGCCTCCCACAATGGACGAGGTGCTCCCTTGGAGCTGATTTCAGGTCGCCTGTCCTGGGGGCATTCCCACCTGAGCTCCTCTGTGGTTTGCAGAACTCACCCATACCATCACTGGCCCAAAGGGATGGGGTGCTATGGTCTGAATGTTTGTGTCCCCCCTAAATCCTAGGTTGACTTTTTTTTTTTTTTTTTTTTTTTTTTTTTGAGATGGAGTCTCACTCTGTAACCCAGGCTGGAGTGCAATGGCGCAATCTCGGCTTGCTGCAACCTCCGCCTCCTAGGTTCAAGCAATTCTCCTGCCTCAGGCTCCTCAGTAGCTAGGATTACAGGCATGCACCACCACGCCCAGCTAATTTTGTATTTTTAGTAGAGACAGGGTTTCACCATATTGGCCAGGCTGGTCTTGAACCCCTGACCTCCACTGATCCACCTGCCTCAGCCTCCCAAAATGCTGGGATTACAGGCGTGAGCCACCTCACCCAGCTCTAGGTGGAAATTCTAACCCCAAGGTGATAGTTTTAGGAAGCAGGGCCTTGGAAGGCGATGAGGTCATGAGGGTGGGGCCACATGAATGGGATTAGTGCCTTTATGAAAGGGGCCCAAGATGGCCCAGAGCAGTGGCTCATGCCTGTAATCCCAAGCACCTTGGGAGGCCAAGCAGGTGGGAGGATCACTTGAGGCCAGGAGTTTGAGGCCAGCCTGGGCAACAAGGTGAAATTCCCCATGTCTACAAAAAAAAAAAAGGAGGGGCAAGAGAGCTTGCTAGTCCCTTTCACCCTGTGAGGACACAGTGAAAAGAGCCATCTGTGAAGCAGGCCCTCACCAGACACCGCTTCTGCCAGCACCTTGATCTATGAGAAATGAATCTGCGGTTTCTGAGCCACCCAATGTGTGGTATTTTGTTACAGCAGCTCAAATGGACTGAGACGAGCAGGGCCCTCAGGCCATGGTGGTTTATTGATGCACGTCGCAAGCACAGCACAGGCAGGCGGACCCCAGCCCCGGGGGGACATGAGGGCCAGGGGAGGGCAGTGGGCCACCCCCACAGCAATGCTGTCAGCACAGGGGGAAGGAAAGGGCCTGGGCCATGTTCTCTCCTTCTCCACACCTCTCCCCAAGCCTCCAGGCCTCCTGACTCATCCCAGAGAGACAGCTGGCCACACAACTGCCCCTGGCTACAGATAGGTGACCGTTGTCCACCTGTCCCTCACCGAGGTATGGCCTTGCCGGCCCGCTGCTGCTTCCGTCCTTCATCACGAAAATCCAGCTGCTCATCCATCATCTCTGTCACCTCTGAGAAAGTCACTGTGAGGCTGCACTCTCCTCTGCCTGATGTCACCTCCATCATCCCCCAAACAGCCGGCTGCTGCTGTCAGCCCCTCCCACAGGCTCTCTGTTTGCTTTGTTGATTGTAGGGAGTCCACCCTCGTGACCTGTGTGACAGTAGGAATGAGGCAAAAACACAAGGAGGCCCGGGAAGGACTTCACCAAGAACTCCCCGGGGAGGGGCTCCCGGCCAGCAGGGTGGCAGGAGAGCAGACAGAGCCAGTGGGGAGGGGAGAGGCGGAGCAGCAGAGGGTCCACAGTCCAGGTCACGCATGGGCACAGTACAGTCATGGCACCATGGCAGAGCGAGTGAGCAAAGTGCACAGCTGGGCGGGGTGCCGGGGCCCGCGGGACAGCTTACAGGTCTCACGTTCCATGCCAGGCCCCAGCAGAGCATGAGGCGGCCCACTCCCAGCTGAGGAAGGGGCACCTCTGGGTCTCAGGGGTCTCCTCCCCCTCCTCAACCCCAGTGGCTGCTGTCTCAGACCCCTGCACTCTAAGCAAGGAGAAGGTATGCTGGGGTATGGAAGGAAGGAACATCCGACAGCCTGACGCCCCCAGTGCCAAGAGAAGAAAGAGAGTTCCTTTCTAGAGAGCAGGGGGAGTGTCCCGGTGGGCAGGTGGAGAAGGAGGGACAGCTCTCCCATGCAGGAAGAGGGTTCTTTGGGGCAAGGAGCAGCCAGGGAGTCACGGTGGTGCAGGAGACTATTTATAGAAGGAAGGGATCCAGGCCTGGAGTGGGAAGCCCCAGAGACCCAGCTCAGCAGGGAGGGGGCATTCTGTGGTTGGCCCTGAGTGGGGTGAGTGGGACTAAGAAAGATCGCCCCACAGCTCTCTGCATCTCTTCTGGAGGCAGCCAAGCTACCCATGGGCTTTGGCCCAGAGGGGCTTCCCTGGGAGAGCCCAGGAGGTGGGCAGGTCTTTGGGAGATAGAGACCTGGACGAGGCAAAGAACAGTAGGACAAGGAAACCAGAGGAAAGGGGAAGTTCTCCAGAAGTCCAGCCCAGCTGCCAACTACAGAGGCTGAGAAGCCTTTCCATGTCCACCAGGCTGGGTGTGGGCCACACTTACCAAGAGGACCACCGTCTGTTGCCTCCAATGCCAAGGGGCGAGGGGAGGGCAGCTGGGCAGAGTGGAGGGAGCAGGGGGGCAGGAGAGAGAAAGCCAGCTCCCTGAACCTGGGCTACCCACCTCCACCTTCCGCTCATCTCTCCCTCGCCCCCCAGCTCCCCAGGAGTCCCTAGCGGCCCACGCTGATGTTGCAGGTCTTGCAGCTGGGGTCCTTCTTGGCATCGGCAGTAGACAGACTCATGAGCTGGTGCCCACTGATCTCCCCCAGGGTGCCCAGGGACAGGTCGACGGGCTCAGTGTAGATGATCTCCAGGATGAGGTCCTGGGCGTGGCGGAAGACCAGCTCCCCATCCTCCACGCTGCAGGTCAGGAACTTGTTGCAAGCAATGTCCAGGAGGGGCAGGCGGTCGCGGCAGAAGCGGTCCCCCAGGGAGCCTTTGGGCGCCAGCACCAGGATGGCGTAGTGGTAGGCCGTGTACATGCAGTAGAAGTCCGCAAAGTAGAGGTTGGTGCTGGGATTGAAGAGGCGCTGAGCTGGGATCTGGAAGCGCCAGCGGCCGTAGGGGGAGTCCTGCGGGGGCTGGCCCGTGTTGAACTCCGTGTTGCAGCTGAAGAAGACCCCGTGGAGCATACCGCTGGTGGGGGAGCCGTGGCTGCCACTGTTGTCCTTCAGGTAAGGCTGCAGCATGTTCCCGCAGTGGGTCCTGCCCACCCCAGGGAGACACACCAAAGGGAAGAGAAGATGTGGCTGGTGAGCCGGGCTGAGGCTTGGCTGCTGCGTGTGGTCGAGGAGGGAGGAAGCCAGCCCAGCTCCCAGCCCTCCCCCAGCCGCCTCCACTAGTCGCAAATAGAACATTCCAGAATGCAAGAGCAGGGAGGGCCCTGGAGAGGGATTCAACCAGCCCACTCCTTCTCAGAGAAGAGATATGAAGCTGTCACTCCCCAGCTTGAAACCCTTTGATGGGGTGTGTGTGAAAAACACGGCGGCTCATGATCTGATCTCTGTGGTCTCCTTGCCACTCCCCACCTCCTGCCACCCCATCCACTTACCCACCCCCTGCACACACAGTCTCCTGCCTCCGTGACCCCTATGCAGGACTCTTCCCTCTGCTGCACTGACTGCCCTCTCCACCTTCCTCCGTCTGGCTTGGCAAACTTCTAATTAGCCTTCAAGCTTCAGTCAAGCGTCTGCTCCCCTCTAAAACCTCCCAGGAACAGCAGACACCTGCACTTGACAAATTTTTGGCTTCCTACTATGTGCAGGACACCCAATCTTCTCACTATGTTGCCCAGGCTGGACTTGAACTCCTGGCCTCAAGTGATCCTCCTGCTTCAGCCTCCCAAAGTGCTAGGATTGCAGGTGTGAGCCACTTCACCTGGCCAGGACACTGAACTGTGCTCAACAATTACACGTACTTTTTACATGAAATCTTTCCATACTGTCTCTCTGACTGGATTCTGAGGTTCTCAAAAGAGTGAACTGTGCCTTTATCTTTACATCCTGGCACCAAGTAAGGTGCCTGGCACCCATGAGTGCTCTCTATCTCTCCCACTCTCGCTGATAAAGGAGCCCAAACTGGGCCACTGACTTGCTTTCCAGGCTGGAGTGCAGTGGTGCAATCACAGCTCACTGCAAGCTCGAACTCCTGGGCTCAAGCAATCCACACCCGGCTAATTCTTTAAATTTTTTGCAGAGGCTGGGGTCTCACTATGTTGCTCAGGCTAGTCTTGAACTCTTGGGGTCAAGAGATCCCATCTCGGCCTCCCAACGTGGTAGGATTACAGGCTTGAGCCACCAAGCAGGCCTTGCTTCTTTAATACAAACCCCAAAGACTCCCAAGGTCCTCACTGCCCTGAGGTTAAAACTGCCCTGACTGTAAGGATAAAGACAGACAGAGGCCGGGCGTGGTGGCTCATGCCTGTAATCCCAGGACCTTGGGAGGCCGAGGTGGGCGGATCACCTGAGGTCAGGAGTTTGAGACCAGCCTGGCCAACATGGTGAAACCCCACTTCATTAAAAATACAAAAATTAGCCGGGCATGGTGGCGCATACCTGTGGTCCCAGCTACTCAAGAGGCTGAGGCAGGAGAATCATTTTAACCCAGAAGGCAGAGGTTGTAGTGAGCAGAGATCGCGCCCCTGCACTCCAGCCTGGGTGACAGAGAAGACGCCATCTCAAAAAAAAAAAAAAAAAAAAAGGCAGAGCAGCTGCTTGCCCTGGCTGAGCCTCAGAAGGATGCGGCCTTGGAGCACTTGCCAGCAGGCCCGGGGATGGTGGGTACTCCTGGTCCTGCCTCACATTGCCTGGTCCTGGCTGTCCTCAGTAACAAGTGACTCCCTGGCTCGAATGAACAAGTGCTTCCCTCTGGGCCTCAGGCTCCTCTTCTGTAGGCTGAGGGTGTTGGATCAGATCACCAATTTTCAAACACTTTTGGACTGCAGCAACTCTCTTTTTATCCCCAAAAGAAATTATACGTGGAAGGGTCACAGGCAAATAAAATTGAGGCTACTCTGACTGGAGGTCAGGTGTGGGGCCCACCAAGCCTCAACCTCTGGTCCCCCCAACCCCATGGCAGCATTCTAAGGGGTTCACTGACATGTCTCCCTGGAGGGAGCACCCAGTTTGAAAACCGACGAGCTGGGTGCTTCCTCGAACCCTTTGTGATCAGAACACTCATTTTGTGCACTCCCTGCCACCTTCCCTTTGGCCCCAGGGCCTGAATCGGAGAGACCTGTGGTGGTAGACCCCTGTGAAAGGAACTGTCCCAGAGTGGGAGCAAACCCAGACCTCATTCTCCCAGGCTCATTAGTACAACACTCTTGCAGAAGGCCCTGTCCCCAGAGCCCTTGATCTTCCCTGAGCCCAATCCCCAAAGTAGCAGTCTCTTCAGAGCCAGCCTGGTGACGTCAGGACATGTCAACCCTAGAGGAGGGACTGGCAGCCACGAGGGTGGGGGTGACCTCAGACAGCCAGGACAGGAGCAGGAAGGGCTGGGAGGGAGGAGAGGCCCGGCGGGTCCAGCCGGGAGCCCGCGCCCATACCTGGCATGCTGGAAGTACTCCTTGTGATGGTTGCGGTAGAAGACGGAGAAGCGGAGCATGCGGCCTGCGATCTGCTCAGCTTTCTCCTGAAGCTGAGCCAGGTGCTCCTTGGCATAATCTGCAAGATCCCAGATGCGGTAGGTGAGCCGAGGGCCAGCTGAGGAGCACAAACACCTCCTGTCCCCACCCCACCCCACACTGTGTGTGCCGGCCAACCTCTGTCCGCCAGAGCAGCAGGGGAGACTAGACAGTCGCAGAACCTTAAACTCAGATGGGAACAGGCCAGCTGGCCTCTGCTGGAAACACAGAGCGCTGCATACTGTCTGTCGTCATCACCTCTGCAACCACATTGCCAGAGGCTCCGGGCTCTCCGGGTCAGAAAAAGGCAGAGGGCTGCCCAGTTATCCTGCCAGGGTCCTCAGGGGCTGTGATCCCAGGCCATCCTCATGTGAAAAGAGGACCCCTGGGAAAAAGGAAGACTTGAGACGGGAGGGCTTGAGGTCCTTTTGGGAAAGTCTCTCAAATACAGTAGATAGGAGGCTGCCCACACCACCCCCATGGAAGCCAGCTGTAATTACAGGTGACGGCTCGTGAGGGTCTAGGGAGAACTGAGCCCAGGCAATGTTTAGGCAGTCCTGGGTCTGGAGCAATGGCTCTCAGCTTGAGCATCTCAGGAGAAACAGGGAAGGCTGGAAACAGGATAGCAACATTGAACCCTGGGGCCCCAGCAAGGCTGCTGCTGGCACATACAGCTCCTTGGTACAAATTAGAAGATGCCCTTCCCTCTTTGTGGCTGCATCCCTGGCCAGGGTGCTTGGTTTGGAGAGAGGAGTGTGGACTGGATTGCAGCCAGATCTCCAATTTGAATTAAATGCCCACTGCACATGGAGGTCTCAGGGGTAAACCAAGAAGCTTTCCCCACCAGGAGCAAGAGGCCTCCAGAGAGTGGGGTTCTGCAGCAGAGCTAAGAAAAAACACCACTCAACCAGCAGCAGTGGTTCACGCCTGTGATCCCAGCACTTTGGGATCACTTGAGCCCAGGAGTTTGAGACTAGCCTGACCAACATGGAAAAACTCCATCTCTACAAAAAAATATCAAAAATTAGCCAGGAATGGTGGCATGTGCCTGTAGTTCCAGCTACTCAGGAGGCCAGGAAGCTGAGGAGGGAGGATGGCTTGGGCTCGTGGGGAGGAGGTTGCTGAGGCTGCAGTGAGCCATGATCATGCCACTGCATTCCAACCTGGGCAACAGAGCAAGACCCTGTCTCAAAAAATAAAAATGAAAAAGGCCAGGGATGGTGGCTTATGCCTGTAATCGCAGCACTTTGGGAGGCCAAGGCAGGCAGATCACCTGAGGTCAGGAGTTCAAGATCAGCCTGGCCAACATGGTGAAACCCCATCTCTACTAAAAATACAAAAAAAAAAAAAAAATAGCCAGGCATGGTGGTGGGCGTCTGTAATCCCAGCTACTCAGGAGGCTGAGGCAGGAGAATCGCTTGAACCCGGGAGGCGGAGATTGCAGTGAGCCGAGATCACGCCACTGCACTCCAGCCAGGAGGCGACAAGAGCGAGATTCCATCTCAAAAAAAAAAAAAAGGCAGAAGGAGAAAAAAAAGAAAAAGCACCACTCAAAAGACAACAGCAGCTCAAGGAGACTTGGGGCATAAATCTTGGCAAAGGATAGAGCCAGCAGCCTCAGAGGCCCGGGGCTGAGAATGTTCCGTGTCTCTTCTGTGTGACAGAGAGATCTGGAGCAGCTCTCACCGTGAACACCAAAAGAATGTAATCTTGTGGGGGCAGACCCTGAGTCGTGAGGGACCAAGCACACATAGGCCCACTGTTTGTTTGTGATGGAGTCTACAAGTTAAGTTCTGCTAAGAGAGTTTGCGGGGCCATTGACCAGGGGCCATTTTCCCAGGCTACGTGAAGGCTCAGAACAAGTGAAATGTGATTGCCTCACCAAGTGCACATTGACAAATAATTGATTAAGCAAAATGTGGTCTATCCATACAATGAAATACTATCCAGTTTCAAAAAGGAAGGAAATTTTGGTATATTCCAGTCACAAAAAGACAAATCCTATACAATTGTACTGATATGAGACACCTAGAGGAGTCATATTCATAGAAACAGAAAGTAGAATGGTAGCTAGCAGAGGGAAATGGGGGGCGGTTATTTAATGGGTATAGAGTTTTGGTTTTCCAGGAAGAAAGGTTCTGGAGACTGGCTGTACAACAATGTGAATATACTTAATACCACTGAACTGTACACTTCAAAATGGTCGAGACGGCAAATTTTACGTCATGCACCTTTGACCACAAGGTTTAAAAAGATGCCTGTGATCTGGTACCAAGCCCGAAAAGTAACTCCCTTTCTTAATGGAAGTGGTCTTGCCAGCGTGATTAGTGGGGTTCGCATTTGCCTCCAGTGAGAGAAGAGAAAGGTTGGGCTCCTGGAGGCAGGGAGGGTGTCATGCCCGTGCATCTCCCCTGTGGCCCAAGCACGCTGCCTGGTGGACAGAAGGTGTTCATCAGTGTTTGCTGGACTACGAGGAAGACCCGCCTTGACCACAGCAAAGCCCGACGTGCCAAGCAGCAGGACAGGGGTGTGATAGCAGGGCCTCACCCCCAGTGCAGAACTCCACCGTCTCGCTCCAGCCGGACACCAGGTACTCCCCATCGCTCTGCTTCACTGCCGTCTGCACGGCCACACTGTACTCCGTGCGGGGGCTCAGGAACCAGTGGCCTCTCACCGTCATGGGCAGCGGCACTGCCTTGGCCACGAGCTTGGTGGGGACGTCCTGAGAAACAGGGTACAAACAGAGAGCCAGGCGTCAAACAGGGGTTCATGCCCAATCTGGGCATCACCCCAGAATCCCCACTCCCCAGATGGCCCTGTTTCTCCTGAGCAGGACCAATCTTGAGGATCCAATGGCTCCATACCCTGGCCACCATTTTCCTGGGAAGGCCACCCAGACACTCCACAGCCTTGGCCCCTCCTCGAACCCCCCTGACACCCCGTTCTCTTGGGAACGGAGGGGAAAAGCCACAAAGTTGAGGACGGCAAGGCCTTCATTTTTTAAGGAGACTTTGAGAGCTCTGCACACTGCAGTGCCGTCTCCACGGCAACGGCAAATGCTGAGAAGCCAGGGAGGAAGGGAAAATATGCCTTATTCTTTGGGGGGGAGGGTTAAGGGGGTGGTGTTGAACATTCACGTCACCGTGGCAACTGGCCTGCCAAAAGACACCCAGATCGGGAGAGCCGGTTCCAGAGAAAGAGAGCGGGTGAGTAACCCACGCCGGTGCCGTCGGCCTGGGAGCCAGCTGGCCGCCTCACTCCCCCTGCCTCTGCCAGCTTGAGAGGATGGGGGTCTTCCTCCCACCCACCCCCACACTGGCTTTTAACCCCAGGAAAGGACACACCCACGGAGGACTCTCTCCCATTCCTTTTCTAAGTCAAGCAAATGGCAGGCCAGCAGGTGAGGGGCCCGAGAGGGAGAACTGAGGCCACAGCAAAAGGGCTCCGCCCCGACCGAGGCCCGTGTGGCCCACCCAGCCAACAGCGAGGCTGTGCCCTGAGCCGGGGCTTTGTCGAGACTTGAGACGTCATCCCCATAGGCGAAGCCTGCGGCCCCACCCTACCCGGGCTCTCTGCCCCTGCCTGAAGTCTCAGTTGTGGCGCTGATAACAACGCTCCCTCTGTGCTAGGCGCCGGGCCAAGCACCACGCAAACATGACTCACTGCATCCTCTCCACGACCCCGTGAGGCTTGGCATTGTTATTCCCTCTTTACCAGGGAAGGAGCTCAGGCTCAGAGAGGTCAAGTAACTTTCCCAAAATGACACAGGAAGAAGAGTGTGGATTTTAACCAGCCTCTGACTCCAAGCCATCACTTCCAGGTGTTCCCTTATCCGGCCTCCTTCAGGAACAGAAGCTGGGGAGGGGCTCCCAGGACACCTTCTACTCACCCGGTGCTTGAACTTGTTGGAATTCTTATTCTCCTTCTTGTTAAGGTCAATGAAGTAATGGGTGACCCTCTCCAGGTCACTGTCCTCCATGGCCCAGGAGATGCGGAAGGAGTCGCAGGTGATGTTGTTGATCTCAATGCTGTGGGGCGTGGACAGCAGCTCCATGCTCCCGTCAGGGTTGTCTCCTGTGGGGACTGAGGAGGAGGGAAAGGGTCAGTACATCCCTTGACCCCGGCGAGCTTTCTGGAATGTCCTCCTCCCAATATCCCTTTCGAGGCGGAACCTCAAGGACCCCTGGAATCCACATGCCTCATGAACCAGATGGGAAAGACTGTACAGGGGAGGCTGGAGAAGGATGATGGAGGGTGGAAAGGGGTGCCTGCCCGGGGGGCTCTTTGCTCTCCTCGGAGGGGTCTGCAGAGCAGACGGCACCTGACAGGTGGCAGAGGCAGTGGGAATGCTGCAAAGCCGGGCGGGGACAGATTTGCAGCAGATGGAGCCGAGGAGGGAGGGGGCCCTCAGCCAGCAGGCGTGAAAAGAGAAAGGGGTGGGGGTGGAGAGGACGGGTGAGAGGCGGAGGAAACGCAGGAAGCACCTGCTGTGGAGCGGAGGTGCGAGGCTTGGGGCAGGTGACAGCCAAGAGCTCACAGGTGCCAGGGCCCTCGGATTCAGGCCTCTCTCCTCACTGGGGTCAGCAAGCGTTGCCGCGGTACATGGCTGGAAGGACAAGTGCCACGTTGGTGCATGTGGACACATTCGTGGTGGGAGGGGTACGCGGCACAGCCGGCTTCAAGCTCTTTTTCCACCCATAACTTTTTTTGATGATCCCTCTTTCTCTTTCGGCCAATCTTCTCTTGACTCCTTTCAATCATGACTTTTAACATTAACATCTATTAGGGGCCGGCCATGTGCTCATAATTTCACAGACGTCTCATGCAACCTTGGAAGTAGGCACACACTATCATTATCTCCATTTTACAGATGAGGCGACTGAGGTTGGGGAGGTACTAACATGCCCAAGGCCACGCAGAGAGCAAATGATTTGAACTCCGGCACCCAAGCTCTTGATCACTAAGCTAAGATAGTGTCCCCTCATGTGTGGGGGTGGAGGGGCACATGTGTGGCGTGTGTGCATGCATGGGTGCCCATGGTGTTTCCACCTGGCATTTTTCCTCCTTCCATCGTTTCCTTTCAAGCAACTGCATTTTCTCTCCCCTCCCTGTCTTACTCCTTTGGTTCTCCCCTTATGTCTGCTGCTCGTCCAGGTATGAGAGGACCTCATCACGGTCACTCTCATGTGTGCTTTAGCTGGGAAGAGCTGACTCTGGCCATGACTCTGGCCTGGCTGGCCTAGCTCCGGGATGGGGAAGAGCAAAGGGAAGGGGAGTGACAGCGTCTGGGAGGGGACAGCAGACGTGGGTGGGGCATTCTCCAGGGGCATTTGGTCTCCTGCTTTCCAATCCCTTCCTCCAGCCCAGTTCCTGGCACCCCTCATTTTTCTAAATGTCACCTCCTTCTCTTCTTTCTCCCCTCTTTTTCTCCTCCCCTTGCCCAGGAGCTAGTGGTGAGGGCATCTTGTGCCTGCAAAAGCAGGTACTTTTATTTATAGCTTCCAGAGGATCCAGCCCACACCTTCCTGTCAATTAAGCTTGCTCCAGAGCCTGGCACCTCTGTATTAACCTGTGAGTTGCCTGGATGGCAAGTACAGGGTGAAGGCTAAAGGTGATGGCCCTTACCTGCTCCAGGTGTCACTCAAGTCCTGTTTCATCTTAGCCTCCCACCCCACAGCCAAATGCCGGTGGCTTTGTGCATGGGGAATCCTATGGTAAATAAGCATGGCGGTGCTACCAGGCCCACCCCAAAATCAGGCAGATGGGATTGAGTGTCTGGAAACAACCCTACCATAATAAACCAGTTTGTAATTCATGGGGACAGGTGTGGAGCAGTGGGGAGTTACCATCTCTTGGGAACCTGGTGAGAAGCTCCCAGGGAGACACACATGTGCCCCTCACACACACACACGCACACACACACACGAACACAGACACACTCCTACCCAAGAGGCCCTGAGCGGCACCCACCCACACGCTCGGAGGCAGCCCACACTCGTCCCATGAGTAGGCACCTATTCCTGCCTCTCCTTGGAGTCCTCCTAGAAATAGGGGCAGCTGTGTTTGGCGGTAGGGGTCTCCAGGACCTGGGTGTCTGCTTGTCCCTCCCTCCCTACGGTTCTGGGAAAGCTGAGATGACATCCCCCCGCTAGCTTGGGAGGGTGGCAGTGAGTGAGCTGGGGTGGACAGAGGGGTGGGTGTGAACCCAAGTTCTCTACACCCAGAAGACTGGGGAAGGGCAGGGTGTGAGGGACAGGTTGAGGCAACACCCGAGAAACACCCACACTCCTGTGTGGATCCACCCCAAGACAGGCATGTACACACCCACACACAGGCAGGCACGCACGCGCATACACACATGCGCCAAGAGTGCCCACCCACCCGCGTCCCACACCTCCGCAGATGTCCTCACTCCCACACACCCATCTCCACATTCAGGTGCCTGCTGCCACCTTCCACATTCTAAGAATGCCCCACAGTTTTCCCTCTTCAATCTGTCACCTCCATGCACACCCAGACATGTTCATGTCCACAGGCTCACGCACACACACGTCCACGCACACCGCCTCACAAGCCATATGTGGGGAAAAGAGGATGCCACAGGCACCAACATGCATGTGTGCCACCTCCACAAGAAGGCACGCAACCCACACGCCTGCCGGCACACACATGTGTGTTCATACACACAGCAGCCCCCGCCCGAAGTCTGGTATTCTCTCTCGAATCATCTCCAGGCTCAAAGACAGACTTTGAAAATGTGTTTGCCTCTGGCCACACTCTGCCAGCCCTGAGCCTTCATGCCAACAGGTTTGTGCACCTACGTGGCTCTGCCCACAGACAATGGTTTCTGCCCCTTCTTCTCTTTACCCACTCCATCCTGCTCTGGGTCTCACCTCCCCATATAGAAAGCCCCTGTCTGCATACACTCCCACACACATGAAAAGGGACATGGTTACCCCTAAATATACTGCCTCATAGTGTCCCCACCCACGCACACCCACAGGCTACTCAAATAAGTCCCCCACACACATGTACCTCACGTGTGCCAGAAAGATATGTTTCTAGACATGCCTCACACCATTCAAAACCCACACATGAGCATGACTGCGGACAGACGGACCTATCTGCGCCAGCAAGCCTCCAGCCAACTCGCGAGCGCGCACACACACACGCCGCGCACACCGGTGCCCCTTCCCCATGCCCATTCAAACAGCCACCCTGCCACAGGGAATGCTTCCCCCACCCTGCTGTCCCTGTTGGCATCGCTGACTGCAGCAGAACGGTCACGGGGTGACTAACTGTGGTGCCCCAGAGACTGGATTCAGCCATTAACCACTTTGCCAAAGGCCTGGCCGGGGGGGGGGAGAGGGGACAAGGTCGTCAGGCCTGGCAGTCCAGGTGGGCACCCTGGGTGGTGGCAGGACCCTAGAGCCCCCAGATCCCGGCTACTCAGGATCAACAGCAGCAGGTTCCAGGGAGGAAGGGTACTCACCTGGCTCCACTGGGCTCTGCAGAGGAAAAGCTCGCAGGGAGGACAGGGAGAGACCTCTGCGTGGATGAGCTCCCCGGCAGGGGACAGCAGCCGGACGCCTGGGTCACGGGCAGTGGCGTGCGCTTGCTCCTCTCCCGGCTGCCAAGGAGGCTGCTTCCATGCCCCGCAGCCAGCTCCTGTCTGGCTGTGCAGCGCGTCGCTGCTGCCCCTGGTGAGACGATGTTCCCAGCTGAGCAGCGCAAGAAGAGAGGCAAGAGCGAAATCAAAGCAGCGTGGAGGAGAGAGAGGCAGAGAAGGGAGAAAGAACGAGAGAGCCAGACCGAATCTGCCTCCACCAATGGGATCAGCGGCTGCGCAGCGTCAGGTGATAATAAGCAGGCTTGGTCCCTGCTCGCCGGGCTGGTGGGAGGGGGAAAGGGCAGAGGGTCTCCCAGGGAGCTACACAGATGTCCTCAGGGACAGCAACACACGCCGCCTTTCCCCCATTCTTCCAGGACAAGCTGCCCTCAGAAGTCCCTCCAACACACCCCCTACTTGGAAATCTCTGACTTGAATGCAGCCCCCAAACTTTAGGATGCTGGGAGAGGGGTGGAGCTTAGCCAAGGGCTTGGGCCCCAAAGCAAAGACTCTGATTGGGGGAAGGGGAGGGAGGCTGTAGAGGGGAAAGGTCCAGATGGGGGGTGTGAAGCTGGGGTGGCTGTCTTCAGTCCGGAGCCTCTCCTTGGGGCCTTTTGGTGAACTGTGGTTCCATTTTCTTACCAACTCTAGAGAGAGATGGCAGACCTGCAGCTCAGGGATCCCTGTGGGTCTGGCAAGAACCCTCTGGCAGCTTGGGGGTCCACAGGAAAAGGGGCTGGGAGAGAGGCTGTGGCACAGTGCAGGGTGCACAGGGGTAAGAAAATGGGGGTGGGAGAACACACCAAGCTCTGAGTGTCCTCAGCCCACCCCACTCTCTGAGCACAAAGGAAGCCGGCCCTGGGCATCTTGGGGAGAGAATGTAATTCTGCTCTCACGGCAGCAGGAGGCTGTTCTGCCATCAAGAAGCAGACTCCGTGGAGGCCATCGGGAAGAACATCCAAGGAAATGTGAGTCCAGCAGCAAGCAGGGACAGAGGGTTGCGCAGTGGTGAAAAGCACAGGCTCACAGTCAGATGGATGTGCTGAGAATCCCTGCTCTACTGCTACCCAGCTGGGGGACCTTGGACAAGCCACTCAACCTCTCTTCATCTGTCAAGTGGGATCACACAGGTTTATTGTCATCATGGAATGAAATAATTAGGTAAATCGCCCAGCCCTGGGCCTGGCACATCAGAAGTGCCAGTCACATGTCAGAACTGTTCTTGTTCCCATCATATCGACAGCATCTTCCTGCAAGGAG
The DNA here is from genome assembly GCF_000001405.40 of Homo sapiens. Classification (NCBI taxonomy): domain Eukaryota; kingdom Metazoa; phylum Chordata; class Mammalia; order Primates; family Hominidae; genus Homo; species Homo sapiens. The sequence goes on from NC_000008.11 coordinate 22,233,173, forward strand.
CCCACAGTCCTCTACGGGAGAGAAGATGGCCATTTAGAGGATGCAATTAGAGAATGAGGAGCACACAACTAAATCGTAGGGCACAGATACTCATTCAGAGAAAGAACAATGGGCGGCTCCAGGGCACGTGCAGGGTGCAGGCCAGAGGAGGCTGTGGAAGCAGGAGTGCGGCTGGGGTGGGGAGGATTGGCACGGGGGCAGCTGACACCAGGCAGGCCCAGGGTGAGGTCTTGGTGAGCAGGAGAAGGTGTGAGCTGAGCCTAAGAAACACTCACCAAGAGGGAGTTGAGGCGGCAGGCCTCAGTGCAAAAGTCAGAGGAGGTAACAGCAGCAGAAAGTGAGAGTTCACAGAATGCAAAGACAAGCAGAAGCCAACCCTGCCTGAAACGGCTGTGAGAACCTCAGTGAGCCTGGCCAGGTCCTGAACTGCCGAATGTGGGGTGGTGCGTGGCACTGAGGCAGGACTAAGCACCCCCTTGGCCAAGCATGACTACGTCCTGCTCCGACATACCCACGCCGAGCTGGTGAGCTCAGAAGAGATGCAAAACGTAACCTCCTGGTGATGGCCAGCACATGACATCTGGACTACAATTCTGTCCCAGGCCGGGCGCAGTGGCTCACAAGAATCCGAACACTTTGGGAGACTGAGGCAGGCAGATCACCTGAGATCAGGAGTTCGAGACCAGCCTAGCTAACATGGCGAAACCCCATCTCTACTAAAAATATAAAAATTAGCTGGGTGTGGTGGTGGGCGCCTGTAATCCCAGCTACTTGGGAGGCTGAGGCACAAGAATCGCTTGAACCCGGGAGGTGGAGGTTGCAGTGAGCCAAGATTGCACCACTGCACTCCAGCCTGAGTGACAGAGTGAGATTGTGCCTCGAAAAATAAATAAATAAATAAATAATAAAATCCTGTCCCTAGGACCACACAGAGGGGCAGTGCAAGGAAAAAGGCAGGTTCTCTGTGACTTGGTTTCCCCTTCTGCCAAAGGAAAACTAGCCCCAGCACCATCCCTGCCTCCCACCTTCTCGGGATGTCATGAGGAGACTGCACGAGGTCCTGTGGCCCAAGCATGAGCAATAGCCATCTGAGCGCCCCTTTGTGGAGCTGCGTGCCGGCGACAGGTGAAGGCACAGCCCTTTAGGAGCTTCTGCCTCTTCTTGCCTCAGAGGACTTCTCTACAGATCACGAGAGGAAACACGTGGTAAGAGCAAACCATAGTGTGCCAAGTATAACTCACTCCCTATGAAACCAAACAACCGCCAAGATGCACTTCTGCTGCATTTTTATTTTTCATAACTTTTTATGACACAAGTAGCACATGATCATTGTAGAGAGACGAGCACATTTCATTTTAAAATTTAAGAGGGAATTTAAATCTCTCATTTTCCCACCATGCAGAAATACACATTAAATACATATAAAGAATTTTTTTAATTAATTTTTTTCGAGACAGGGTCTTGCTCTGTCACCCCGGCTGGAGTGCAGTGGCGCAAACTTGGCTCACTGCAACCTCTGCCTCCCTGGCTTAAGTAATCCTCCCACCTCAGTCCCCTGAATAGCTGAGAGTATAGGCGCACACCACCACACCTGGCTATTTTTTTTATTTTTTGTAGAGATGGGGTCTCACTGTGTTGCCCAGGCTGGTCCCAAACTCCTAAATGCAAGCAATCCACCCGCCTTGGCCTTCCAAAGTAGTTGGGATTACACAGGTGCGAGCCACCACACCCAGCCAATACTTGTATAGAATTTATTAACAAAAATAGAATGAAAGAATGCTGTTTTGTAACCTGCTTTTTTCACTTACCAATATCTTTTCTGTTCATCATATAACCTTTTTTTTTTTTTTTTTTTTTTTTTGAGACAGAGTCTCGCTCTGTTGTTCTGTCTCCCAGAACCTGGGAGGTGGAGGTTGCAGTGAGCCAAGATCACGCCACTGTACTCCAGCCTGGGTGACAGGGTGAGACTCCATCTCAACAACAAATTTTTTTTTTTTTTTTTTTTTTTTTTTTGTAGAGACAGGCTCTCACTATGTTGGTCAGGCTGATCTCCAACTCCTGGTCTCCAGTGATCCTCCTGCCTCGGCCTCTCAAAGTGCTAGGATTACAGGTGTGAGCCACCATGCCCAGCTGATCAACTCCATTTTAAAAAGGTGGAGGGTGGGAAAGAGGACTCAGGCCATAAGTAGTAAAACTAGTTAGTATTCAAATTCAGGTCTGTCTGAGTACCAAGGCCAGATTCCTCGTGGTAGAAAGATGCATAGCAAATATAGAGTCTGATGTAATAGAGAATGAGACTATAAGCAAAACATATTTACAGTCTTAATATTGCTTATGCACTTTATAGATTTAAAATGTTTATGTGTATTTCCCTATGGCTGAACTCAGTGTGGGGATCCGGTGAGCCAATGAATGCACATACATCAGGTAGTCCGTGGAAACCACTTTTGTCCTTTACATGTGTTTACAATGACAAGAGTGGGCCATGAGTATTTATAAGAACTACATGGATTTCTCAGTGCTTATTTCCTTTTCTTTTCGATATTATGTTTAGACAACCTATAACCTTCACTGGTCATCTATTTTAATGAAGAGCATTAACCTAATTCTAAAAACATTTACTAAACTAAAGAAAAAGTATTTTATGGCTGGGTGCAGTGGCTCATACCTGTAATCTCAGCTCTTTAGGAGTCTGAAGTGGGCAGATCACTTGAACCCAGGAGTTCGAGACCAGTCTGGGCAACATGGTGAAACCCCGTCTTCACAAAGAGTACAAAAATTAGCTGGGCATGGTGGCATGGGCCTATAGTCCCAACTACTCTGGAGGCTGAGGCAGCAGGATTGCTTGAGCCTAGGATTTGGAGGCTGCAGTGAGGCATGATCGCTTCACTGCACTCCAGTCTGGGTGACAAAGCGAGAACCTGTCTCAAAGATATATATATTTTAGATTTTGTAGAAAACTTAAATATTTAACCACTTTAAGACATGGGAAAATGCTGAATTATATTAAAGGACTCAGACAAGCTACAGAAGAGACACTGAGAGAATGTTGGAGGGATAAAAGGAACTTCAAGAGAAAAAGATCAAGAACAATGATGAAAGAGAATCGTAAGTAGAAGGACTCATATAGAACCTCAGTACTGGAATAGTCAGTAAGTTATACCCAAAGTGGAAGAACATGATGTAGGAAATACGGAACACCACTGCGCACTGCTTGGCAAGGTACCAGGACAAGGCCAGGCGCGGTAGCTCACGCCTGTAATCTCAGGACTTAGGGAGGTTGAGGCAGCCGAATCGTCTGAGGTAGGAGTTCGAGACCAGCCTGGCCAGCATGGCAAAACCCTGTGTCTACTAAAAATACAAAAAGTAGCCAGGCGTGGTGGCGCACGCCTGTAGTCACAGCTACTCAGGAGGCTGAGGCAGGAGAATCACTTGATCCCGGGAGGTGGAGGTTGCAGTGAGCCAAGATCGTGTCCCTGAACTCTAGCCTTAGCAACAGAGCAAGACTGCCAAAAAGAAAAAAAAGAAAAAGAAAAAGAAAGAAATACCAGAAGAGTGTGACATATTGAATACAAGCGATCACCATGATGAAGCGCCTTCCCTCCATGCACCCAAAATTTGCCACACTGACTCTATTAAGAGTCACTGACAGAAGAACCTATAGAGAAGACATGAAAATACAACTCACAGATGGCTTTGACATCAATGGTGCCAAAATTCAATTACCTTCTGGAAACAATCTACTCATTTTTCTAATGCACATCCAGATTTTCTAGTTGATCTCATCACAAATTGGAATTCAATCATCCATTTAAAAAAATTCACTGAGTGCTTATCTATGTATCAGGCACTGTTTCAGGCAATGAGGATCCTGCAGTTGTAGGCAGGGAAAGGAGAACAAACAAACAAACAAAAAATCCCTGCTCTCATAGGGCTTACATTCTGGTGGGGGAAGACAGATAATTAAATAGGTAAGTGAATAAATAAACAAACTTTATAGTCTGTTGGGTGGTGATAAATGCTCTAGAGAAAAATAAGTCGGTAAGTAGAGATAGGAAACATCATGGAGAAGTCGGGAGTTATGATTTTAAATAGGGCCATCAGAGGAGGACTTTTTGAAAAGGTGACTTTGGTACACAACAAAACAAAACAAAACAAAACAAAAAACACCTGATTAAAGGATGGACGGGAGCCATGCAGAATTTTGTGGAGGAAGGGCATTCCAGGTAACAGGTGCAGGGGCCCTGAAGCAGGATGTTGCCTGATATAGTCCAGAAACAGCAGGGGGAGCCAGTGTGCAAGGAGTTGAGACTAGAGAAATGGTGCAGGGAGAGATTGTGCAGGGCCGTGGCGCAGGGCGTTCTAAGGCCTCTGATTTTGACTCTGAAATGGGAAGCCATTGGGAAGTTTAGAGCAGAGATGTGACCTAACGTGAAACATGTCAGTTGCACTATGTGGAGACTAGACTTGGAGGATTCAGGTGGAAGGAGGCCAATTAGGAGTCAATTATAATAATCAGCAATAAATGATGGTGGCCTGGACCAAGGTGGTGAGAAGTGGGAAGATCCCGGATGTATGTCAAAAAGCTGATATGTTAGAAGTAGTGCATGGGAGAGAGGAGTCAAGAGTCGCAAGGCTGGGTGCAGTGGCTCAAGCCTGTAATCTCAGCACTTTGGGAGGCTGAGGTGGGCAGATCACTTGAGACTCAGGAGCTCAAGACTAGCCTGGGCAACATGGTGAAACTCCAACTCTACAAAAAATAAAAAAAATTAGCCAGGCATGGTGCGGCATGCCTATAGTCCCAGCTACCTGAGAGGCTGAGGTGGGAGGATCACTTGAGCCCGGGAGGTTGAGGCTGCAGTGAGCCGAGATCATGCCACTGCACTCCAGCCTGGGTGACAGAATAAGAAAGATCCTGTCTCATAAAAAAAAAAAAAAAAACCTGCAAGATTTTTAATCTGAACAACTAGTAGGATGCAGTTACCATTTACTGAGATGGGGACCACTTTGGAGAAGTAGTTTGAGGAGCAAGATCAAAAAAGTGTGGATATGGCCAGGTGCAGTGGCTCACACCAGTAATCCCAAAACTTTAGGAGGTCGAGGCAGATGGATCACTTGAGGTCAGGAGTTCGAGACCAGCCTGGCCAACACGGTGAAACCCGGTCTCTACTAAAAATACAAAAATTAGCTGGGCGTGGTGGCAGGTGCCTGTAATCCCAGCTACTCAGGAGGCAGAGGCAGGAGAATTGCTTGAACCTGGGAGGCGGAGGTTGCAGTGAGCGGAAATCACGTCACTGCACTCCAGCCTGAGCGACAGGGCAAGACCCTGTCTCAAAAAAAAAAAAAAAAAGTTTGGATGGGCACATAGGTTTCGAGATGCCCAGCAGACATCCAGCTGGAGGTGTGGAATAGGCAGAGACACATCAGGAATTCAGGGAGCACTGGACTGGAGGTGAGCCCTTAGGAGTGATCAGCATACAGTATACTTGAAGCTGAGAAACTGAACCATTGTCATGGGAGTTAGTATAGAGAAAATAGGAAAGAATTCCAAGGACAGAATTCTTTTTTTTTTTTTCTGAGATGGAGTCTTGCTCTTGTTGCCCAGGCTGGAGTGCAATGGCACAATCTTGGCTCACTGCAACCTCTGCCTCCCTGGTTCAAGCGATTCCCTGCCTCAGCCTCACAAGTAGCTGGGACTGTAAGTGCACACGACCACACACGGCTAATTTTTTGTATTTTACTAGAGATGGGGTTTCAACCTGTTGGCCAGGATGGTCTCGAGCTCCTGACCTCGTGATCCGCCCACCTCGGCCTCCCAAAGTGCTGGAATTACAGGCCTGAGCCACCGTGCCTGGCCCCAAGGACAGAATTCTGGAGTTCTCTAACATGTAAGGGTCAAGGCGATAAGGAGGAACCAGCAAATGAATGGCCTGCAAAATGATGCAAATAAACAAGGACAAATTACACAGAGAACATGTAATAGCTTGAACTTGGATAGCGTTCTCATACCTCACATTCCTTTTACTCTACCAATACATATGCAAAACAGTTTCTTATTCATTTTCAATGCCCATGAAGAATTCACAGGAGGCCGGGCGCCATGGCTCATGCCTGTAGTTCCAACACTTTGGGATGCCCGAAGGGGGCAGATCGCTTGAACCCAGGAGTTTGAGACCAGCTTGAGCAACATAGTGAGATTCCATCTCTACAAAATAATTAAAAATTAGTTGGGTATGGTGGTGCACACCTGTAGTCCCAGCTACACTGGAGGCTGAGGCACGAGGATCCCTTGAGCCCAGGAGTTGCAGGCTGCAGTGAGCTATGATTGTAGCTGTGAATAGCCACTGTACTCCAGCCTGGACAACAGAGCAAGACTCTGTTTCAGGAAAAAAAAAAAAAAGGCCGGACGTGGTGGCTCATGCCTGTAATCCCCGCACTTTGGGAGGCTGAGGCGGGTGGATCGCCTGTGGTCAGGAGTTCAAGATTAGCCTGGCCAACGTGGTGAAACCCCATCTCTACTAAAAATACAAAAATTAGCCAGGCATAGTGGCGCGCACCTCTAATCCCAGCTACTCAGGAGGCTGAGGCAGGAGAATCGCTTGAACCCGGGAGGCAGAGGTTGCAGTGAGTGGAGATCGTGCCATTGCACTACAGCCTGGGCAACAGAGCAAGACTCTGTCTCAAAAAAAAAAAAAAAAATTCACAAGAACAGATTTTTGACAGAATCTGTTATACCTTCTAAAACCTGCATTTAGACCCAGAAAACTGTATTTGTCCTCAAGAGTTTGATTATTAAGTTACAATGAGATTATTGTCTTTATTATGATATTTATGAAAATAAAATGTTATTAATAACAAACTAAGCTCAGTTGGGCACAGTGGCTCACGCCTGTAATCCCAGCACTTTGGGAGTTTGAGGCGGGCAGATCGATTGAGCCCAGGAGTTCAAGACCAGCCTGGGAAACATGGCAAAACCCTGACTCTACCAAAAGTAGAAAAATTAGCCAGTCTCAAAACCTGGTCTCAAAATAAATGGATAGATAAAAATATTAAAAGAACCTGTGTAAAATATCCCAATTTAAAAAAATCTAAATGCATTGAAAAATGACTTCAAGTATGTAAAACATTTGGGCCGGGCGCGGTGGCTCGCGCCTGTAATCCCAGCACTTTGGGAGGCCGAGGCGGGCGGATCACGAGGTCAGGAGATCGAGACCATCCTGGCTAACACGGTGAAACCCCGTCTCTACTAAAAATGCAAAAAATTAGCCGGGCGTGGTGGCGGGTGCCTGTAGTCCCAGCTGCTCGGGAGGCTGAGGCAGGAGAATGGCGTGAACCCGGGAGGCGGAGCTTGCAGTGAGCCGAGATCGTGCCACTGCACTCCAGCCTGGGCGACAGAGCGAGACTCCGTCTCAAAAAAAAAAAAAACAAAAACAAAAAACAAAAACAAAAACATTTGATGGGATAACAATGGATAGCTTTTTCTTCTCAGTGCTTTTTAAATTTTTCCAAATTTTCTAAAATGAATGAGTGTATTTTTAAAAATACAAAATAAGCCAGGCGTGGTGGCTCATGCCCATAATCCCAGCACTTTGGGAGGCCAAGGCGGGCGGATCACAAGGTCAGGAGATCTAGACCATCCTGGCTAACACGGTGAAACCCCGTCTCTACTAAAAATACAAAAAATTAGGCAGGCATGGTGGCGAGCACCTGTAGTCCCAGCTACTCAGGAGGCTGAGGCGGGAGAATGGCATGAACCTGGGAGGTGGAGCTTGCAGTGAGCCGAGATTGCACCACTGCACTCCAGCCTGGGCGACAAAGCGAGACTCCGTCTCAAAAAAAAAAAAAAAAACTAAAAAAGCTACTACCTGGTGAACTTCAAAGCCCAACAGAATGAAATCAAAGCTATTTCATCCAGTGCTCTAATTAGAAGCTAAGGGCTGCTGCGTGTAGCTCTGTAGGGAACAGGAAAAGGGTATTGGTTTGGTTTGATTATTGTAAAATCAACATGAAGAAAGAAGTTGAAAAGGATCTGTTTAGAAAACAACATAACAAAATATTAATATATTAGTAAATTGGCAAACAAAGTTCTAAATTTTAAAAGCCAATACTCAAAAGGATGTGGCCAAAAAATTATATATTCTCTTTTTTGTTTTTTTGAGACAAGGTCTCCTCTGTCTCCCAAGCTGGACTGCAGTAGCACAATCAAGGCTCACTGCAGCCTTTGACTCCTGGGCTCAATCGATCCTCTCTCCTCAGCCTCCCAAGTAGCTGGGACTACAGGTGGGTGCCACCAAGCCCTAAAATTATATATTCTTATATACTACCTCTCTCTCTGTGTGTGTGTGTGTGTGTGTGTGTGTGTGTTTACACACACATTAATTTCGGAGTCAATAAAAGTTGTTTTTTGTTGTTTTTTTTTGAGACGGAATCTTGCTCTGTCTCCCAGGCTGGAGTCTACACTCCAGCGCAATCTCAGCTATCTGCAACCTCCGCCTCCCGGATTCAAGCTATTCTCCTGCCTCAGCCTCCCAAGTAGCTGGGACTACAGGCACATGCCACCACGCTAGGCTAATTTTTGTATTTTTAGTAGAGACGGGTTTTCACCATGTTGGTCAGGCTAGTCTTGAACTCCTGACCTCGTGTTCCGCCCACCTTGGCCTCCCAAAGTGCTGGGATTACAGGCGTGAGCCACTGTGCCCGGCTCTTTTTTTTTTTTTTTTTTTGACACAGAGTTTCGCTCTTGTTGCCCAGGCTGGAGTGCAATGGCGCAATCTTGGCTCACTGCAACCTCCTTCTCCCAGGTTCAAGTGATTCTCCTGCCTCAACCTCCCGAGTAGCTGGGATTACAGATGCCCGCCACCAGGCCTGGCTAATTTTTGTACTTTTAGTAGAGACAGGGTTTCACCATGTTGGCCAGGCTGGTCTTGAACTCCTGACCTCAGGTGATCCACCCACCTCAGCCTCCCAAAGTGCTGGGACTACAGGTGTGAGCTACCACACCTGGCCAATAAAAGTTCTTTAAATTCCAACGGTAGAGCAAACTTGGTATTCAGATTCCTTCCAGGTTTGACCAAAAGTGCACATGAGGGTCACTGCTGTGAGCCCAGGAAGGGTGGGACTGGGCACCGGTTGATCCAATGTGGCTGTTCCAAGGCTGCCCACACAGCCTCACCCAGGAGTCCTTCAAAAGCCCACAATGTGTGTGTGTGTATATAGTGTGTGTGTGTATATACGTTTGATTATTGTATATACACACATTCTTAGTGTTGATGCATTTCAGCACAATCTTGTTTTTTTGTGGGGTTTTTTTTGTTTTTGTTGTTTTGAGACAGTCTCCCTCTGTCACCCAGGTTGGACTGCAATGGCGTGATCTCAGCTCACTGCAACCTCCGCCTCTGTGGTTCAAGCGATTCTTGTGCCCCAGCCTCCTGAGTAGCTGGGATTATGGGCGTGTGCCATCACGCCCAGCTAATTTTTGTATTTTTAGTAGAGACAGTATTTCACCATGTTGGCAAGGCTGGTCTGGAACTCCTGACCTCAAGTGATCTGCCCACCTCGGCCTTCCAAAGTGCTGGCATTACTGGCGTGAGCCACCACGCCCGGCCACACAATCCTTTTTGAAAGCAATTTAGCAATATGAATGAAGAACCATAAAATGTGCATGTACAAAATGGTACAGCCCCTGTGGAAAGCAGCTTGGCAGTTTCTTATAAAACTAAGATACAACTACCATATGACCCAATGATTGCACTCATGGGCAATTATCCCAGAGAAATAAAAATTTACGTTCACACAAAACCTTGTACATGTATTTTCACAGCAGCTTTATCCATAATAACCCCAAACGGAAAACCACCAGATGTCTTTCAAAGGGTGAATGGTTAAACAAACCATGAATACTCTGCAATAAAATGGAACGAACTATTGATACACACAACTTGGATGATCTGCGGGGAACAATGCCGAGTGAAAAAAGCAATCCCAAGAAGTCACATACTGTATGATTCCATTTATGTAACACTTTTGAAATAACAAAATGGCAGAAATGGAGAACAGATTAGTGGTGGGAGGAGGTGGGGGGAGGGAGGTGTGGCTATAAAAGGGCAACTAGAGGGATCCTTGTGGTGATGGAAACTTCTTGTATCTTAACTGTACCAATGTCAATATTCTGGTGGCAAGAGGTTACTACTGGGGGAAAACGAGTAAACAGTACTTGGGATCTCTCTACATTATTTCTTACCACTCTACATGAACCTACAATGTTCTCAAAATAAAAAGTTTAATTTAAAAAATGTTTTTAGAGATAGGGTCTTGCTGTGTCACCCAGGCTGGAATGCAAGGGCTGGATCATAGCTTACTGAAATCTCCAACTGCCGAGCCTTTCAAGCGATCCTCCCACCTCCGCCTCCCAAAGCACTGGGATTACAAGCCTAAGCCACCGTGCCTATCGCAAATATTTACTTAAAAAAAAATCTTCTTTTGGCCAGTTATCCCAGGACGGGAAATCTATCCCGGGAATATAATCCAAAAGAAAACAAAAACAAAAACAAAATCGAAAAAAAGCAAGTCAAATGTACCAGACATTCACTGCAGCATTATTTAAAACAGGGAAAAAAGAAACAATCAGGGAAATACTTAAATCATGATACAGCCACTGGAGAACTACGCAGTCTTTGATGTCGCAACAGAGAAATGTTATTTGAAAAAGGAGGATACAGGCCAGGCGTGGTGGCTGATGCCTGTAATCCCAGCACATTGGGAGGCCGAAGCGGGTGGGATCACTTGACCTCAGGAGTTCAAGACCAGCCTGGGCAACATAGTGAAACCCCGTCTCTACGAAAAATACAAAAAAAAAAAAAAAAAAAAAAAGAAAAAGAAAAAATTAGCCGGGCGTGGTGGCATGCACTTGTAGTCCCAGCTACTCAGGAGGCTGAGGTGGAAGCATGGCTTGAGCCTGGGAGGCAGAGGTTGCGGTGTGTTGATCGCACCACTGCACTCCCGTCTGGGCAACAGAGAGAAACCTCGTCTCAAAAAAAAAAAAAAGAAAGAAAAGAAAAGAAAAAGGACACGAAATTGTGATACGACAACTCTGTGAAGACTACTAGATACATTACAAAATTTTTAATAGTAGTACTCTACGTGGCATTCTGGTAGAAATGATTTCCTTTCCTCAAACTCCCCATAATATTGTTACATGGTTTTTATACGGTCTGGGGGATGGGGGATAACATTAAATGACACCTTTTATGTTAAATCACAAACGCTGGAGTCAACAAAAGTTCTTTAAATTCCTCCAGCAGTAGAGCAAACTTGGTATTCCAATTCCCTCCAGGCTTTGACCAAGAGCGCACACGAGGGCCACCGCCTTCGTGATCAGAAGCGGGTATGACTGGGCACCGGTTGGTCCACTGCGGCTGTTCCAAGCTGCCCCCACAGCCTCACCCCAGGACTCCACCAGGAGCACAGGGAAGGGGTCCCCGAAAGTGGGCGAGGTCGCTGCCCGGAGGTAATGACCACTCCAAGGTCACCATGGAGAACCCGCAGACAGGGCTCGGTGTGGCCCAGGACTCCCCGACTCTTAAGTCCAGGTCTCACTCTCTGCGCCGCGCCGCGCCCCTCGCCCCATCCCGAGCAGCTACCCCGAAGCTCCCAGGGGCTCCGCCGAGGCGAATCCTCACATTGCGGCGTGGTGGCCGACAAAACCCGGGACCCTGATCTTGGCGCCTCCACGCCACCGCCCGGAGGCCAAGACCCCCGAGCGCCGCAGCATAGCGTAGCCCAGACCAGTCACCTCATCCTTTTTCGCCCTCTCAACCCAGCTTTTCCCGACTCCGGGAAGAACCGGGAAGAGAAGGCGGAGGGGAGCGAAGCGCCGCCTGATAAATACTGTGGCCCAGTCCCGCCCCCCTAACGTCACTTCCGCCCCGCGCCAAGATGGCGGCGCCCAGGCCCTGCCACGCAGACTTCCGCCCGGCGCGGAGACCGAAGGCTGGCGGCTGGTCGCGTTGCAGGTGAGGTTGTGACGCGCGGTGTGGAGCCGCGGCCCGGGTGCGTCCCTGTCTGGTTCCTGGGCGGGGTTCCTGGAGAGGGCGTGTCGCGAGCCAAAGGCTCTCACCTGGGTGGTCCCGGGAGTCTCGCCACGTGGGAGGGGAGGAGCTGAGAGGCCACTGGAGGGACGCACCGACTGGGGGACCGGAAAGCAAGGGGGTGGGGTTCCGCCAGGGTCCGCGTGTCAGTCCCCTCTGGTGATCTCGTCGCCCCTTCTCTCCCAGGCAACATGTCGGAAGGAAACGCCGCCGGCGAGCCCAGCACGCCGGGAGGGCCCCGACCTCTCCTGACTGGGGCCCGGGGGCTCATCGGGCGGCGGCCGGCGCCTCCCCTCACCCCCGGCCGCCTTCCCTCCATCCGTTCCAGGGACCTCACCCTCGGGGGAGTCAAGAAGGTACCCAACGGCGCGTTTCTAAAGAAACTCAACTACCTTGAATTCCAAGCCCCAGGATTCAACTAATGTTTGTGTAGGACCTACTGTGTGTCAGGACTGTCGTTGGGCCTCTCAAGCCTACCCCTCTTTAAATTCTAGGGAGTCTGTCCTACCTTCAAATCTAGGTACTGAGTACAAGATGTTGAAATGACTCCCAGAGGTGGTTGAAGGGCAGAGAATCCTAATAAGTTAAAGTCGTTCAAAAGCAATTTGAACAGTGTTTATTTACTTTTATTGTGTGTTTGGACATCTTTAAGAAACCCATGAAAGCCAGACAGGCATAAACTTCGCAGTCTTAGAGGGTTCAGAATTCACCATCTCTGTGTGCAAACTTTTTATCTAGAGTATGATGAATCCTAGGTATGGCATTCGAGGCTCTGTGGCCTCTCCCATGTGTATATGACTGTGGATGTCAAGAGTAGCCCAGAAAGGGGTGGGGTCAGGATGACAGAAGAACAAAGCAGGTTTTGGTTTTGGTTTTGGTTTTTTTTGAGAGGAAGTCTCGCCGTTGTCCCCCAGGCTGGAGTGCAATGGCACGATCTCAGCTCACTGCAACCTCTGCCTCCCAGGTTTGAGCGATTCTCCTGCCTCATCCTCCTGAGTAGCTGGGATTACAGGCGCCCGCCACCATGCCCAGCTGATTTTTGTATTTTTAGTAGACACAGGGTTTTGCCATGTTGGCCAGGCTGTTCTTGAACCCCTGACCTCGTGATCCGCCCGCCTGCCTCGACCTCCCAAGGTGCTGGGATTACAGGTGTGAGCCACCGCTCCTGGCCGAATAAAGCGGTTTTTTGGTTTTTTGTTTTGTTTTTAAGGGAATCTCTTTCTGTCGCCCAGGCTGGAGTGCAGAGGCACCATCTCAGCTCACTGCAACCTCCGCCTCCCGGGTTCAAGCGATTCTCCTGCCTCAGCCTCCCGAGTAGCTGGGATTACAGGGGCCCGCCACCGCGCCCAGCTACTTTTTGTAGTTTTTAGTAGAGACGGGTTTCACCATCTTGGCCAGGCTGATCTTGAACTCCTGACCTCGTGATCCACCCACCTTGGCCTCCCAAAGTGCTGGGATTACAGGCATGAGCCACAACGCCCAGCCATAAAGCAGTTTTTAAAAACCTAACTTTGCCTTGGAAAATTGTGGTGACAGTCCATAGTCACCTGATTGAAAGTGTTGGCAGATCTATGGCCTTCCCTACTTAGGCCTTGCTGCTAGAGCTGTTCCCCCATGATACTGACTGGTCTCTATAGCAGTTTGAAGAGAAGAGGTGAGACCAGAGAAATTCCTTTGCTTTTAGAAGTCCCAGAGGATCTTCTTTCAGAGGCAGAACCTAAGGCTGCTGGTTAAAAGTGGGTTTTGGTGCCCCCTTCTATGTGTAACTCCACTGCTACCACACTATGACATTCCTCCTTTTCAGGCACATGTGTATCTATAAAACTGACAGCACTGTGGAATGTGCCAACGAGAGCCGTGGTGGCCTTGGTCTGTAGAAGATGCCCTTTGGGAATTTTTATTTTCCTCTGTACTTTGGGGTCAGAACCTAACACATCAGTGACTCCTGTATTTTGCTTTCAGAAAACCTTCACCCCAAATATCATCAGTCGGAAGATCAAGGAAGAGTAAGTAGCTAGGCCTTCTGAATACTTGCCCCTTATTTACTTGCTCTGAATTTGGGGCTTTGGGGGAAATAACTAGGTTTGTAGCTCCAAAATTTAAATTTATATCTTTAGTTCTTTTCACTAGTGATTTTCAACCCTGGCTCCTAGGTGATTCTGCAAGCTTTAAAAAATAAATAAATAAATAAATAATTACTGGTGTCTAGGGTTCCATCTTTAGAAATTGTGATTTAACTTGCTGGCAGTAGAATGGAGTGATTCTCTTTGTTGCCCGAGTTGAGAGCCAATAGTTTAAACAAAGATGTATCACACTTTCCCTGAAGTTCCTTTGCATTTCTGCCTTCCTGCTTTCAGTCCCAATGCAAACAAAAATCTATATTTTTGGACAAGAAGGTAAAGTAAAGCAAACTGAAAAAATCCTGCCTCATCAAGGAAGTGAGAAAAGTGCTAGAATTAGGATTGGATTCTGCTTCTCATGGTGTAAATATTGGCTCAAACTCTCCACTGTTTTGGAGTGAAGTGGTATGGGAGAGTAAGGCCAGATTTTGGAGACACAGTGAGTGAGTGGTTTCCCTTAATCCATTCTTTTTTCCAGGCCCAAGGAAGAAGTAACTGTCAAGAAGGAGAAGCGTGAAAGGGACAGAGACCGACAACGAGAGGGGCATGGACGAGGGCGAGGCCGTCCAGAAGTGATCCAGTCTCACTCCATCTTTGAGCAGGGCCCAGCTGAAATGATGAAGAAAAAAGGTATAAGGAAGGAATCAGTGAATTTCAGTTCAGACTGCCCCAGAGAAGGGCGAGAACAGTGGAATTTCCCCACTCCCATTTCCGTTTTCCTTGCTGTTGGGCATCTTCCTTATCGATCCCTAGTGACCTGGGTGATTTCCCACAGGGAACTGGGATAAGACAGTGGATGTGTCAGACATGGGACCTTCTCATATCATCAACATCAAAAAAGAGAAGAGAGAGACAGACGAAGAAACTAAACAGATCTTGCGTATGCTGGAGAAGGACGATGTGGGTACCAGGAGGCTGGGGGAAGGGGTTTCCTTGTGGCTGTAGAACAGGGCTTCTGGGGAGCCAGGTGAGGGGTAGAAGAGCTTACTGATGTCCTGGAATCCTGGGGAGCAGCGGAATCTTTGGTTAGAAAGGGACTAAAGCAGACTTTGATCCAGGTGCATGTGCTAGCAGGCTGGATGACCCAGACTCTCTTTGGCAGTTCCTCGATGACCCCGGCCTGAGGAACGACACTCGAAATATGCCTGTGCAGCTGCCGCTGGCTCACTCAGGATGGCTTTTTAAGGAAGAAAATGACGAACCAGATGTTAAACCTTGGCTGGCTGGCCCCAAGGAAGAGGACATGGAGGTGGACATACCTGCTGTGAAAGGTACTCTGTCGGTTAACTTCTCATCTCCAATTCCATGGCTGCTCCCCAGGAATCCCGTGCATCAGGCATCCCTTGCATGTGCCCCTGACTGCTGCTCGTGAGCAGGTCCTCCCATTCCGGCTGTAAGATACATGAGCTGAACAAAGATGCTCCATTCTCCCTCGCAGAGGGTTCCTGTGTTGACAGGGAGCAGTGGGCCTAGCCTCAGATGTCCCTTTTTAGATAAGTCATGTGAGACTTGAACGTGTTGTCTCTTGCCCCTCTGTATAACTGGTGCCTCCTTCCCACTCCCTGGCTGAGTGACAGTGGAGCAGACAGGGGCAAAGGGCTGGTAACAGTGAGCTGGTATGGAGGGTGGTCACTTGATAGCATTCCATGTCTATCACCCGGGCAGTGAAAGAGGAGCCACGAGATGAGGAGGAAGAGGCCAAGATGAAGGCTCCTCCCAAAGCAGCCAGGAAGACTCCAGGCCTCCCGAAGGATGTATCTGTGGCAGAGCTGCTGAGGGAGCTGAGCCTCACCAAGGAAGAGGAACTGCTGTTTCTGCAGCTGCCAGACACCCTCCCTGGCCAGCCACCCACCCAGGACATCAAGCCTATCAAGACAGAGGTGCAGGGCGAGGACGGACAGGTGGTGCTCATCAAGCAGGAGAAAGACCGAGTACGCTCAGACAGAGGCCTGCGGGAATCAAGTCGGGGACTGGGACGGGAAGTGGTGACCTGTAGTGGGAAGCAAAGCCGTGTCACCCTGGCTGAAATGGGACAATAATGGGTGGTTATTCTTGACGCCTGCAAGAGCCATGGGGCTTTGTACCTCCAACCCCAATTGTGTATGTGTTGTGGGGGTGTGTGTTCACTTCTTATAAGGAAATATTTCAAACACAAATGAGAGAACATATGGCCAGATGCGGTGGCTCATGCCTCTAATCCCAGCGCTTTGGGAGGCTGAGACAGGAGGATCACTTGAGCCCAGGAGTTCGAGACTAGCCTGGGCAACGTGGTGACACCATGGCTAATACAAAAATTAGCCAGGCATGGTGGCGTGTGCCTGTAGTCCCCGCTACTTGGGAGGCTGAGGCGGGGGAATGGCTTGAGTCCAGGAGGCAGAGGTTGCAGTAAGCCTAGATCATGCCACTATACCCCAACCTTGGCGACAGAGTCAGACCTTGTCTCAAAAAAATAAGAGAACGTAAACCGCCATGTACCAGAACTCAGCTTCAGCAGTAACTGATATTTTGTCCGTGTATGTATTTGTTTGCTGTGGGTTTTGTATTTTAACCATAGCAGACAGCCCTAGGAGAAGGCACTCTTTGGGGAGCTCATTTTGACCTTTGCTGTGCCTTTCTCTTGGGGAGTAGAAGGGGGTTCATGAAAGATGGAGGAAAGAGCTCCTAGCCCAGTGTCCATCCTCTGGTTTTCTCCGCAGGAAGCCAAATTGGCAGAGAATGCTTGTACCCTGGCTGACCTGACAGAGGGTCAGGTTGGCAAGCTACTCATCCGCAAGTCTGGAAGGGTGCAACTCCTCTTGGGCAAGGTGACTCTGGACGTGACCATGGGAACTGCCTGCTCCTTCCTGCAGGTAAGAGCCTCCTTAGGGGCAAGGAGGGACCCTTTCAGGAGTGAAGGAGGATTGAAGAGCCACTGCTAAATAAGGGAGGGGGTTTCTGGGAGTATCATGTCCCCATTCACAGCTCTACACGCCGGGCACGTGGTGGTGGTTCTCATCACTGTCTCTGTTAATTGGCAGGAGCTGGTGTCCGTGGGCCTTGGAGACAGTAGGACAGGGGAGATGACAGTCCTGGGACACGTGAAGCACAAACTTGTATGTTCCCCTGATTTTGAATCCCTCTTGGATCACAAACACCGGTAAAATGAGCAGGTGGAGGAGGACGGCGCCTGTGCCCACGGCTGCTGCCTGCTCCAGACATTTTGTTCTTGAATCTGTGAGACCCAGAAGGGGCCCACTGAGCCCACTCACTCCAGCCTTTGGCAACCATTGTTCCAGGTCCCCCAGGGCTTCCTCCCACAGCAGCTGTGAATGGCACAGTGACCTTCCTGCAGCGTGGAGATGGCACATCCTTGCTGCTGGGGACTTGGCCCTGCTATTTATTTTTGTATTTATGTCTTAATCTCTTCCACTGATGCATCCTCCAAGGGTAGATGGGGAGGGTCTGTGTGAAGGGGCCGGCTTCTCTTGGTGCCTGCTGGGTTGCAGGGGCAGGAAGCGTGTGGACTGCAGCTTCTGCTGGTGCTCCCCCCGTCCTCCTGGAGGCAGTATAGGAGAGAGAGCAAGGATTGAGTCTGAGACTTAAGCACTCGGTCCCAGCTTGCCAGTTCCTGGTTCTGTGTCCTTGGACAAACTACCTAACCTTTCTGAGCCTCCTATACCTCATCCGACACAAATGGGGATGATACCTACCTCCAGGGTTGGCGTGAGGATTCATGGGCTATTATAGATGAAAACTGCACAAGGCCAGAACCAGCAGGCACTCAATAAACGTTCATGTCCTTTTTCTCTACCTGAGTCTATTTTCAAACAAAATAGAGATTCTAAATCTCCCAGAAGCAGCGACTAGAGCTGCTCCCGTCCCCACTCTTGCCCCTTCCTGCTTTATATCCCGTCCTCACCCTGGGCCTGATGCCCTAAATTTATGGTGTCAGATTGTTCTATGCCTTTTTCTCCTGGCTCCTGTTAGCCAGGTGCCTCCTGTGTGAGTTACTGTAATAGCTGCAGGTAATAGAAAGGAAGAAGTCAGAGACCCCTCCCAGCACCCTACAAAAGCCTTTGGGGGACATGTTGGGCCCAGGACATGTTCCCTGCACTCTTTCCTTTGCAGTTAGTACTCATGTATGAGCCGAAGTCATATATTGCTAACAAAAAAACTAAATCCTTCATAAGAGAAGTTAGGGATGTATTGAATAATGGCCTCTTTGACACTTGGCCGATGATGCCCACTTCAAAAACTTTGGGTTTCAGAGGCCTGCCCGTCTCCTGTCCTAGCACTGCCAGAGCCACCTACTCAGTGTTACTTTTTTGGGTCTGTGATCCTGTTCCCTTTACCAGGTCATTGTACTGTGTTGTCCCTGGAGGAACAGCTTCTCCTCTTGTCTTGACAGTAGGGCTGGGGTTTTCCCTGGTTCAGCTGGGGAGACGTTTGCAGGTTAGAAAAAGGTCTCATGCGGCAGCGTGTGTGGCTGTTAGACGCTGATGGCACAACTTCCCTTTGCTGGCGTCGTGGCACCTGGCCTCTGGGACAGTATGAACCATAGGGGCTCAGGAAGAACCGCTTCCCCTCCACCCCCATCCCTGATTCCTAGTGGCCCCTTAGATTTTGGGTACATCTTCCTTCAGGCTCACCTTCCTTCTTTTCAAAGTTCCTCAAGCCTGTTACTCATTTGTCAAGGCTGGGCTTCTCCTACAAAGCCCTCAACCTGCCCAGCCAGCAGCTGTGAGGCTGACTGAATATTTGGTGACCATATCACCCTTTCTGGTGCTGAAGCTCATGTCAGCTCCATTGGACAGTGTTATTCTGGGCTCTTCTCACTGTAGAGGACTGGAGCAGAAAGGGTTCCTTGGAAACCTGTGCTGGGAAGCCCTGTTTGGTCTAAGGCTAAGCTTTGGTTAACTCTGGGCTCCAGCCCTTTCTTCCTTTAAATAGCTGATGCACGGCCAGCAGGTCTCCATTCTCATCCTCTCTTTCTATTCTGTTTCTTTGGTTCAGAAATACTCTTCTGCTTTTTTTGGACGAACTCAATGGCCCGATGTTAGATATTGGGTATTTTTCAATCTTCTGTTTTCTGACCCTTCCAAGAAAGTTTGAGGAAGAACATGTACTGCTTTCACGTTCATTTCGCCCATTCAGATGTCTTGGCTTGAACCTTATGACTCCGTATCAAAGTCCTCACAACCTGTCTCAGATCCCTGATGCACAAATTAGGTCTTATTAATAAGTGTGGGAAAAGAGAGGAGAGTCCACCTTCTTGGTCAGGCCCCTGAGGCATGCATTTCTACCAAGGAATATGGACAGATGACAGAGGAGAAGAGCCCAAAGCCAAATTTATACATGAGTGCAAGTGGATGCAAATTTGTTGCTCCCTGCATCTGTGTATATGCTTTCTGTTAAATACAGAAAGAAGGAACAATAGGCTTGCACACTTTTCTAACTACATGTTTAAGTGGCAGAGTCCAGGCTGTCGAGTCACGGTTGGGTTTGAATCTGACTCCACCAGTAACTTTGGTTGGAAAAAATCACTTATCCTCTTTAAGCTTGATTTTATTTATTTTATTTTATGTAAGAGTGAGACAGTAGTAGCTTAATAGGGTTGCTTTTAAATTAGAGTGAACATGAGGCATTTATTCGGTGCCAGACAGATAACTGCCTATAACAGGATGTGATCAGCACAAGTAACAGAAAATTAGCCTGACGGTGGCTTAAGCAATGGGAATGTTTATCTCACATAGCAAAAAGTCTGTAAATAGATGGTTCTAGAGTTGGGTGGAAGCCAAAATGTCATCAGGATTTCCTTGGAACCGTCTGCTTTGCCATCCTCAGTATTGCAGAATGGCTGCTCCTGCGCCAAGCATCATTCTGCAAATGATGGTGTCCACAGCCAGAGTGGACAGTAGTACAGGAGCCTTCTCATTCTGCCCTTATCCGGGAATAACCGTCAGCAGCTCCAGCAACCTCCCCCCTGTCTCTTTATAGAGTGGGGCCACGTGCCCACTCTTGGACCAGGCCCTGGCAAAGGGGGATGGGTCGACTAGTGTATCCCCTGGCACTGAGCACACTTGCCCTTGAGCTGGGGTTTTGTTAGTAGGGAGGAAGCTGGAGTGGCAGTTGGATAGACAATTCATAGTAGCTGCTGCCATGTTCAAAAAATGCTGCAATGTAAAATCATAAAGTATTCATCTAGGCATAACTTTTTAAAATATTCAGTCACCTTTTATTCTACTAAAATCAATTTTAACATTTTAGTGTATATTATTTTATTTTAGATTCAGCAGGTACATGAGCATGTTAGTTTTGTTTTGTTTTGTTTTGTTCTGTTTTGTTTTTTGAGATGGAGTCTCACTCTGTCGCCCAGTGGTGTGATCTTGGCTTACTGCAACTCTGTCTCCCAGGTTCAAGTGATCCTCCCGCCTCAGCCCCCCAGATAGCTGGGATTACAGGCACATGCCACCACACCTGGCTAATTTTTGTATTTTTAGTAGAGACGGGAGTTTCACCATGTTGGCCAGGCTGGTCTCAAACTCCTCACCTCAAGTGATCTACCTGCCTCAGCCTCCCAAGTGCTGGGATTACAGGCGTGAGCCACTGCGCCCAGCCACATGTGCGTGTTTGTGTATATTGCGTACTGGTGGGGATTGGGCTTCTGTCATACCTATCACCCAAATAGTGAACATTGTACTCAGGTAGCATTTCAACCCTTGCCCCCCCTCCCACTCACCCCCTTTTGGAGTGCCCAGTGTTTGCTATTTCCATCTTTATGTCCATAGGTACCCATTATTTAGCTCCCACTTATAAGTGAGAACATGTGCTATTTGATTTTCTGTTTCCGAGGTTAGGATAATTACCTCAAGCTCCATCCATGTGGCTGCAAAGCACATGATTTCATTGTATTTTATGACTGCTCATGTATATTATTTCAGCCTCCAAAATTTTGTATGTTATTTATAATGATATAAATTATGTGGTTTTATCGTGTACTCTATCTCACTCAGAAATACATACAATTCTTCGTTCCCAGCTACTCTGGAGCTGAGGTGGGAGGATCACTTGAGCCCAGGAGTTCAAGACCAGCCTGGGCAACATGGTGAAACCTTGTCTCTGAAAAATAAATAATACACACCCACATGCACACACATCCAGTTCTTCCATGTTAATGAGTATGTTGTGTTTCACATACTTCTGAATTAGCCGAAGGAATTAAAGGTAGCATCTTTTAATCCTCAGACTGCCCTGCGTGGTCCGATTGAATTGGGCAGTCAGCACTAGGCTCTTCAAAGGGAAACAGGCTTCTTTCTTAGGACGGTGCACAGTGAAAGAGTGGCACACACGCTGTTCATCCAGTGCTCCAACCCCCAGTCCTGGTGTCAGATACTTCTACATTTGGGGCATTTCCCCTTGAGATGGCTGTGGCTAGCGACACATGATGTGAACACCTCTCTTGGATTGTGGTTCGGCCGCACAAGGCCCCATCAGAGTTCTACAGGTGGAGTGTGGGGCCCAGAAGGGGCTCAGGTCTTAGGGGTGTCATCTGAAAAAACAGAGATGGTGATGGGACACCAGTTCTAGGAGCCCTCTGCATGGCCACTTTCTGCCTCAGCTCTTCTAAAGCATTTCTTCTGTTCCCTTCCATTGGGGTAACCACTGATCTGTCTTCCCAAAAACTGAGTCAGAAGTTGGACTTTGTTACTTGGCTCATCTACATTTAAGATATAGTCAGAAAAAAAATGCAGTCTTTACATCTTAAGAAAGCTTACATGGGCCAGGCGCAGTGGCTCACACCTGTAATCCCAGCACTTTGGGAGGCCAAGGTGGGCGGATCACCTGAGGTCAGGAGTTCGAGACCAGCCTCAACATGGAGAAACCCCGTCTCTAGTAAAAATACAAAATTAGCTGGGCGTGGTGGTGCATGCCTGTAATCCCAGCTACTTGGGAGGCTGAGGCAGGAGAATTGCTTGAACCTGGGAGGCGGAGGTTGCGGTGAGCCAAGATCACGCCATTGCACTCCAGCCTGGGCAACAAGAGTGAAACTCCATCTCAGAAAAAAAAAAAAAAAAATAGAAAGCTTACATGAAAGAAAAAGAAAAATGCAGTCTTGATCACTGTTGGCCTGGAGACTTTATCTTGTGTGTTTTCCAGGGCGTGCATGAGGTTTCACTGGACAAGTAGAAACCATTCTAGGTATTCAGAAAGAGTTAATACAAGAAGAGAAGTTTATAGACTCGTTGGAAGGCTGGAGGAGTGAGCCATAGGTTAAGCATCCAGGAATCAGCACCCCCTAGAACAGATGGTGAGGGAGCTACACCCTCTGCCACAATCAGGAGGGTGGAGACTCAAGCTCGACTGAGTTCCGGAACACAACACACTGCCACAGCTGCCAGCCAGGGGTGAGGGAATCCCACAGCCCCAGCTGCCTCTGGGGAACCATACAGCTGTAGCTGGACCCTGGCACACCTGAAGAAAGTGCCTGCTGTGTGCTAGGCACCCTGCAGGAGTTAGGAAAGCAGTGGTTAGGGGCTGTGTCCTGCTGGAGGAGCCTGCACTCTAGTGAGGGAGACAGGATAAGCTTAAGGAAGGACGTTAAAAGGTGACAAGAGTTTGGGAACTTGCAGGGAGCAGGGGATTCTGGGTGGTGGCGGGCATGTTGCAGCAAGTAGGGTAGGTCTCCTTGAGAGGGTATCGTTTGAGGAAGTGAACCAGCGGGATCAGATGCAGGTGGGGAGAGTGCTCTGGGCTGAGTGAAGAGTAAGACAGAGACTGGCTGGAGCTGAGGGAGTGAGAGGGGTGGGACCTGGCCCTGGAGGGCTTTTAGGCCATGGTAGGGACCTTGGCTTTATTCTTTTTTTTTTTTTTTTTTTTTTTTTTAGACGGAGTCTCGCTATGTTGCCCAGGCTGGAGTGCAGTGGCGTGATCTTGGCTCACTGCAACCCCCACCTCCCAGGTTCAAGTGATTCTCGTGCCTCAGCCTCCTGAGTAGCTGGGATTACAGGCACCCGCTACCAAGCCCAGCTAATTTTTGTATTTTTAGTAGAGACAGGGTTTCACCAGGTTGGCCAGGCTGGTCTCAAATGCCTAACCTCAGGTGATCCACCCGCCTCGGCCTCCCAAAGTGTTCGAATTACAGGCGTGAGCCACCACACCCAGCCCGGCTTTATTCTTAAAGTGACCTGGTGAGCCAGCTGGTGTGGAGATGAGGCGGGAAGCAGGGCTGATGGAGTCCCTGGACAGTGGATGGCAGTGGCTTGGCCAGGCCGCTAACAGCAGGGGCACTGGGAAGTGATTGGATTCTAGATACTGATTTCAAGGGTAGCACACACGTGATCTGCTGATAGATTCCATGTCAGGTGTGAGAGGGAGGAGAGTCAAGCTCATCCACAGCTCTGGCAGCGGAAGACGGCCAAAGTGAAGAAGGTGGCCTCAAGTTTACCTCCACCTTCCAAACCTCAACTGGTAAAACCTCATGCATGCCCAGAATGCTAGCACAAGAGATTTAGGGAAATGTGGGTATTTTGCTTTCTGGCCCTGCAGTTCAGGTTCCACCTTATAAAATGGGAGTGGCGTGGGTGGTGGGCGCCACCAGCCATATTCACGGGAGTTAGCATAAGGGTTCACAGTTTGAGTGAAGCTTCCTGAGACTGTGCCGTGCTGCCAACACAGTTCTCTCCGATTCATTCCCTCAAAACAGTATATTCCCAATGAAAGCACGACCAGTACTTAAACTAGCCATGTTCAGTGTGGCTCTCAGACCTTTCCCCAGGGCAAGATGATCACAAGAATTCCTTTAGGAACGTCTCTTAAATTGTACAACTAAAGTTTAATGGTTATATTAGAATCCGTCTTCGTACTATGAAAATTCACCCAACTGATCTCCCATTTCTGGGATATTTAGATTTTTTCTAGTTTTTCATCGTTTAAAAAATGATGCAGCCTGGGGTGGTGGCTCATGTCTATAATCCTAGCAGTTTGGGAGGCCAAGGCTGGTGGATCACTTGAGCTCAGGAGTTTGAGACCAGCCTGGGCAACATGGTGAAACCCCATCTCTACCAAAAATATAAAACTTAGCCAGGCATGGTGGCTTGCTCCTGTACTCCCAGCTACTTGGGGGGCTGAAGTGGGAGGATTGCATGAGCCCAGAAGTGGGAGGTTGCAGTGAGCTGAGACGAGATCGCACCACTGCACTCTAGCCTGGGTGACAGTGAGAACTTGTCTCAAAAAATAAATAAATAAATAAAATCCATTAAATTGCCAGTGTCCTCAATTATTTCCTTAGGAGTCTCTATTTAAAATGGTTTTCCTGACCAGACTGGGCAATGTAGCAAGACCTGGTCTCTAGAAAAAAAAAATTTTTTTTAATTAACTGGGCGTGGTGATATGAGGTTATATAGCGCCAGCTACTCTGAAGGCTGACGTGCGAGGATCAGTTGAGCCCAGGAGTTTGTTAAGTCCAATCCTATGAGATTTTTAAGGATTTTGATAGATTTTTCCCTCCAGAATGTTTGCATCTATTCACATGTGCATCAGCAGTGCATTTGTAGTTAAATGTGTAGTTAACGTTCTGTTTTTAAAACTATACAAATGTTGGGCCAGGCGCCATGGTTCCTGCCTGTAATCCCAGCACTTGGGAGGCCAAGGTGGGTGGATCACTTGAGGCCAGGAGTTTGAGACCAGCCTGGCCAAAATGGTGAAACCCTATCACTACAAAAAATAAAAAATTAGCTGGGCCCATGGTGGCACGCGCCTGTAATCCCAGCTACTCAGGTAACTGAGGCCCAAGAATTGCCTGAACCAGAGAATTGCTTGAAGCCAGGAGGCGGAGGTTGCAGTGAGCTGAGATCACGCCACTACACTCCAGCCTGGGGGACAGCGTGAAACTGTGTCTCAAAAAAAATATATATATATATATACACACACACACACACACACACACACACGTACATGTGTGTGTGCATGTGTGCAAATGTTGGGCCAGGCAGCGTGGTTCCTGCCTGTAATCCCAGCACTTTGGGAGGCCAAGGTGGGCGGATCACCTGAGGTCAGGAGTTCGAGACAAGCCTAACTAACATGGAGAAACCCTGTCTCTACTAAAAATATAAAGTTAGCCGGGTGTGGTGGTGCATGCCTGTAATCCCAGCTACTCAGGAGACTGAGGCAGGAGAATCACATGAACCTGGGAGGTGGAGGTTGCGGTGAGCCGAGATCACACCATTGCATTCCAGCCTGGGCAACAAGAGTGAAACTTTGTCTCAAAAAAAAAAAAGAAAAGAAAATATGGTAAATGCGTGATTTTTATTAAATATATAAACTGATACAATGTGAGTGCTGAAGAAAAAATTCTTATTTCTATGGAAACTAAGGTAAAGGCTTTGGCAAGATTAAAGATGAGGCTGAGCGCAGTGGCTCACGCCTGTAATCCCAGCACTTTGGGAGGCTGAGGCGGGTGGATCACTTGAGGTCAGGAGTTCGAGACCACCCTGACCAACATGGTGAAACCCTGTCTCTACTAAAAATACAAAAATTAGCTAGGCGTGGTGGCACAAGCCTGTAATCCCAGCTACTTGGAAGGCTGAGGCAGGAGAATCACATGAACCCAGGAAGTGGAGGGTGCAGTGAGCCGAGATCACTCCATTGCACTCCAGCCTGGGCGACAGAGGGAGACTCTCTCAAAAAAAATAAAAAAAATAAAAATGATGTGATAGAGGCTGTTGGTTGTTCCTCAATATCCAAATATCCACTCTTTCCTTCTTCCATGATAATGAGCCTTGACTTTTAGGAGGGCACGTACTCATTCAATACAAAGACCACATTCTCAGCCTCTTTTGAGAGCAGAGGTGACTCTATCATTACTTTCTGGACAATGGCATGTAATCATAAACATGGGGCAGTGCTAAGGTTTGGATGTTTGTCACCTTCCAAAATTCATGTTGAAATTTAGTCCCCAGTGCAACAGTACTAAGAGGCGGGACCATTAGGAGGTGATCTGACCGTGAGGGCTCCCACCTCGTGGATGGGATTAGTGCCCTCATTAAAGGGCTTGAGGGAATGTTTGTCCCTTTTCCACCTTCCACCATGTGAGGACATAGCAACAAGGCATCATGCTTGAAGCAGAGAGGGCAAGCCCACAACAGCCACTAAATCTGCTGGCATCTTGATCTTGGACTTCCCAGCCTCCAGAACTGTGAGAAATAAATCTCTATTTACAAATTACCCAGTCTGTGGTATTTGTAACAGCAGCCAGATGGACTAAGACAGGGAGCTCCCAGGAGCTTTCCTTAAAGGAGACATGATACATGCCTCTGTTAGTTGGCAGGGGTGGGGGAATTATGAACCTTTATTTAAAGATTTATTTTTAAAAATAAAATAAGTAAAACAAACTACCATTCTCCTTGTCTGTTTACTCTACCATTCCCCTTTTCCTATGTCCTCAAGCCTCCAACGCCTCTCCCCAGTTCTCACTCTCAGCTGAGAACACTGCTTCTCAGTGCATTAAGAAAATAGAAGCAATCAGCCAGGCGCAGTGGCTCATGCCTGTAATCCCAGCATTTTGGGAGGCCGAGGCAGGTGGATGACCTGAGGTCAGGAGTTCCAGAGCAGCCTGGCCAACATGGTGAAACCCCATCTCCACTAAAAATACAAAAATGAGCCAGGCATGGTGGCGGGTGCCTGTAATCTCAGCTACTCAAGAGGCTGAGGCACGAGAATTGCTTGAACCCAGGAGGCGGAAGTTGCAGTGAACCAAGATCGCGCCACTGCACTCCAGCCTGGGTGACAGAGCAAGACTGTGTCAAAAAAAGAAAAAGAAAATAGAAGCAGTTGGAGAGGGTGTGGTTCCCACTACCACATCTTGAGTCTGCGTCCAGGTGCCTGTTCTTGCCTCCTATTCCTATGGATGAACTGTCTGGCCGGGCGCAGTGGCTCACGCCTGTAATCCCAGCACTCTGGGAGGCCGAGGCAGGCAGATCACCTGAGGTCGGGAGTTTGAGACCAGCCTGACCAACAAGGAGAGACCCTGCCTTTACCAAAAATAAAAAAATCTGCTGGGTGTGGTGGCACATGCCTGTAATCCCAGCTACTTGGGAGGCTGAGGCAGGAGAATTGCTTGAACCTGGGAGGCAGAGGTTGCAGTGAGCCAAGATTGTGTCATTGCACTCCAGCCTGGGCAACTAGAGCAAAACTCCTATCTCAAAAAAAAAAAAAAAGGAAACCTATGGATGAACTGCCTGCTCCTCCCTGAGACAAGACCCTTCAGTGGGCCTTAGATCCCATTCCCTCTTGTCCACTCAAAGGATACGGCTCCAGCAAACACCTCCCTCACCCACTTACCCACACATATTGATCCCCTTCACACACATATAGACCACTCCCATATTCACCCACTCCCCACACATATAGACCAGCCCCACAGGATACAAAGCAGTAGTCCCCTCCTATCTGCAGGGGACAAGTTCCAAGACCCCCAGTGGATATTTGAAACTGGAAAGCACTGAGCCCTAGATATACTATGTTTTTTCCTACTCATACATACCTATGATGAAGTTTAATTTATAATTTAGCACATTAAGAGATTAACAGCAGTAAGGAGAACAATTATAACAATATACTGTAATAAAAGTTATGTAAATGTGGTTCTCTCTCAACATCTTATTGTACTCATCCTTGTGATGATGTGAGATGGTACAATGCCTTTGTGATGAGATGAGGTGAGTGGCATGGTCATTGGGGCACAGTGTTAGGCTACTACAGACTTTTGAAGATACATCAGTAGGAGGATCATCTGCTTCAGGTGATCCTGGACTACTGAGCCATGACAATGTAGATGGTTTATGTCAGGGGCTATGTGTGTGCCTTGCCTCCTTTCCTGGTACTTCCTCATCTCTCCAGCTCTAAATATGGAATGCCCAGGGCTCAGGCCTTTCAAGGTTTCTCTTATCTGTCTACCCTGCTTCCCTCAGCAATCTCAGCCAGAATCATGGCTTTAAACTTTCTTTTTTTTTTTTTTTTTTTTTTTTTTTAGACGGAGTCTCACTCTGTTGCCCAGGCTGGAGTGCAGTGGTGTGATCACGGCTCACTGCAAACTCCCCTCCTGGGTTCACGCCATTCTCCCGCCTCAGCCTCGTAGCTGGGACTACAGGCGCCCACCACCACGCCCAGCCAATTTTTTTGTATTTTTAGTAGAGACGGGGTTTCACTACATTGGCCAGGCTGGTCTTGAACTCCTGACCTCGTGATCCGCCCACCTTGGCCTCCCAAAGTGCTAAGATGACAGGCATGAGCCACCGCGCTCGGCCAGCTTTAAACTTCCTATGTCTAGTGAGCTGTGATCGTACCACTGCACTCCAGCCTGGGTGACAAAGCAAGATCCTGTCTCAAATAAAAGGAGAAAGAGAATGGGGAGGTGGACGGCTCACTGCAGCCTCGACCTCCCAGACTCAACAATCCTCCCACGTCAGCCCCCTGAGTAGCTAGGATTATGGCTAATTAAAAAAAATAAAAATTAGAGGCAAGGTCTCACTTTGCTCCCCAGGCTGGCCTTGAACTCCTGGGATCAAGAGATCCTCCCGCCTCAGCCTCCCAAAGTGCTGAGATTATAGGCATGAGCCACCACACCATGCATCTCTTTCTCCCTTTAAGAGGTCCAGTTACCTCTTTGAAAATTAGAATGGAACTCAGCTCTTTCCCCTACTGTTAGTACTTACTAAATAAAAACTGTCTTCACTGCTTTAACTGGTGTCTGGCTTTTTAATTTTTAATTTTCTTTTTTTTTAGAGATGGAGTCTCACCCTATCACCCCATCTGCAATGCAGTGGTGTGGTTACTGCTCACTGCAACCTCGACCTCCCAAGTTCAAGTGATCCTCTCGCCTCAGCCTCCCGAGTAGCTGGGACTACAGGCACACACCACCATGTCCGGGTAATTTTTAAAATTTTCTGGTAGAGAGAGGGGCCTCACTATGTTGCCCAGGCTGATCTCAAACTCCAGGCCTCAAGTGATTCTCCTCCCTCAGCCTCCCAAAGCACGGGGATTACAGGCATGAGAAACTGTGCCTGGCCTGGCTTTGTTTCTTTGACAATTCTAACAAACTTAAAAAAAAAATCCTGAGACAATTAGGGACATTTGTATATTGGCTAGATATTTGATAATATTAAATGATTGTTGTTCATTCTTTTGAGCTGTGATAATGGTGTTGTGGTTATGTTTTTCAAAATAATCCAAAGAAATTTATCCAGACTATTAGCATCTCTCCCCACTTCCAGCACTACCACTCTTGGCCAAACATCCTTTGATCAGATAACAGATTTTTACATTTGCCTCTTTTTTTCTTTCTTTTTTTTTTTTAGGCAGGCACACATCACCATGCCTATCTAATTTCTATATTTTTTGTAGAGACAGGGTTCAGCATGTCGGTTGCCCAAGCTGATCTCAAAATCCTGGGCTCAATGAATCCTCCCGCCTCAGCCTCCCAAAGTGCTGGGATTACAGGGATGAGCTACTACGCCCGGCCCCATTTGCCTCTTCAATGATACATCACCCCCTCCTACCCACCGCCCGTCTGTTCAGTCTGTTACAGAAGTTAGCATGGGACCCTCCTGGGGCCCCTGGGGCCTCATGTCCCACTCTCCTCCCAGGCCATCCCACTCCAGTCGCACAGGTCTTGCTACTTCTGTCGCACAGCAGGCTGGTTCCAGGTGCAGAGCTTTCCCATTACTTTCCCCCCTGCCTAGAACTTGCTTTCCCCAGATAGCTGCATGTCTTGTTTCCTCCATTTCTTCGGGTCTCTGAGACTTTCCTGACCACCCTACATAAATTAGTAAACTCCCATCCCTGACACTCTTTTTTTTTTTTTTTTTAATTTTTAAGTTGTTATTTTTGTGAGACAGAGTCTCACTCTATCACCCAGGCTGGAGTGCAGTGGCAGTATCTCGGCTCACTGCAACCTCCACCTCCTGGGTTCAGGCAGTTCTCATGTCTCAGCCCCCTCGGTAGCTGGGACTACAGGCACACGCCACCACACCTGGCTAATTTTTATTTTTATTTTTTTCAGTAGAGACGGGGTTTCGTCATGTTGGCCAGGCTGGTCTTGAACTCCTGGCCTCAAGTGATCCACCCACCTCAGCCTCCCAAAAAGTGCTGAGATTACAGGAGTGAGCCGCTCCTGGCCTCTGACAGTCTTTACACCCCTTTTCTTGTTTTCTTTTTCTTTTTCTTTGTTTTCTTTTTCTCCATAGCACTTACATACCATGTATTTCCTTTTCCTGTCGATATTCCCCCTAGAACACAAGCTATAGAGTAGAGATGGTTTTGTTCATGCCTGTATCCCCAGGACTTCTAATTTCTTGCCCATAATAGGCACCAAATAAGTGCTGGTTGAAAGAATAGAGGCATGACTATTATTGCGTGAATGCTGCAAGTATGCACTAAAGAATCTGTAACCACATTTCTGAGCATATAGAGAAAGAAAACTGATAATGGCTGGAAAGTCTCCTAGCTTCCTCCCAGCGGAAGAATGTCCCTCACTTTTCCAGGACACTGACCTCGTAGGGTACGGCTTTGAGTCTATTCAACATACAGTCCTTGTGGCTCCCCAAGCTACGTGTACAATGGGCACTGGTGTTTTACATCAATGTCCTGTGAATGCTCATAAAGGCTGAAGGGCATTCTACCCACCAGTGTGTACTGCACGTAGAGCAGTGCTAGGGTCTTTGGGACCCCACAGCGCTAATGACCCCTTTGACCTAAAAGTCCTCCTGATTGATGATTTTACTGATCGGGGCATGTGCTAAAGGGAGGCAACCATCACCTGGAGGTGCCTCTTGGGAGGTTTTGGATTTGTTGTCTTCCTGACGTAAGACATACACCCCTTTTGAAAAGCAGCTCTTAATGTGCTATTGGGTTCTCGTCAAAACCGAGCACTCATGCCTGTAATCCCAGCCCTTTGGGAGGCCAAGGCAGGAGGATCACTTGAGGCCAGGATTTTGAGACCAGCCTGGACAACATAGCAAGACCCTCATCTCTACAAAAAAAAAAAAAATTAAAAATTATCCAGGAGTGGTGGCACTCACCTGTAGTCCCAGCTACTCGGGAGGCCGAGGCGAGAGGATTGCTTGAGCCCAGAAGTTCCAGGCTGCAGTCAGCCAGGATCACACCACTGTACTCCAGCCTGGATGACAGAGCAAGATGCTGTCTCTTAAAAAAACCCTGAGCACCTGACAAAGTGTGCACAGCACATCCTTATAAAGGCCTTGTGACTGATAGTCCCATTTTGGGGTGGCATGATTCCAACTCAAAGCTAACAATGTGGGAAGGGCCTGACAAGCCTCTCTTGTCCGATGGAAATGGTGCATTCAGTATGCAGCTGGCCTGGCCCTAGTGGCATTTTGGCTTTACATGAATTAAAAAAAAAAACACAAAACGGCAGCTATTCTTTTAGGGGAAATTTTATCCTCCACCCCACAGCCTAAGCAAAGCCACTAGCTCAACAAGGCTCACAATCCACAGAGGTTCCCCTAAATGCCTGTGCCTGGCTCACTGATGGCTTGGCTAAGCTGAAGCCAGTGCTGTCCAACTGGGCTGCTATGTGGAATGGAAAACAGATATGGTCACTCCACTTGGTAGGCAGAACTCAAAGCTGTTCTCATAGCCCAGGTCAGTACTCCTTGATGAACCTCTTTCTGTTATATTTTTACTGACTCAGGCTGCTGACAATGACCTAGCTCCTTAGTTGGGCCACTTGGAAAACTACAGACTGGCAGATAAAGTATTTCTCTAGCCTGGCATGGTGGTGCATACCTGCAATCCCAGCTACTTGGGAGGCTGAGGTGGGAGAATCACTTGAGCGCAAGAGTTAGAGGCTGCAGTGAGCTATGACTGCACCTGCAAATAGTCACTGCACTCTAGCCTGGACAATATAATGAGACACATCTCTAAAAGTAATAATACTTTTTTTAAAAAGATTTTTGTCAGCTGGGTACAGTGGCTCACGCCTGTCATCCCAGCACTTTGGGAGGCCAAGTCAGGCGGATCACCTGAGGTCAGGAGTTCGAGACCAGCCTGGCCAACATGGTGAAATCCCATCTCTACTAAAAATACAAAAATTAGCAGGGCGTGGTGGCGGGTGCCTGTAATCCTAGCCACTTCAGAGGCTGAGGCAGGAGAATCGCTTGAACCTGGGAGGCAGAGGTTGCAGTGAGCCGAGATCGCACCATTGCGCTCCAGCCTGGACCATAAAGCAAGACTCTCTCAAAAAAAAAAAAAAAAGATTTTTGTTTTTGTCTTGTTTTGTTTTGTCTTTGGCCATGAACTGTGGAAGCACATTGCAGCTGCTGATTGAACTGTCTTGGTCGATCTAGGTGCCCATGGTAAGGGTGTCTCTGATGAGACCAACTGGAATCAAGGTGCAGATTGAGTCTGCACTGCCCAGACTAACACCTTTGCTTTCTGGATTGATCATTGTACCAGACATGGCAGCACACCCACAACAGACTGGGCACCTAGTAGAGAACTCTGCTTCAGATTCACAAGCTATCACTGCATGCCAGACTTGCGACTCCTAATAAAAGGAATAACAGGTGAGCCGTTTGTCTCCAGGGAGAAGACCGCATTGCACAGGGTGTGGCAGTTGAGTCCATCCAACCTTTGAACCCCTTTTGGGGCTCCTGGCTTACTGCTGTTGATACTTTTTCAGGTTACAGTGCTGTTATCCTGGTCCAATCAACTGATTCTGGCACATGAAACTAGAACTCCTTGAATCTTGTCATTATTAAGTGAGCCTCTTTTTCTCTAATACTACTTTTTTGCTGTAAGGTTTTCATTGTCTGATATTGACATGGCAACTCCAGCTTGCTTGCTTTTTTGAAGGATTAGTGCTTGCTTGATTTTATTTATTTATTCTTATTTTTTATAGAGATGGGATCCCACTCTGTCACCCAGGCTGGAGTGCAATGGCAGGATCCTAGCTCACTGTAACCTCAAATTCTTCTGCTCAAGCAATCCTCTCGCCTCAGCCTTCCAAGTAGCTAGGACTACAGGCATGCACCACCACACCCAGCAAATTTTTTTTTTGGTAGAAATGGAGTCTCACCAGGTTGCCCAGGCTGGTCTTGAACACCTGGCCTTAAGTTATCTCCCACCTTCCAAAGCACTGGGCCTATGTTTTCACCATCTGAATTTCAACCTTTCTCTGTCATTATATTTTATGTCTACTTATGTCTATCTCTATCTACTAAACACTATATAGCTGGATTCTGTTTTTAAAATCCAATCTGATAATCTCTGTTTTTTTTATTTTTATTTATTTATTTATTTTTTGAGACAGAGTCTTGCTCTGTTGCTCATGCTGAAGTGCAGTCGCATGATCTCAGCTCACTGTGACCTCCATCTCCTGGGTTCAAGCGATTCTCCTGCCTCAGCCTCCTGAGTAGCTGGGACTACGGGCACATGCCACCATGCCCAGCTAAGTTTTTTTTTTTTTCTTTTTCTTAGTAGAGACAAGTTTTCACCATGTTGGCCAGGCTGGTCTCAAACTCCTGAGGTCAAGTGATCCACCCGCCTCAGTCTCCCAAAGTGCTGGAATTACAGGGTGAGCTACCACGCCCAACCAATTTCTGCCTTTTGCCTGGAAAGTTCTACATATTTATATTGTAATTACTAACACAGTAGAATTTATTTCTGTCACTTATTTTATGTTTCCTTTTTGTCCGGATTTTTCTGTGATAAATTTTTATTCTTCTTTGCCTTTTTGTTTAGATTAATTTTTTCTCATTTGTTTTTCCTCCACTGACTGGAAATATATAGATTTTATTTCTTAAAAAAAAAATTGAGACAGGGTCTTGATCTGTTGCCCAGGCTGGAGTGCAGTAGCATGATCACAGCTCACTGCAGCCTCGAACTCCCGGGCTCAAGGGATCTTCCCACTTCAGCCTCCCTAGTAGCTAGGGCTACAGGCGTGTGCCACCATGCCCAGCTAATTTTTTTTCTTTATTTTTTGCAGAGACAGGGTTTCACCATGTTTTGTAGGCTCACTGTATTTCTTTAAAAAATTTTAATGTGCATACTTAGTGAGTGTAAAGTTAATTCTTATTACCCTCCTCCAGAACCTTATAATGCTTTTATTATAATTATCTCTCTCCTGACTTATATGCCTATTTGTCTTAACTTCTTGGCTCTATTTTTTTTTTTTTTTTTGGCTGTTTAAAAACTTCATCGTATTGGACATCTCTATGACCCTTTGCACATCTTCTCAGTCTTACCTGTCTCTTTATTTAGCCAGCACTGTGTTGACCAGTTCTCTGTGGGTACCCACTAGGTCTACACAGATACAACCTGATAGTACTTAACCTCAGGCTTGCTCTGTGCATCTTCTTCCTTCTTCCCTGAGACTTTCGTGTTGATGACAAAGCATGGAAAAGGATGGAACACCATGGTGCAACTACAAAGTACCGGGGTTTAACACTCCTTGAGGCGTGTCTTTGACCAAAGGAAAGGAGAGAGTCAATAGTACAAGCATCCTCCTTGCTCCTGTAGGATAGGTGGTCTTGACATGGACTTTATATGGCTTCTCAAATGGTCCTGACGGATAGAGCAACTAGATCATTGTAGCAGTGGCCAACTTCCTAATGCATCTTTGAGTAAGCTCTCCCTCCCTCCCTGCGTCATTCCCCTGTCCCTTACTCCTAGTCCCTGGGATCACACTCTGCAGTAAAATACTTGCACTAAATCTTTGTCTTAGGCCCTGCCTTCTGAGGATCTAGGCTAAGTCATCCATCTATTGGACACAATTATTACCCCTTTATTCAGTCACTTACTACACTCATGATTCCTTTTTTCTTCCCAGACTTTCCTTCTGGGGGCATTTTTTCTTTTTCTTTTTTTTTCCTTTTTCTTTTTCTTTTCTTTCTTTCTTTTTTTTTTTTTTTTAACAGAGTCTTGTTCTATTGCCCAGGCTGGAACACAAAGGCATGATCTTGACTCACTGCAAACTCCACCTTCCGAGTTCAAGCGATTCTCATGCCTCAGCCTCCCAAATAGCTGGGGTTACAAGCATGCTCCACCATGCCTGGCTAATTTTTGTATTTTTAGTAGAGACGGGGGTTCACCATGTTGCCCAGGCTGGTCTCGAACTCCTGGCATCAACTGATCTGCCTTCCTAGGCCTCCCGAAGTGCTGGGATTACAGGGTGAGCCACCTAACCTAGCCCATTTTTTCTTTATCTTCATGTTTAGAAATTTCTTTAGAGAGGTTTGTTGAAGGTAAATCTGTCAGTTTATGTTTCTCTGAAAATGCTTTATTTTACCCTTGTTTTGGAAAGAAAATTTCACTGGCTATACGATTTCTAGGTTGACAGGTTTTTTTCCCTTAACCTCTCAGGCCTGTGGATATATTATACCCTGTCTTCCAGGATTTTCCTATTAATATTACTGTTACTGAATCCACTTTTCACTCATTTATAGATAATGTGTTTTTTCTTTATGACTGCTTTTTTAGATCTTCTCTTTGCCTTTGGTATTCTGCATTACAATGATGATGTGCTGAGTGTAGATTTCTTTTTACTTCTCTGTTTCAGAGTCACTGGTCTTCTTGAAGCTAAAGATTTGTATCTTTCATCAAATCTAAAAAGTTCATACCCATTAAATTGTTGAATATTGCCTTTCCTCTTTTTTCTGTGTTATCTCCATCTCATACTTTATTGGGCCTTTTAACTCTGTTCTCTGTGTCTCTTAGCCTCTCATGTTTCCATCTCTTTGTCTCTGTGCTACATTCTAGGTAAATATTTCAGCTGATCTTCTAATTCATGATGTCTCTCTTTAGCTGTGTATATTCTCTTGTGTAATTTTCCTTTAAGTGTTTAATTTCTATTACTTTATTCATTTTTAGAAGTTCTGTTTTGGTTCTTTTCCAAACTTGCCTCATCAATTTTGGTTACCTTTGCTTTTTTTTTTTTTGTTTTTTTTTTGAGACAGGATCTCATTCTGTTGCCCAGGCTAGAGTGCAGTGGTGCAATCAGAGCTCACTGCAGCCTCGACCTCCCAGGCTCAAGTGATCTTCCTACGTTAGCCTCCCAAGTAACTGGAACTACAGGCATGCACCACCATTCCTGGCCAATTTTTTTTTTATTACTATTGTTTGTAGAGACAGGGTTTTGCCATGTTGCCCAGGCTGGTCTTGAACTCCTGAGCTAAAGAGATCTGCCCGCCTCAGCCTCCCAAAGTGCTGGGGTTACAGGCATGAACCACTGCACTTGGCCTGCCTTTGCTCTTTACTCATTGTTGCAATTGCCACCTTTATTTCTTGAAACATACTGTTTCATATTTATGAAATGTGCTATTTATTTATATTCCGTGTTCAGTGACACTATTTTTTGAAATATTTCTAGATCTGGTTCTGTTCACTGTAGTTTCTCTATGTTATTTTGTGGTGTTTCTTTTTGTTTGTTGGTTTGGTTTTTTTGAGACAGAGTCTCATTTTGTCACCCAGCCTGGAGTGCAGTGGCATGATCTCAGTCACTACAACCTCCGCCTCCCAGGTTCAAGTGATTCTCCTGCCTCAGCCTCCCAAGTAGCTGGGATTACAGGCGTGTGCCACCATGCCTGGCTAATTTTTGTATTTTTAGTAGAGATGGGGTTTCACCATGTTGGCCAGGCTAGTGTCGAAATCCTGACCTCAAGAGATCTACCCACTGCAGCCTCCCAAAGTGCTCTGCTTATTTTTTAATGTGCGTTTTTTTAAAAATGCCTCTATTAAGATATATTTTAGGCTGGGCGTGGTGGCTCATGCTTTAATCCCAGCACTTTTGGAGGCCGAGGCGGGTGGATCATGAGGTTAGGAGTTCGAGACCAGCCTGGCCAACACAGTGAAACCCCGTCTCTACTAAAAATACAAAAATTAGTTGGGCGTCGTGGCGGGAGCCTGTAATCCCAGGTACTCAGGAGGCTGAGGCAGGAGAATTGCTTGAACCCGGGAGGCAGAGGTTGCAGTGAGCCAAGATCGTACCATTGTACTCCAGCTTGGGCAACAGAACTAGACTCCGTCTCAAAAAAAAGAAAAAGAAAAAAAAGATATATTTTACATATCATATCATATAATTTATCCTATTGAATAATTTTTGGTAAATTTAATGAGTGGTGCAAACATTGCCATAAGTCAGTTTTTGAACATTTTTGTCACCCTAATAAAAGCCCTCATGCACATTTACAGTTCATCCTAATTCCCACCCCAGCCCCAGGCAACCATTAGTTTACATTCTGTCTCTATAGATTTATGTTTTCTAGACATTTCACATAAATGGAATCATACAATATGTGGTCTCTTATGTCTGGTTTCTTTCATTTAACATATTTTTTGGGGTTCATCCATGCCATAGCAGTTTGTTCCTTCTTATTGATGAATCCATCCATTGTGTGAATATATACCACATCTTTATTCCTTTTTTTTTTTTTTTTTTTTTTGAGACAGAGTTTTGCTCTTGTTGCCCAGGCTGGAGTGCAGTGGCGCGATCTTGGCTCACTGCAACCTCTGCCCCCTGGGTTCAAGCGATTCTCCTAGCTCAGCCTCCTGAGTAGCTGGGATTACAGGCGCCTGCCACCACACCCAGCTAATTTTTTGTATTTTTAGTAGAGATGGGTTTTCATCATGTTGGCCAGGCTGCTTTCGAACTCCTGACCTCAGGCGATCCACCCGCCTTGGCCTCCCAAAGTGCAGGGATTACAGGCATGAGCCACCGCACCCGGCCGGGATTACAGGCATGAGCCACCGTGCCCGGCCTCCTTTTTTTTTTTAACGCATCCCCATTGTTAAGCATACAAATTTCTGTTTATTCATTTACCAGTTGATGGACATTTAGGTGAAGTTTTTGGCAATTATCAATAATGCTGCTATGAACATTTGCATGCAAGTTTTGTGTGGACATGTTTTCATTTTTCTTAGGTAGCTACCAAGAAGTGAAATTTTGGTTCCTACAGTAATTTTTTTCTTAACTTTTTGAGAAACTGCCAAATGTTTCCCAAAGAGGCTGCATCATTTTACATTCCCACTGGCAATGTCTGAGGGTTCCTGTTCCACCACATCCTTGCTGACTTCTGTTATTCTATTAGTCAGACAGGCCTGCCATAACAAATTGCCACAGACTGGGTGGCCTCAGCAACACACATTTGTTTTCTCACAGCTCTGGAGACTATGATTCTATGATCAAGGTGCTGGCAAATTTGATTTCTGGTGAGTACCATCTCCCTAGTTTATAGATGGCCGCCATCTTGCTGTGTCCTCACATGGCCTTGTCTCTGTGCTTCCATGAAGAGAGAGGGATAGAGATAGAGAAAGATCTCATGTCTTTCTCTTCTGATAAGGACACAAATCCTATCAGATTAGAGCTCCTCCTTACCTCATTTATGTTAATTATCTCCCTACATACTTTATCTCCAAATACAGGGGATTAGGGCTTCAACATAGGTTTTGCAAGGAGGACACAATTCACTCCCTAACATTCCTCCCTCTGTCCCCCGCAAATTCATGTTCTTCTCACATGCAACACATTCGCCCCATCCTAACAGCCCCCAAAGTCTTACACCGTTTCAGTATCAATTGCAAGTCTAAGATCTCATCTAAATACAATAGGCCCTCCCTATCCACGGGTTCTGCATCCATGGATTAAACCAACCACAAATCAAAAATATTTGGAAAAAACAAAAAGGATGGCTGCATCAGTACTGAACAGGTGCAGACTTTTTTCTTGTAATTATTCCCTAAACAATACAGTGTAACAACTATTTATGTAGCATTTACACTGTATTTGGTATTATAATTCATCTAGAGACAATTTAAAGTATACAGGGAAATGTGCATAGGTTATATGCAAATATAAAATACACCATTTTATATAAGAGACTTGAGCATCTGTGAATTTTGGTATCCATGGAGGGAGGTCCTAAAAACCAATACTCTGCAGATACTGAAGGACAAATTCCATTAAATTTTACGGCTCCAGTCAGGGGTGGTGGCTCACACCCATAAGCCACTGAGTTCAAGACCAGCCTGGGCAATATGGTGAAACCCTGTCTCTACTAAAGGGCTTATTAGTTCCAACAAGAGCTGGTTGTTAAAAAGAACCTAGCGCTTCCCTCCCCTCTCTTGCTTCCTCTCTCTCCATGTAATCTCTGCACAGGCCGGGTCTCTTTGCCTTCTGCCATGAGTGGAAGCACCCTGAGGTCCTCACCAGGTGTCCAGTCTTGAACCTTCCAGCCAGCATAACCATGAGCTCGATAAACCTCTTTTCTTTATAAATTACCCAGCCTCAGGTATTCCTTTATAGTAACACTAAAGGGACTAATGGACTGACACAGGTCCACTCACATCTTTTGGCCCCCCCCCCTTTTTTTTTGAGAGAGAGTTTTGCACTTGTTGCCCAGGCTGGAGTGCAGTGGCGTGATCTCAGCTCACTGTAACCTCCGCCTCCCGGGTTCAAGTGATTCTCCTGCCTCAGCCTCACGAGTAGCTGGGATTACAGGCACCACACCAACATGCCTGGCTAATTTTTATGTTTTTAGTAGAGACAGCATTTCACCATGTTGGCCAGGCTGGTCTCGAACTCCTGACCTCAGGCCATCTGCCCACATTGGCCTCCTAAAGTGCTGGGATTACAGATGTGAGCCACCATACCTTTTGCCCATTTTTTTATTAGATTGTGTGTCCTCCTGTTATTCGGCCTGATGTGTTTCGTGAGCTCATATTTATTCATACCTTTTACGTGGGAGTTTTGGGAGCCTGGTGTATTTCTCCTGAAAGGATTTCTAGTTATCTCTGCCAGGAACCCAGACATACTACATAGGTCTACTTTAAATGAAATCCTTCCTATAGGTTTTAGGCCCCACCAGTAATGTAATTTTCTGCCCTTAATCTTGCTGTGGCTCTGGGGATCTTATTTTCTGAACAGCAGCAACAACAACAACAACAAACCAGAATACATGGTTGGAATAGAAATATTTATGGTGACCAAGTGCCCAGGGTATTTGGAGTCATGACTGCCTAGGAAAATTCAGGTTATGTATAGTTATGGGGCCATTTTCACTCTGAATTTTAGAGACTGGCAGGGCCAGGTGGACAGAATTTGGTGTTACGACTTTTTTGAGTTAAAAAAAAAATCTGTGATTTATCTCAAAATACTATCTCTTAGTGTGATATACGTGCTCTTTTTGCCCCTTTCATTTTTAATTAACAAATAGCAATTACATATGGTTATGTGGTACAGTATGATATTCTGATATTTATTTACATTGTGGAATGATTAAACCAAATTAACATATCCATCACCTCACATACTCATCTTTTTGTGATGAGATTATGTGTGTCCTTTTTAATCAATATCCTAGGGATGGCTAATTAACAATTAAAGTACTCTGTTAGGGAATATAATCTCCAAAAGAGGTTGATTAGCTTTTGAAAGGTCCTAAATAGATGTCCACGTTTCAGAAAGCTTCAACCATTTTTATGTCCAATCAACAGCAGGACTATATGGATTTTCCTTTGGTTAAATAAGTAGTGTTAATGATGTCTGGATTAGCTAGAAATACTGTACGAAGGCCACCTACACTTGCATGGATGGACAGGATATAGAAATCTAGGAAACCCAATGTGCATACCCTTTGTAATGGTGCTCTTGGTTTAGGTTCCCAAATAGAAGACATACTCAGGAAATTATCTGAGGATTATTATTCCCTTACTTCAACTAGAAGATTTGCTGAATCCTGCCCCCAAAATATTGTTTCATGTGTATAGAATAAGTGTGTCATGCAAAGTTTGGTCGGAGTTCCTAAAAGAACAAGGAGTTGGATCTTCACGAAAGTTACAAAACAGTTTGTATAACTGTTTTTGACTGCACTTGCTACCATTAAGTATTTGCACAGGCAGGAGAATTGCTTACAACATAACATTGCAACAGCTGCAAGTTAAGAAGGTTGTGTGGTAAAGGAAGTGAAAATGTTAGATCATGGTAAACAAATACTATCTAGGAACAGTGAAGGGGCATCGTGCCAACTGGATTCCTGAGTTGAAAATCATCCTGCTCCAATAATTTTCAGACTATCCTCATTCGGGAAGGATAGGGAGGGCCCTTGTATGTGTGGATTAAAATAAGTCATGGGATATCTGAGGCCTGGAAAAAATAAGGTTAACCCTTCTCTAGTCCTATTCCATGCAGAGCCCTTGGATGTCTCTATAGCATCCGCCAAAGCCTTCAGAAGCTTTACCTCAACCACACTGTAAAACCTGGGTGTGGGAGAGGGATGCAGTTATTTGACAAAATGGTTGGGAGAGGGTCAGAAATCTTTCTTTGGGTAAAATCATTCTGTAGTTGCTGAAGTAACCACTGATAATTTAATCTGCTTCCTAGAAAGCTCTTCTTGGCTCACAGATTTAGGCATCAATAAAAATAGGCAACATTTATCGAGGGTCGTCTTCTCCTTGTGCTAAGTATTTTACATACGTTATGTCATTATGTGTGTACATTTCCATTCAACCCTATGAATGGATGTTTTTAGTTTTTATCTCTGTTTTATGTATAACGAAAGTGATGTGCAGAAATCATATGAATTAGGTGTTTGAATGCGCACTCGAGCTTACCGTTTCTTTTTCACCACCTGTATCGCTAATCCTCTTAACTGGCAGGAATGGGGCAAGTCAATTTCAACACGCGAGTCTTAGGCTAAATCTGTTTATAGGAGTTGCCCCCAGAAAGGGAGTCAGGATCTCCAAACCCTAACACATTTTAACGCTGAGGTTCACATAACTCCCAGCGCTCCTTCCGCACGAACCGCCCCTGCACAGGGAACCTGCTGGAAAGGACGAGCCTCTCTTGCAGATGGGCCAATTAGATAGCTTGCTCTTGTGAACGACAGGTCTTGTGGCCAATGGGCTCATCCCCGGAGGCCTCGAAGAGCGGAAATTGGCCCTGGAGCATGTGGGCCCCGGGGCGTGGGTTGAGCTCGGTCTTCCCCTGAGGCCGCGCGGAGCTGGGCGACTGGGGCGAGGACTCGCGCACAGGTGAGTACTGGCCCCGGTTGCGGCATGCCAGGCAGGCCAGGGTCGCTCGGGGGCGGGCAGGTTGGGTTTTTGCTCAAGCACGTGGGGTGAGCCGCCCTCCCGGGCCTCTCCCCTCCCACTTCGGGGAGCTGCTGAGGGTTGCGGGTCGGGCGGGGGCGGGAAGTCGTTATTCGAGGCCCGGCGCCGCGGCCCCAAGAAGGTGTCCAGGTTGGGGCGGCAGGGGAGGCCCTCCGGAGGCCCAAGTGGACGTCTTATTTGGCCTGAGAGAGGAGATAGAACCCCTGGCAGGGCTGTGGCTTTGGGGAAAGGTGCTTTTCTCGGGGTGGAAAGGGGATGGGACTCGCCTTCGGGGGCCTTGCTTCTGGTTAGGCCCGAGTCGCGAGGCCTCAGCGCGGAGCACGCACCCAGGGATGCGAGGGAGGCAGGCCCAGCCCGTCCTGGGTTCGCTCCCCATTGAACCTTTCGGACAGCCAAGTATCTGCTACCTGATCCCAGGGGGAAACCCACACTGGGAGAGGGCCCTCTGGGGGAGCTACCTGAATCTATAGAAGTGGTGCTGGAGGTTGAGGGAAGCGTGGACAAAGAGGAAGATTCCAGATGTCCCTTAAGGGAGGCCGTCCAGCGCTTCTGAGTATGTAGCTGTTAGCATACTGATTGCTTGGGATTCTTTGGGTGGTGTTGGGGAGGTGTGAGCAGAGTCCTGGCTCACCGAAAAGGGGTGTTAGCAGTTAAATATAGCCTTCAAGAAAGGGAGTCATATCCTGCGTTTAGAGTGTGAAAGAGGATAGTTTAGTTCAATAAATTTTGCAAGTTCCTGAACTGTCTGCACTTACGCTGTGGGTTTATGAATTGTGTGTTAATATTTTCTTTAAATGTATGATTTCTCTGTAGCTAATACTTAAGACAGCTTTTTTGTTTGTTTGTTTGTTTGTTTTGAGACGGAGTCTCGCTCCGTAGCGCAGGCTGGAGTGCAGTGGCGTGATCTCTGCTCACTGCAACCTCCGCCTCCCAGGTTCAAGCGATTCTCCTGCCTCTGCCTCCCGAGTAGCTGGGATTACAGGCGCAGGCCACCATGCCCAGCTAATTTTTGTATTTTTAGTAGAGATGAGGGTTCACCATTTTGGTCAGGCTGGTCTCGAACCCCTGACCTTGTGATCTGCCCACCTTGGCCTTCCAGAGTGCTGGGATTACAGGCGCGAGCCACCACCCCCGGCCAAGACAGCTTTTTGAAAGTTAAGAAGAGGCTTCTCCCAGCATTTGGGGAGTCTGAGGTGAGAGGATCACTTGAGGTCAGCAGTTTGAGACCAGCCTGGGCAACATGGCAAGATCCCGTCTCTACAAATTTTTTTTAAAAATTAGCTGGGTATGGTGGCAGGTGCCTGAAGTCCTAGCTACTTGGGAGGCTGAGACAAGAGGACTGCTTGAGCACAGGAGGTTGAGACTGCAGTGAGCTAAGATGCCACCACTTCACTGTAGCCTGGATGACAGAACAAGACCCTGTCTCTTAAAAAAAAAAAATTCTTTTCCGTTAAGAAATATTTTTCAGGAATCAGGGGCAAGTCAGGACAATGAGAGGAGCCCCTTAAAGAGGGAGTCTTGAAATCTGTAGGTTATAAAGTGATATATATATATATATTTTTTTTTTTGAGACAGAATCTTGTGCTGTCACCCAGGCTGGAGTGCCACGATCTTGACTCACTGCAACCTCCGCCTCCTGGGTTCAAGCAATTCTTGTGCCTCAGACTCCTGAGGAGGGGGGATTACAGGCATGCACCACCATGCCTGGCTAATTTTTGTATTTTTAGTAAAGACAGGGTTTCATCATGTTTGCCACGCTGCTCTTGAGCTCCTGATCTCAAGTGATCCACCCGCCTCGGCCTCCCAAAGTGCTGTGATTACAGGCATGGGCCACCATGCCCGACCTACAGGTTATGAAGTGATTTTGAAGAGACCTGATGGGCTTTAGATTTGGTAGGGAAGCCAGGGAGAGCCTCACCCCGGGTAACCTGGGAGAGAGAAGGGTGTTAAATGCAACCTGTGAGACTGAGCAAGTATTGTAGGCTCAAAGCAGAAAGACTGTGTACT
Source organism: Homo sapiens (assembly GCF_000001405.40). NCBI lineage: Eukaryota > Metazoa > Chordata > Mammalia > Primates > Hominidae > Homo > Homo sapiens. The sequence continues at coordinate 22,277,484 of NC_000008.11, forward strand.
CTGGAGACTTCTGATGGAGTTTGAAAGAAGAGAGTTTTTAAAATTTTTTTTTCTATTTTTTAATTATTTGTAGAGACAGGGTCTCGTTGTGTTCCTAAGACTGGCCTCAAACTCCTGGCCTCAATGGTCCTCCCACCTGGGCCTCCCAGAGTGCTGGGATTACAGGCATGAACCACTGTGTGTGTGTGCTCAGCCTGAAGGAAGAATTTTGTAAAAAAGAATTGGATAGAGATTCGGAGAAGCAGCTAAACAGATCAAGGAAGAGAATTTGGTGCAATCATAGACTGGAAAAAAGTTAGGACTCTTATGTAGGAAAGAGAGGCCAAAAACAAAGCAAAAACCCATAAATATTTGTTGACAATAATTTTATGATATGGCTGTGTTAACTATGAAATTGTTTATAGGCCAGGCACAGTGGCTCACACCTGTAATCCCAGCACTTTGGGAGGCCCAGGTGGGCTGATCGCCTGAGGTCGGGAGTTCGAGACCAGCCTGACCAACATAGAGAAACCCCGTCTCTATTAAAAATACAAAATTAGCCGAGCATGGTGCTGCATGCCTGTAATCCCAGCTACTCGGGACGCTGAGGCAGGAGAATCACTTGAACCCAGGAGGCAGAGGTTGCGGTGAGCCAAGATTGCACCATTGCACTCCAGCCTTGGCAATAAGAGTGAAACTCCGTCTAAAAAAAAAAGGGGGGGAGGAAAAGAAATTGTTTATAAACCAAAGTCATCCTCATACATAAAAACTGCCTTAGCCAGGTGCAGTGGCTCACACCTATTATCCCAGCATTTTGGGATGCTGAGGCAGCAGATCTCTTGAGCCCAGGTGTTTGAGACCAGCCTTGGCAACGTGGCAAGACCCCGTCTGTACAAAAAATGTACAAATTAGCTGGGTGTTGTGGTGCATGCCTGTAGTCCCAGCTACTCAGGAGACTGAGATGTGAGGGTCACTTGAGCCCAGGAGGTCAAGGCTGCAGTGAGCCATGATCATGCCACTGCACTCCAGCCTGGGCGACAGAAGGAGACCCTCCTAAAAAACTGCTTCCTTATACAACAGCTAGTTAACTCACAGGACTGAGTTTTGTGAGAGGCTATTTGGGTAGAAAATATAAGTAAGTTCAAGGAGGACACGGGCCTCTAAGGCAGGGGTTCCCAACCCCCAGGCCACAGGCTGGTTGGGGGGCCTGTTAGGAACTGGGCTGCACAGCAGGAGGTGAGAGATTGGCAAATGAGCAAAGCTTCATCTGTATTGACAGCTGCTCCCCATGGCTTGTAGTATCACCTGAGCTCTGCCTCCTGTCGGATCACTGGTGGCATTAGATTCTCATTGTGCAAACCCTCTTGTGAACTTCGCATTGGAGGGATCTAGGTTGCATCCTCCTTATGAGAATCTAATGCCTGATGATCTGTCACTGTCTCCCATCACCCACAGATGGGACCAGCTAGTTGCAGGAAAACAAGATCAGGGCTCCCACTGATTCTACATTATGGTGAATTGTATAATTATTATATTTCATTATCTATTATAATGTAATAATAGAAATAAAGTACACAATAAATGTAATGTATTTGAGTCACTCTGAAACCATCCCCCCACCCCTGGGTCCATGGAAAAATTATCTTCCAGGAAACCAGTCTCTGGTGCCAAAAAGGTTGGGGACCACTGCTCTGAGGGATTGTTAATGAAGGATGTTTAGAATATTACAGATCAAATAGAAGCCTTTGAAGTGAATATGTTGTAGAAGGCTAGGCGTGTTACTGGACTGACTCAAAATACTATTTTAATGCTTTGTGAGTGTGTCTTGAAGGAAAAGGAAAACAATTGGGAATCTTAATCTTTTGAAAATGATGGCAGGTAATTAACCAGAACAGGATCGACACGTGTTCTCTACAGCCCGTCCATGGATCCTTTCCGACCATCGTTCAGGGGCCAGTCTCCTATCCACCCATCCCAGTGCCAGGCTGTACGGATGCCAGGCTGTTGGCCACAAGCTTCTAAACCTTTGGACCCAGCTCTGGGCAGGGGAGCACCTGCAGGCAGAGGCCATGTATTTGGAAAGCCAGAGGAACCAAGCACACAGAGGGGGCCAGCACAAAGGGTAAGACCACTTCCGGATGCATAGGAGTGGCATACAGCTTACCTGTGTGCCGTCAGAGGAAGTAATGGATTTCAAAGTGCTTGCAGGGCTGGGCACGGTGGCTCACGCCTGTAATCCCAGCACTTTGGGAGGCCGAGGCAGGTGGATCATCTGAGGTCGGGAGTTCAAGACCAGCCTGGCCAACCAACATGGTGAAACCCTGTCTCTACTGAAAATACAAAAATTAGCCAGGTGTGGTGGCGGGTACCTGTAATCCCAGCTACTCAGGAAGCTAAGGCAGGATAATTGCTTGAACCGTGGAGGCGGAGGTTGCGGTGAGCTGAGATCTCGCCAGTGCACTCCAGCCTGGGCAACAGAGCGAGACTCCATCTCAAACAATGACAACAAAGTGCTTGCAAAACTGGGAAGCCCTAAACAGAAACAAGGTTGTCTTTTTTTTTCTTTAACAAGTAGATACATCTGGGCAAATATTTCAAATCTAGAGTTTCTAGAGGTATGAAGAAGTACCTCATAATGAGCGCTAGATGGACTTGGTAAGTACCATAGGTCCTCTAGCTTCCGATCATCCCTCCATCCCTCCATCTGTAATTGTTAGGTCTAAAGGTACAATCTCTTGTTGTTTTCTGAATATTTAGATTTTCACCTGGTTTTGGCTCTATGATATTAGCAGCAGTTTCTGCCTCTGAGGTAATAATACTTTTGTTCATTTTGGAAGGCTCATTGCCCAAATCTTAAAGAAAAAGGATCTTCAGTTATTGCTGCTGCTGTGTGAACACTTAACGTGTATATGTTCTTAAACTTTTAATTATAAAGTAATTTTAAGAATAATATTTGTCTATAATTAATATATCAAAGAGAGTTAGCAAATATAGGGAGAACCTAATGAAGTTATGATTATTTTAAGTAGAGTTTACATTTGTCAAATGTATTATTTTTATAAGGAGAAAAGTTTATGAAAGTAATCTTACATGTTGACTCAAATGAATTGCTTGAGTCTATATGTAGCTTTTATTCATGTCAGATCCAACTGGTATAACAGTAGTAGACATTCAAGACTGCCACAGGAAAACAGTAGCAGGTTACACAAACCTCTGATACTCATAAATGATCCAGCTTTTTTGAAATGTATTAACCAGTACACTTGTTCTCTCTTGCCTTGAATATGCAGAAAATAGAAAAATGGAAAAGTTCTGTTGCATTTTGTTATACTGTTTATCAAATCAAAATGGAAAAATTAACTCTGTTCTGTTGCATTTTGTTATACTGTTTATCAAATCAAAATGGAAAAGTTAATTCTGTTCTGTTGCATTTTGTTATACTGTACACATCAAATCATGGGCCATAACTGTAACTGTGCTTTAAGACCTAATATTACATAGTTACAGGTATTTTTTAAAGTTTATAAAATGTTTCCCTTTATTCTTATAACATGTATAGAATTTGAAGATGATTTTATTATATACCAAGACTAAGAAAGCCCTTGTTTCTGGGGTTTTAAACTACCTCTTAGAACTTTATTCTTTGACTTTCCACAGGAGTCTGTGGGTTTGGTCTCCATGTTCCGAGGCCTGGGCATTGAAACAGTTTCTAAGACCCCTCTGAAACGGGAAATGCTTCCATCAGGTATGTGGAAAACTAACTTGAGAAATTTGGTGGTATGTATGATTGGTTTCTTCTAAAATCCAAATGGTTTATTTTCAGAAACGTAACTGTGCTTTTTTTAAAAAAAAAAACTATACTTTAAAACACGTTTAAGTCATAGTCATTGCTGGGGTTCGGTTCTTTCTTTCAGGTAGAGGCATTTTAGGTCGAGGCTTGTCTGCTAATCTGGTACGCAAGGACAGGGAGGAACTCTCTCCCACTTTTTGGGATCCAAAAGTGTTGGCGGCTGGGGACAGCAAGATGGCAGAGACCTCCGTTGGTTGGAGTAGGTGGGTAAAGTTACCCTCTCAGGTAACTATCAAATTCAGATGGAATATCTCTGTAAGTTCAGAGAGCAACTCTAAGAAGAGTTGTGTCATCTCATAATCAATGTCTGGTTTTATATTAAAGAATGCATATTTCTCAAGAGTAGTCAGCAGCTGTTAACACAGCTAGGCATTGGAAAAGGGTAAGAAGTAGTTCTCCACTGGGCTGTTCAAAAATTCATTTGTCCTCTTAAAAAATTACCCTGATCATGGTGATTTTTTTTTTTTTTTTTTTTTTGAGATGAAGTTTTGCTCTGTCTCCCAAGCTGGAGTGCAATGCCTCAATCTTGGCTCACTGCAACCTCCGCCTCCCAGGTTCAAGCAATTCTCCTGCCTCAGCCTCCCAGGTGTCTGGGACTACAGGCATGTGGCACCATACCCAACTAATTTTTTGTATTTTTAGTAGAGACGAGGTTTCACTGTGTTCGCCAGGCTGGTCTTGAGCTCCTGACCTCAGGCAGTCCACCCACCTCGGCCTCCCAAAGTGCTGAGATTACAGGCATGAGCCCCACTGTGCGTGGACTTTTTTTTTTTTTTTTTTTTTTAAGGGATGGGGTCTCACTGTGTTGACCGGGCTGGAATGCAGTGGGGCAATCTTGGCTCACTGCAACCTCCACCTCCCAGGTTCAAGCGATTCTCCTGCCTCAGTGTGCCGAGTAGCTGGGACTACAGGTGTGCGCCACCACACCCGGCTTTTTTTTTTTTTTTTTTTTTTTTTTTGGAGACAGTCTCACTCTGTCACCAGGCTGGAGTGCAGTGGCACGATCTTGGCTCACTGCAACCTCCGCCTCACACCCAGCTAATTTTTGTATTTTTAGTAGAGACGGGGTTTCATCTTATTAGCCAGGTTGGTCTCAAACTCCTGACATCAGGTAATCCTCCCGCCTTGGCTTCCCAGAGAGCTGGGATTATAGGCGTGAGCCCCTGCACGCAGCCGTGGTGATTCTTTAATAACGTTGAGTCAAACTTTCTCCTCTATTCTGCTATGGAAGATGGCTCTGACAGTCAATAGCAGTTGGTGAATGAGTCATGGTGGCATATGTTGTGTTTTTTTTTTGAAATTCGTTCTATCTCTGTCACCCAGGCTTTAGTGCAGTGGTGTGATCTCAGCTCACTGCAGCCTCGACCTCCCAGGCTGAAGTGATCCTCCCACCTCAGCCACCCGAGTAGCTGGGACTACAGTTATGAGCCACCATACCTGGCTAATTTTTGTATTTTTTATAGTGCGGGGTCTCACTGTATTGTTTAGGCTGGTCTTGAACTCCTGGGCTCAAGCAGTCTCCCCACCTTAGCTTCCCAAAGTGCTAGGGTTACAGGCGTGAGCCACTGTGCCTGGCCTTGGCATATGTAGTTTGAGAGAATTTGAAACTTGGATCCCTTTTGCTGTCTCCTCCAGGAAGAGATTGTGGAGTTGGGGGAATAATCTGGATGGGACATAGCTATTATAAAAAACCCTGATTTGCCTCTCTCTCCACATTTCAGGACGCTTGGAAGAGGGAGTTCAGATGCGTCTTTATTACCACTGGGAAGAGCAGCAGGTGGTATCAGCAGAGAAGTGGACAAGCCTCCCTGTACCTTCAGCACACCGTCCCGGGGTCCCCCGCAGCTGTCATCACCACCAGCTCTGCCCCAGTCTCCCCTGCACTCTCCAGATCGCCCTCTGGTCCTGACTGTGGAACACAAGGAAAAGTAAGTCAGGAGCACTGCCTTCTCTACTTAGTAATGATCGTGAAAACTCTGCATTTTGGCTCGTGTGTAGTATTGTAAAATCTGTTTGTGTTGGGTCCTCCCTGGGTAATAATACTGCGGGGTGTTTTGTTTTTTGCCAGTGGGAGATTGACAAAGAGATAGGACAATTTATTTTTTCTTCTTTTTGAGACGGAGTCTCACTCTGTCGCCCAGGCTGCAGTGCAGTGGTGCAATCTTGGCTCATTGTAACCTCCGCCTCGCGGGTTCAAGCAATTCCCCTGCCTCAACCTCCCAAGTAGTTGGGATTATAGGCGCCCGCCATCACCCCCACCTAATTTTTTTGTATTTTTAGTAGAGATGGGGTCTCACCACCTTGGCCAGGCTGGTCTTGAACTCCTGACCTCGTGATCCACCCGCCTCGGCCTCCCAAGGTGCTGGGATTACAGGTGTGAGCCACTGTGTCCGGCCAAGGTGGGACAATTTCTGAAGTTAGATGTGTTTGACAGTGGACATATAGCATGCAACTAATGAGTGGACTCACGGCCTTTCGTTTCCTTCCCAATTGAGACAATTCCTTGTCATGTTGAAGATAAGGAAATAATTTAGGAAGAATATCGTGACGCTTCATCTTTCTCCATAGAACTCATTCTTGTGTTCCTAGTTAATGGGACTAGTTTATTTGGTAATGTTACTAGGAAAGGTAGGGTGACCTTGCTTATCTAATTAGGTCTTGCTAACGATTTGCCTTCTAGCCTTCAGAGCTTGCTTCTGTAAGTGTTGCCTCTTGATATGTGTATCTGTAGCAAAATGTGAAAAAATGTTACTTCCCCCAATCTTCTTGTTGTTGGTTGTGTGGGTTGGTTAGTTATTTTGTTTTTTTGTTTTTGATATATGCAGTTGCTTTTTGTTTTTATTTTCTAGAGAGCTTATTGTGAAGCAAGGATCAAAAGGAACACCTCAGTCTTTGGGACTGAACCTCGTCAAAATACAGTGTCATAATGAAGCAGTTTATCAATATCATGTGACTTTCAGGTATTCACAGCTTTCCTTTGTATTGTTCACTTCTTAAAGGGCAGTAAAAAAAATAGTTCCCCTGGAATAACTG